>NC_000011.10:59070528-59373558 GCF_000001405.40 Homo sapiens
TTAAGGTTAGCTCTCAAAGCTCATGGAGATCACCTATAATATGACTTATAATTGGGGTTTGCCAGCCGAATGAGATCTCATAGGATGAATATCCAGTTTGTTTGGTGACGGTGCACCTGACTCAGAGGAGCACAACGGGCGAGACCTGATCCCACCTCAGATGAGTTTCCTGACAAAGTTTCTTCAGCAGCTGCTTGGGTGTCCATTTCATGCACTTCACTTTTCCTGAGCTCTGTGGCCGGTAAGCTGAGTGTAACTTCCATTTTATTTTTAATAGCCGAGTTAAGTCCTGAAGTATTTCAGCCACAAATGCTGGTCCATCGTCTGACCCAAGAGTCAGGGTTAGTCCAAATCTGGGAATAATGTCTTTTAACAACACCTTGGTTACCTCTCATGCTTTCTCTGTCCTGGTAGGGAAAGCCTCGACCTGCCTCGAAAAGGTGCAAATGAACACCAACATGTACCGACCGAGAACACCCTGCTCAAGGCAGCTCTTTAAAATCCAGCATTGTGTGTGAGTGGCTCCACAAGTACCTCCTAGTGCAGCCCCTCAGTTTAAAGAGGAAAGTGGGGGAAAAAAGAAACTCCAGAAAGCTTTAATGTTCTTGAGTGATTCCTTTACGTAATGAGCATGGTTTTAACAACTGGAGATGAGCCTACTTTGGAAACAGCCCCTCTTACCCCATGTTTATTGTTAGGGCACTCCTTTATCCACTCCATGCCCAATATGTCTCATTCCCAAGTAGCAATGAGTTAACTAGAAATTTAACAATTTTCTACAACTTTACACTTAGATTATGCTTTGTTATAAATTTTTACACCCTTCTTCTGTTAAAGATGCAGAATTGGGCTTTAAAAAAAATCATTGGATCAAATAAGCCCTTCCCTTTCCACTTGACTCTGGGAATGTGAGCAGACGGTTCTTAAGATGTTGAGTTTTGTCTACTATCCACTGCTTTTTAGCCAGGAATTCTCTAGTGATCTGAAGCAATGCAACTGAAGAACACTTTTTAAATTATGTGTTGACAAGTTGCCTTATATATAAAGAGGAAAAAAAATTACCTGGTTTATATTATGCCAGATGTCAGTAACATGAAGTCCTAATTTATTGTTCTCAGTTGTTTTCCTGCCTAATGTGAACTTCCGTGTCCCTGAGCCCTCAGGAGTACCTACAGCTTATGGTGCAATGTCTTCTCCCAAAGTGTTGGCCACCATTTCACCCAAGGGCCTCTTCCAATTCTTGCTTATCTGAGTCAGATTTAGAGAGTACCACTGTCTCCCCTTATCCCTTACTTCATCTCCAAACCACATACTCGTGCTATACTTTTCTTCTCAGTACCTCTCCCTGAATGGTGAGCTGCCATTTTAGGAAATTGGACCAGATACCAATTTGGGAGCTTTCAGTCAAACAACCTCAAACCCATGTCTTCCTATGAAGAGGTGCAAGTCTCTGAAGCTCTCACTCACCCCTGCAGTCTGTGTAGAAAATGTACTGTAATCCCCCTGGCCCCCAACTGTCATTGCCTTTGGTGTGAGATATTCCCTATTTCCTAGTTTAGCTTGAGTCCCTCTCTCCTCTGCTAGCCAACCCCCATCCAGCAATAAGGAACCAAGCGACAGCCTCCTATTCACACTCCCTGCCTCCTTTCCACACAACCCTAGGGAATACCTGGATTGCCCCACTCTGTCCACATACTGTAGCATTCATTCTCTATCATCCTCTCACCTGTGGTGGTTTATGGATGTGATAGAGTTTTTAAGATTACTACAAACTAGTAAAAAGGAAAAGCAACTCAAAGAGAGACAAAGAGAGAAAGAAAGATCTGTTCAGCGTCTTTGCCCATTTTTAATTTGGATTGTTTGTTTTCTTGCTATTAAGTTTCTCATTATTTTAAACATTAACCCCTTATCAGATGTATGGTTTGCAAATATTTTCTTCCATTCCATAGGTTGCCTCTTCATCCTGTTGATTGTTTCCTTTGCTGTATAAAACTGTTTTAGTTTGATGTAATCCCATTTGTCTATTTTGGCCTTCGTTATCTGTGCTTTAGGGATTCTATCCAAAAATCATTGCCACAACTAATATCACGAAGCTTTTCTCCCATGTTTTTGCCTAGTGGTTTTACAGTCTCAGGTCTTACATTTAGGTCTTTAAACCATTTTGGGTTGATTTTTGTACGTGGTGTGAGATAAAGTCTAATTTCAATTTTCTGCACGTGGATATGCAGTTTTTTTCAACAGCATGTATTAAAGAGACTGCCCCTTCCCCATTCACATGTTCTTGACAACTTTGTCAAAATCAATCATCTTAAATGCATGGATTTATTTCTGGACGTTCTATTCTGTTCCATTGTTTCATTTTTCTGTTTTGATGCTAGTACCATCCTGTTTTCATTACTATTGCTTCTTAGTACATTTTGAAATTAGGTAGTGTGATATCTCCAGCTTTATTCTTGTTGCTCATGATTGATTTTGCTCTTAAGGATCTTTTGTGATAACATATATATTTTTTGGTGTTTTATATTTCTTTCAAGAATGTCATTGGTATTTAGATAGGAATTGCATTGAATTTGTAAATCACTTGGGGCATTGTTGTCATTTTGACAGTATTAATTTTTGCAATCTATAAATAATAAATAGCTTTCTATTTATTTGTGTTTTCTTCACTTTTTTCATATAACTTTCATAATTGTCACTACATAAGTCTTTAACCACCTTATTTACATTTACTCCTAAGTATTTATTTTTTCTAGCTTATGCGAACAGGATTTTTTTCTTTGTCAGGTCTTTCATTGTTAGTGTATAGAAACACTACTGATTTGTGTATATTCATTTTGTGTCTTGCCATATTACTGAATTTGTTCAGTAGTTTTAACCTAGTTTGCTGCAGTCTTTAGGATTTTTTATATATAGGACCATGCTATATGCAAACAGGGACATATTTAGCTACTTCCTTTCCAATTTGGATACTTTTTATTTTTTTCTCTTACCTAATTGCTCTGAGTAGAACTTCCATTAATGCACTGAATAGAAGTAGTGAGAGTGAGCATCCTTGTCTTGTCCTTAATCTTAGAAAAATGTTTTTCATATTTCACCATTAAGTGTGATGTTAACTGTGGATTTATCGTATATGGTCTTTATTGTATGAGCTACATTCCTTCTATACCTCATTTGTTGAGCGTTCATAATCAGGAAGTCATGGTGAACTTTATCAAGTGCTTTTTCTGTACCTATCAAGTGTCATATGGATTTTGTTATTTATTCTGTTGATGTGGTATTTCACATTTATGGATCTGTATGTTGAACTATCTTTGCATCCCTACGTTAAAGCGCACTGTATCATGATGAATGATCTTTTTGACATGTTGTTGGGATTAGTTTGTTAGTATTAATATTTATTGATGCACCTATGTTCAATAGTGCTATTGCCTAATATTTTCATTTGTTGAAGTGTCCCTATCTTTGGTATCAGGATTATGCTTGCCTTGTAAAACAACTTTGGAAATATTCCCTCTTCTTCAATTTTTTGGAAGGCTTTTAGATGGATTGACATGAGTTCTTCTTTAAATATTTGGTGGAATTCAGCAGTGAAGCCATCAGGTCCTGGGCTTTTTTTTAATGGAATATTTTTTATTACTAATTTAACCTCCTAACTCATTATTGGTCTGTTTAGATTTTCAATTTCTTCATCTGGTGGGGTTTATGTATCTAGGAATTTACCCATTTATTGTAGATTATCTAATTTGTTGGCATATAATTGGTCATAATAGTCTCCTGATTTTTTTGTGATGTAAGTTGTGATGTCTCCTTTTTGTTTATGATTAACCTTTTTTTTTCTGTTAGTCTGGATAAAGATTTGTGAATCTTATTTAACTTTTCAAAAGATCAAATTTCAGGGGTTTTTTTTCATTGTTGTCATAGTTTCTATTTAATTTAACTGCCCTGATCTTTATTTATTCCTTCATTCTATTAACTTTGGGCTTAGTTTATTCTTTTTATAGTTCCTTGAAGTGTAACATTAAGTTGTTTAAGATCTTTCTTCTTTTTCACTGTAAACGTTTTGAAGCATCTAACAAGTTTTGGTATTTTGAGTTTCCATTTTTGCTGGTCTCAACATATTTTTTAATTTCCACTTTAATTTCCTCTTTAATCCATCTGTTGTTCAGAAGCATGCTGTTTAATTTTCATGTATTTGTGAGTTTTCTAAAAGTTCTCCTGTTATTAATTTCTACTTTCATGTCATTGTGATCTGGAATGATAAATGGTATGATTTCAGTCTTCTTAAATTTATTATGACATGCTTTATGTCCTAACATTTGTTCTCTAGCATTTCCTGTAAGACAGCTCTGATGGTAATAAACTCCCTCAGTTTTTGTTTGTCTGGCAAAGATTTTAATCTCTCCATTATTTGCAAAAAACAGATTTTCCCAGGAACAGTATTTTTGGTTGACACTTTTTTTTCTATAGAACATTGCATATATCATTCCACACTCTCAGCCTATAAGTTTCTGCTCAAAAATCTGCTATTAGCCTTCTTGGAACTCCCTTATATGTTATTGGCTTATTTTCTCGTTTGTTTTCAGAATCTTTCTTTTCTTTGATTTTTGACAGTTTAATTAAAGTATATCTTGTACTCTTGATGAGACTGAATCTTATCAAACATCTTCAATGTTCCTATACCTGTATATTTCTCTTTCCGCAGACGTGGAAAGTATTCTGCTATTATTTCATCAGACAAGCATTCTTTCCCTATCTGTTTCTCTTCTCTTTCTGGGACACACATGATATGTGCATTGGTTCTCATACTGATGTTCTATAATTGCCAAAGGATGTCTTCATTTTTTCTCATTTTTTTCCTTTTGTGTCTCTGACTTGGTAATTTCAAATGATGTGTCTTTGAGTTCATTGATTCTTTATTCTACTTGATCAAATCTGCTTTCAAAGAACTCTATGAAATTTTCAGTTCAACCGTTGTGTCCTTTATGTCCAGAATGTCTCTTTTTTTATGATTTCTTTCTGTTTGTTGAACTTTCTATTTTGTTCATGTATTATTTCTCTGATTCTTTTTAGTCATCCATCTGTGTTTTCTTGAAACTCACTGAGCATTTTAAAGACCATTATTTTAAATTCACTGTCAGAAAGTTCATAAACCTTTATTTTTTGGGGTCAGCTATTGGTTATTCTTTTTTTTTCCTTTGGTGGTATCATTTTTCTCTTATATTTCTTGATTTTTAGGCTGTGCATTGGTGTCTGCACATTTGAAAAACAAGAAAGTTATTCCAGTCTTTGCATACTGGCTTTGTCTGGAAAAACCTTTTCCCAGTCATCCAGCAATTCTTGGTAGGGTGTCTGCTGTGGTCTGCAGGTGAACTTGTTGCTGAAGTCTTCAGGCAGGCTGGCCTGGTGCCTGTGTCAGCAGGTGGTAGGCTTGGTTCCTGGGTCTGTAGAGTTGGGCCTGAATCCTGTATCCACTGGTTGGATATTTTCATTGGGTATGTGGGGATGAACATAAAGCCTATGTCTATAAGGGCAGGCATACAGCCTATACCAATAAGGGCTGGACTGAAGCCCCTGTCTACAGGGGCTGACATGGCTCTGATGTGGGCAATGAGTCTGTGTCTACAAGGGCTGGCTAGGTTGTGGAATGGGCCTAGTGTCTGGGTCTACTGGGATGAGCCTGGAATCTGAGTCGATGGGGACTGGCCTGGTACTGGTGCAGGATTAGAGCCTGAATCTGAAGAAACGGGCCTAGGATCTTGGTAGATGGGAGCTGACCTAGAGCCTGTGTCTTCAGAGATGGTCCTAGAGCCTTGGTGCATGATGGCCAGCCTAGCGTCAGGGTCTGCTGAACTCAGCCTGTACACTGGGTTTGCAAGAGCACAGCTCGGCTCTGAGTTTATTGCATCCTGGGTCACAAAAACCAGCCTGAACCCTGAAATTGGCCTAGGGTTGGAGTGGGGTTGGGGCCAGTCTAGAGCCTGAGATTATAGCTGCTAGACTGGTGCCTGTAGCCATAGGAGCTGGCCTAGAAACTGCGGAATGGCCTGGAGGCCGGGTGTGTGAATTCTGGCCTAGAACCTAGGTCTTCAGGGCTAGCATGGAGACTAGGTCCACGAAGGCTGCCTAGGGTCCCAGGGCTGGAGGAACTGGACTGGAACCTGGGCCCACAGAAGCAGTGCTAGATACTGGGTCTGTGGGCACAAGCCCAATAGTGGAGTCAACTGTGATGGGTCTGGACCCTGGGTCTGCTGGAGCATGTGACCCTGGGAACTGGCCTCAAGAGTGGGGTGGCAGAAATTAGCTGAGTGCTAGGTTGGCCTGAAGCCTGTGTCTGCAGATGCTTGCCAGATACCTAGCTAAGGGCTAGTGCTAGGGCTGCCCACCTGGAACTGGGGTTGGCCTGAATCCTGGATTTGTGTGAGCCAACATAGTTCTGGGCTGGTCTGGAACCTAGGGTAGACTTGGAGCTTGTGACCACAGGGGCTAGCCTGGCACTAGGCAGTCCTGGAGCCCGTATTCACAGGGGCCAGCCTGGAGGTTGGATCGATGGACACTGGCCTGGTCACTAGAGTTCAAGGGGCCAGCCTGGCCCTGGGGCTGGTGTGAAACCCGGAGTTGTGGAAGGCAGCCTGGTCCTGGGAGCAGTCTGGAGCCTGGAGTCACTGGGGCTGGGCTGGTCCCAGGGAGCATCTGACACCTAGGGCACTGGGGTAGATCTGGCATTAAGATATATCCAGAAACCATGTCTGCCAGGCAAGTCTGGAACCTGGGCTGTGGGATCTGCTCTGGCTTAGTCTGCAGCTACGAGCCTGGAGTTTGAGGCCATAGCGGCATACCTATTACTGTATTTCACTGAATCAGGCTGTGTTTCCGTCGAAGGCAAAGTTCAGTGCCCACTTCCCTTTTCTTCTTCAATACAAAGGTTGCCTCTCTCTGTGCTCTGCTGTCCGTTATTGTGGGAGGGATGACATAGGTAATGTAAAATTGTTCTTCCTATGCTCTTCAATTCATCTTTTCTTATTTCTCTGCTACACAAAGATTCTGTGTTTTTTCACCTGGTATCCCTAGCTCTTGTGAAGGTATTTTTGTCCACAGATAGTTGTTTAAATTGATGTTCTTGTGTGAGGATAAGTACTAGAAAGTCCCATTCTGACATTTTGCTGATGTCTAGTTGTGTGGCATCTCATCAGATTTCTAAATAGTGATTTTCAAAGTGCCTCAGCAGCATCAGAGACAGGACTCCTGCTAATTTGGAAAGAAAGATGGCAAACCTTATGTTAAATGATCTTACCAAACACATATATGCAAACAATAATGATAATAAATAGAGCAGACAAAACTTTTGGAAGTGACGAATATGTTTATGGCATAGGTTGTGGTGATGGTTTCATGAGTATGTATTCATCTCTATCTTCATCAAGGTTTATACATTAAACACATACAGCTTATTGTATGTCAATCATACCTCAATAAAATAGTTCTACAAAAAAAAGAAAGGTAAACACAACAGAGGAAAACTACTGTTGGCCTATTTCTCCCATTAAGTATGACTTGTATTTCAGAGTTCTGATGGTTACTGAATCTTCCAGATTTTCTGATGATAAGTATAATAAGAGAAATAACATGTTAGGCTAGAAAAGATAAAAATATGTATTTGAGGATTAATCAATCAAATTTTCCCTTAACATAATAGGACTTGTTGTTCAAGATATTCAAGCCAGTACCAGGCTAGAGGGAGAGAAAAGTTCCCAGATCAAATATCTGTGTAAACTAATTCAACTAAAGCCACAAGAGGAAGAGACTCATGATGAGATATTTGGAGGTACAACATGCAAAATTCATCACAAAGTGGAAACCAGCATCTTACAAAAAAAGAACAACGGCTTGGGATTTAGAACGTCTGGGCTCTGGTCTCAAGTTTTGCACATTCAATCATGTGTCTATGCAATCATGTGTCTACATTCCAGGACTTAGTTTCTTGAGACTAGACCATCTCTGATAAACTTTCTACCTGATTTTCCTCTCTTTCAGAAAGTTAGGCAGGTGCTCAGATCAACTTTTTCGTCACAAAGGAGGAAGGAAGAAGACTTTGGGTGTCTTTCTTAACCACAGTTTTATGACATGGGTTTAGAGAATGCATTAGCAGGGACTAAGCAAATAATGAAAGCTAAATTTGGTGTAGAAAAATGGGGAACAGAAGATGAAAGAATCAGAAAGAAAATATTTAGGAGCAACAAAGAGAGTCCTCTATTGCTTTGTAGTATAGCGAAAGTTCCTGTTTTTCTCTTCTTTAGACTCTAAGAAAACCAGAAAACATAAGACAGCTTTAGAGCTTTAAAATGTTCTTGGATGCCCCAAGACAAGAAAGCATGTCCTGTGGATCCCACACTTTCCCAATTCCCTGATCTAGCTAAAACCATATACAACTTCCTGATTTCCCTGGAGGCATTGAACCTCATCACCAACCCAGAACAGTTTGGCACGAATTGGTCTCTCCATGAAGTATCTATACATCCCATTGCTTCCTCTGTAAAAGCTTCAAGATTCCACTTTGGTGTCAAGTTTTTCTACAGGGCAGATTGTTGTTTATTTCAAACTCCAGAAACCCTCACTCTTTTCTGGGATCCATTTAAATTGGTGCTATCAGGCTTTTTGACCCTAAAGAACCTGTGTTTACTTGGCTCTTCTATGCCTTCTCACCAGCCCCCAGTCAGTTAAAACACCTTTCTTTTGCTACAGAAAACTGCAACCACATCTAAAGCCACCATCAGTTCAAGGTCTTCTGACTGAATGAACAACCCCTCCCTCAGTGTCCAGATGTGAAGGATCTGCTCAATCACCAAAGCTCCTGAATTAAGAGTTAGGGTGCTCCTTTTTACCATTAGGAGGAACTTCATTAGAATTCTGAAATAGAGCAAGTATTTCGGGGGAATCCCAGGTCACAGTGCCCACCTGTCATCTTAGAAGCCAGAAAAGAAAACTTTTTCCCTGGAAAGACTTCCAGTGAAAGAGAATTTCTCCAGGATTTGAGAGTATGAGAGTCTCTTGGTGAGTTCCCTGTTGAACAGAAATCAGGAATGTACTACTACACAGAAGAGATGTACACGCATCTAGTCACTGCCTCGAGGCAATGTTGAAAGAATTTATTATAACTTAGATTGGGATAGAGTGATTCTTTGATCTTTAGGTCTCTCCAAAGTCCACCAGAAGATCTTGCAAAGGTAAGTCTCCTCAGAAACTCTAGGAAGTTTTTGGATTCTATGGGTAGGTGCTAACAGCTATCACATGTCTTCCTAAGTTGGCTGCTGCATTCCAGTTTCACATTGCTAAAGGCTAATTAAGGACATTAATATGAACGAAGCATCCCAGAGATCCTAGACACATTGTGAGAATATACAGAGGTAGCAGCTCCAGCAGCCTCCCACAGACACTCAGCCATGCAGTCCCCATTCCCTGCCATGAGCAACAGTTTCAGGGCTTCACAGGGGTTCAAAGGTGGCCAGCTTATTGCCACTCTTTGTAGTATGAAGTATACCAAAAAATAAAGATAGATCAAAACATTGATAATATAATAGCTTTAAAATGTGTATATTTTATAAATGTATGCTCACAACCACAAAAATGCCATGCAATACTGTTGTTCTACTCACAAGATCAGTACAGGAATTATAAAGCATTGATATAGGGTGGATTTCTGGCAGCATGTAATTGATGGTGAATGTGTTCTCTTCATTGTGTCTGAGTTTCATTGGGTGATATCATTGGTGATAAAGCTGGAATCTCAAATTTGGGACCCTTTTTGAAAGTAGGGCCATGCCTAAATAGTGTCCTAGGTGTCTACTCCACCATGACCCCCTGAAGGACCTGCGGTGTCCCAAAGGTTGGAAGAAGATTCAGGGCTAGGCAGCTGGAGAGACCTAGAATCACAGGTCTCTCACACAGCCTGAAAAGCCCAAAGCTGATTAGCATAACCTCAGCACAATTAAAACCAGAATTCATTGCTTCCATTCAGAGATCCCATGTTTGTGCCAGAATCCAAGCTGCAATGAGTGTTTCGGGAAGTCACTTATGACTAATACTGAGTATGATGGGACTGATATCAGAGCTGAGCTAGGCCCAGAGGGCCCAGAAGCAGTGACACAGAAGGCTAAACCTTTCAGTTTTGATCCATAGATTAGCTACATCAGAGAAGTGGACTTGGAGAATCCCCTGCTAGAGTCCTGCAGAATAACCACTCTGTCAGATAGCATGTGTTTCTGGGAGGAAGTCATAGGGGTCTAGTTCCGCCTTATCCCCCTGCACACCATAAACACGGGCTGAGATCTAGAGAGAGTCCAGAGCTGGTCTGAAAGGCTGATGCAAAGGAGTCTGCTCTGGAACTGAGGTATTCTAAGAACTTGGCTATCTCAGCAGCCCTACAGATGGGAGAGGAGCCCTCAGATGGGAGAGAAAGCTATTCTCCTGGCCAAGGTCCTGAGACAGTTTGAAAGAAGCCTAGGCAGACTTGAGGCAGATTGCAGCTAGCACTGGCACTTGAATTGAAACCTCCCCTGTAGTTCCATGGATAGTTCTTTATATAAACATAGAAATTGACCATTCTGGTCTTAAAGCTTGAAACTTTTATTTGTTTTCTATGAGTTTCATCCTTGGTAAAGGACCCCTAGGTCCCTCAAAAAGTATAAAAGAACTGAAACTCACCAGATGATCCCATCCAGACGATGGCACACCAGGCACCTCATACATTATGATTGCTTCCTTAGGTCTCCTGAGTTCCTGTTTTTCTACCCATTGTAGAAAAACCCATTTTCTACCCATTTCTTCCCTGCTATGTAAACTTATAATTTTAGTTGGTCAGGGAGATGGATTTGACACTGAACTGCCATCTCCTCTGCTACAACATCCGATTCAGCCTTCTTCCTTGGCAATAATTGTTGATATGAATTGGTTTTCTGTGCAGTGAGCAGCAGGACCTAGACCACACTCCTGGTGTTTCACTAACAGATTTTGCTTCCCCAGCCAGGAACACTTTGGCTCAGCTGCCATGGGCGAGGAATCTCAAAGTCCTCCTAAGCAGCTGCTTACCCAATTTTGGCTAGAGATGAGTACCCTCTCTCTAGGGCCAGCCACAGCTGGCCCCAACCATGTTCCTGATTGCCTTGGGAGAACTGCCTTTGAAATTTGATATCTGCATCCAGATAGGTGACTCTCCTCTGTGGGCCCAGACAGAAAGATCTCCTCCTCTCAGTTTGGGAAATTTTTAAAGGAATTTCCATTTGCAGTTTGAACAAGCCCAACTTGTGAAAAGAGGGAAGTACCCTGACTATTTCAGTACGGCCACTCTTAGGAGCTTGTTTGTCATTGTGTGTGTATCCAGGCAAGTGAGTGTCATTTGTGGGAACCAGACAGTGGGATCAGCTCCTCTCCATCTGAGAAATTCTGAAGGAATTTTTATTTCAGGTCGATTGAGCCCAACCAATGGAGAGAGGAAGCACCACAACTCTTTCACATTGTAGACTTTTGGGGCTTGTTTGATGCTGCAGCAGTTGGATTGTGTTTTAGTAATTGTTTGCATGTGTCTGATACAGTCATGGGAAATTCGAATTTGATAAACTGATACTCTTTTGTGACACTGTTTGGCTCCAGTATAGTTTGGAATCTGGAGTTTGCTGTTGAATGGGAAAGTGGGCTTTTGTGCTGCTATTTTAAGCAGGGTCAGGCCAGGTTAATATGTGATGATCTCATGTGGTGCCATTTTTGACCCCAGTGTTCTGGCAGTATAGGGAGTTTTGGCCTTTAAAAATCAAACTGCCACAGTAACTCCTTTTATTTAAAATTTGGTTCACAGCCTTCCCTGGATTACTTATCAAGGCTAACAAAGTTCAGCCATGTGGACATGTTTGCAGACAGTTGAGACTATATTACTATCTCATGGCTAGAGTTCCAAGGTAAAAGCTTTTGGATCTTCGTGTGTATATACATATAGATGTGTTTATGTGCATGCACACGTATTACATTATATGTTGTGACTAGAAATTGGCTTCTACATAAAAGAACTCTCCTAGATTAAGTAAAAAAGTTTTTTTACATTCACGTTACTTAAGTAAATTTTTAAGAAGCTAGCATAAAAATTATTGTAATACAAAAATAGAAATGTCTTCAGAATTGTCAGCATACATTTTTTTCGGGGTTTTATGTTTGTCTCTGCTAGATATTTTGGGGTATCAGAGTGTGGCACAGAAAATTATAAAACTATAACCAGTAGTTTGAGACCAGCCTGCAAAACGAAGACCACCCCCCCACCATCTCTATAACATAAAAATAAGACAATTAGCCAGGCACATTGATTCATGCCTGTAGTCCCAGCTAATCAGGAGACTGAGGTGGGAGGATGCTTGAGCCTTAAAGCTCAAGGTTGCAGCGACTCATGATCCAGCCACTGCACTCCAGCCTAGGTGACAGACTGAGACCCTGTCAAAAAAAGAAAAAGATAAGAGGCAGAGAATGACCATGGGGAACAGGAGCATTGCAGAGAAACTAAGGGAACAGTTGTAATTGTTAATAGGATGGTCACAGGATGCCTCATCGAGCAAGTGGCTTTAAGGTGAAGACTTAAATAAGGTAATAAGGTTTTCTATAGGTATAATGAGAAAACAGAATGCAAGCAGAAGAAAAAGGACAGCAAAGTGCCTAAAGCAGAGAAGGCAAAGAGATTGAAGTCAGGGACATGACTGGAGGGATGTCAGAGAGGTGACTGGATTCTAAGTCATGGAAAACTTAGAGGGCTGTTATAAGGCTTTTATATATCTTTCTCTGAATGAGATTGGGAGTGACAGCAGGAGTTGCACAACAAATAACAAAATGTGGCTTTTGTTTTAAAAAGAGCATTCTGGTTTTACATAGAGAAAAGACTAAAGACATTCTCCATCCAGAAAAGACTGCCGAGAACTGTGAAGCATCTAAAAGTTTACAGGGGCACAGATGCAGAAATGCTGGCAGATGACACAAGCTTCCAGGTAAAGGCAGGATTTTATATGCCTTCACCAGGCAGAATGAGTTATGTGTTTGTGTCAGTCATCTTTGCTCCACAAGTCCTACAGAGGAAATACAGAAAGACAGATTAATGTCGCAAATGCAATAGATGTGTGTTGCAGCAAAACTGCCTTCTGCTTCAGAAGAAAGCAGTATCTCTAGCTTCCAAGCTGTACTCTTTACAAACATCCTTGAAAAGTTAGGAGCAAAGGCTGTCAATGTCTCTGCTCCTAAGACATGCAGAAATGTGAGAGGCATGAAGAATTTTCTCCCAACCAGAATGAGCAGAATGTCATAATGGATTGGATATAATGTGGGAGGGGAAAAGATACATAAGAGTAATTCCAAGAGTTTTTATTTGAATAGATGAAAAGGTAGAGTTGCCATCAACTTAATTGAGAAAGACTACAGGTGAAGTAGGCTGGGTGGAGAGGGTGGATAAGGAGTTTGATCTGAGACATAATGAGTTTGAGATGGCTATTGGGTGGAATCCAAGAGATATGAAACAGGCCATTAGATACATATGTCTTGAGTTTGGAAAAGAGTTTTAATACTAATATAAATGTATTAGTCATTGGCAAGCAGATTGATTTTAAAGCCATGGGACCAGATGTGATTACCAGGGAGTAAGTGTGGATACAAATGAAGGCCAATGATTGAACTCTAAAGTGATGCAAAATTAAGAAGTTGGGGAGAAAAGAAGGGTCCACAGAGGAGACTGAGAAATAACCAGTGAAGTTAAAGGAAAACGAAGAGAGTGTGTTTTCTTGGAAACCAAGTGAGGAAAGTCTTAAAGAATGATCTATTAAGAACAGAAGCAATAACTGATCACTGGATTTAATAACATAGAGATCACTGATGGCTTTAAAAAATGTTTCAGTAAAATGGTAGCAGCAAAAACCCAGTTAGAGAAGATTAGGAGGAGGATTGGAAATAGCATTTGTAGACAATCCTTTCAATGAATTTTGCTACAAAGTGTTAAAGCAAATTAAATATGGTCTGAGAAGGACTCTGTACTTCATTTGAGTCCTTGTGGGTGAAGAGTAACCTAGCTTAATAGTCAGACAAAATTGAAAACCTAATTTAGGAGTGTGCACCTGTAACAATACTTGAATGTTGGCCAGTCCCAGCAGCCTTACATCACCACTCATAGACTGCTGAATGCTCAAACTGTGTTTAAATAAGGCAAACGCCCAGCTGACAGCAATCTCACTGTTTCTGTAACTCATTTCTGGTTCCTGGATGTCACTTTAACTTTTTTTCCCTATAAATTTGTTTTGACCACAAGACACCCCTGGAGCCTCCATGAATCTGCTGTGATTCTGAAGGCTGCTGGATCGATGAATTGTTCATTGCTCAACTAAACTCCTTTAAATTTAAGTCAGCTGAAGTTTTTATTTTATCAGATTGTGTCAGAAGCAGAATCTGAAGTGGAGCTTCTAGTATCCCCAGGAGCACTGAGTAAACACAGAAGGTACCTGCAGGATCCACTTGTGTCCATTGATCTCTCAGAGCAGCTGAGGATCAAAGGTAAGCTCCCTCTTGCATTTTGGAGCTTCACACATTTGTGTTTTGAGCTCTCTGAGTTTCCTTGAGCAAATTTGTGATCCAAACTGGTTTTGGAGTTGCAACAGAAAATGGACTGGGTCTAGGAATGAATTTGATCTGGGAATTAACTGGCTTGGATCCACTTAGAGGCCACTAACAGTAGAGGCCACTAACAGCTGACTGGGTCATAAAGGAAGTGGTAGTAAGCAGTAATGTCGCAGCAGTCATAAAATTCGGCTTTGGGAAATTCACAGGGATTTTTGTGTTCTACCCATTTGTTTCATTTTTCTTCTCCACCTAGGTAGGGAAATTCATTGGCTAAGTTAATCAAAAGAACCTGAGAGTAAAGCCAGTAGTTTCGGTAAAAATGGAATCCTTAATTTCTGAAAAACTGAGTTCTTTCTGGCTTATACATTAGGACTGGGAGGCAGAGAAGTCTTACGCAAATGGCAAAATCTTACTAAAGATAACTTAGAGTGGAACATTCCAAATGAAAAACAATGCATTGAACTACATTTAAAAATGAGGGCTCTCAGTAAAGTCCCTTTTGGCTAAGAACCGGTTTGGCCCTATGGAATGTCAACTGTTATACTCTTTGTCACATTTGTAAGAATTCCAAGTGTTATATCGAACGAAATTTACAGATATGTTTCAAAATTTTCCATGTTTTTTTCTTATTTTTGTAATGAAACTGGGAAAAATTTCTAAATGGTTATAGATCTGAAATATTTAGCCCTAAGAAACTAAATAAAATCTTTGCCAACTCCTGCTCTGAGGTTTCCAGTCACAACTGTTCTTAGATATTTTCTATTCCAGAAGAAAGAAGACTCCTCAGGCATCTGATGTGCAAAATACAAGGAAAAGTTATGGTGATGGTGGTGGAGTGTTCTGCTACAGGCATGTGGGAAGCTCACAGAACTCTTAATATTCACTTTTATTCATTCCACCAGAGAGGAAATGCATGGGTTTTGGATATGACTCTGTCGTTTATCCCTGTAAGAACTTGAGAAATTTATTTAGTCTCTCTAAGCTTTGGCGTATTCAAAATGAAGACGATACTAACAGTACCTACATCATGAGTGTTACTTGAATGGAGATGTGTAAAGTGCATTTTAATTTCATCTGGTCCTTTAACATTTTCCCTCCACTTCTCTTCAGAGTTTTTTTCTTGAAGGGCTTGAGGACTGAAGCATCCCACAAAATGATTCTATTGAATAATTCCGAGCGGCTGCTGGCCCTATTCAAATCTTTAGCAAGGAGCATTCCTGAGTCCCTGAAGGTGAAGGAACAGTGGGAGGTTGGGGTATGGGAGTAGGGGTGTTGAGGATGAGAAACTAACAGGCTCATGAATCTCGTCCTTCCTGACTTTGTGCAGAGGGTTGGAGCTGGGAAACAGGATGGGGTTGGGGACAAAGGAGGCATGTTAAGAGCTGCTGCTTCTCCTCGGCAACAGGCAACTAGGCCGACTCTGCAGATTTTATCACTCATTTGGAGAGGTGGTGAAGAATGGTGGCTACGAACATCGGTTTGGGGCCAGATTCAATAAATATGCATTGCAAGGCTGCCATTTTTTAGTCAGATATCATTGTGCCTGTGCCTTTAGCTTTCTTTACGTTTGGTCTTTTCATTAATAAAATGGGAATAATATTAGTACCTACCTCTTAAAGTTGTTGTGGACACTGAATGAATCCATACAATATAAGTGCTAAGTGCATTAACAAGTGCCCAGCTACTGCACAGTAGCTCTGTGGTATCACAAGAACACCTCCCTGTGAGTTCTGCCTGTTTGCTGGTGACTTCATGTCCATCAGTATGGTCCTGGAGATGCTGTTCATCTCATCATCACTGACTTGGTCCCAGTACTGTCTCTTGATCTCCATTTTTCTCTTCCTCTTCACATACAGACCCCCATCTCTGGGGATCTCAGCCTCTCCTATTCCCTTTCATCCCTCCTTCAGGTGTATGGCTCTCTGTTTCACATCAATCACGGGAACCCCTTCAACATGGAAGTGTTGGTGGACTCCTGGCCCGAGTATCAGATGGTTATTATCCGACCTCAAAAACAGGTAGGCACACAGACAGGGACTGGTGGAGCCAGGCAGGTCCAAAGGGCCTGAGGAACTGTCCAATTCAGACACCATGGCTGCTTTTATAGGGTGAAAGGAAATGTGAGTATTTTAAAACACTCCTTCAGTACTGGGCAGCTTGCGTGAGTGCCACATGTTAACACTCTTCCTGTAAAGCATAAGACTCATTAGGGAAAGGGGGTCAAGGGGGAAGGGGAGGAAAAGGACAAAGCTGACACTCACAGATTAAGGGCCCTTTGAGGTGGCAGGGGTCACCTGCAGGGGCTGAATGGAGGCCAATTTACAGGGAAAGTTGGCTGTCTGAGATATTGGAACAGTGACTTAGAACCAAAAACCAAGGCAGTAGTCTACCAGTAAAATTACATCTCATGGCCAGGCATGATGTCTTTTATCTGTAATCCCAGCACTTTGGGAGGCCAAGGCAGGAGGATCGCTTGAGGCCAGGAGTTTGGGACCTGCCTGTGCAACATAATGAGACCTCATCTCTACAAAAAAATAAACAAAATTAGCAGGGCATGGTGATGCGTGCCTATACTCCTAGATACTCAGGAGATGGAGGTGGGAGGATGGCTTGAGCCCCAGAAGGTTGAGGCTGCAGTGAGCCAAGATCACACCACTCTACTCTAGCCTGGCCAACAGAGTGAGACCCTGTCATGAAAACAATAAAAGTTGCTTCTCAGGAACCAGGGAAGGGACACACAATTACTTTGTGTCAACTGTGTGGAAGCACCTCACTCGTTAGTGACTGTCATCATCAGAACAATTTTACAAAGTGAGCTTTAATATCTTTAATTTAGAGATGAGGAAACAACACTGAGAAATATTCAGTCAGGTAGCTGCTGGATACCATCTGTTAAAGCATTCCCCAATCTGAATTCAAGTTCAACGGACTCTGCCACTTTTACTAGCTATATAACCATAGGCCCTTCTGTGAGTTTTATCATCTGTTAAAATGGGAAAAATAGGAGGACATTCTTCAGAGGATTACACAAGGTTTAAATGAGATACCACATGTCAAACACTTAGTATATAGCACATAATTCTAAATAGTATTTACCATAATTAGCCATTATTGGCCGAGGACACACAAGGAATACACGATTAAGCTGAAATAGTAATACAAACCTAGGTCTATTTTTTGGCCCTAAAGACTTCCCCTTTTTGTGTCTGTTTCATGCACATCTGATTAGTGAACTGAAGCCTCATGGCCAGCCCAGCTTCAGGTGGGTATAGACACTGAGCCCCCACATAATAATAAGCTGAGCCTAATACCTTCCCCAGGGATGTTCTTTTGATCTCCTGGTTTCCTGACAATTTCGGATCGATGATTAATGGTTAGTTTACTTGATCCATGGTCCAATTTCTTCAAAGTGTCATACGCTAAATAACTGTATGAACCAAATAGTTCTTTTTACTTCAGTAACTTTGTAGTCACTATGTGTATTTTAACAATGTAACTGTACCATCAAGCTGTAACTTCATATATGCATTGCTTTGAACAAGGCTAGTTTTTATATAGTGAGTCAGCAAACAAAAATATTAAAATATAAAAGTTCCATGCCACACATATATGACCAAAAAAATGGAAAGAATGAAATATGCTGCAATTTACTTGGAAATACATTCACTTAGTCTGATTCCATAGTATACCATGTTTCTTTCAGTATTGAAAATCAATGCAATTTTGAAGAAGACCTTTTTAAGGTGAGATGCAGGAGAATTTCTCTAGAAAAATATTAATTTTTCTTTGTTGGTTCCTAATCAGAAAGATAATATATGCTGATTATAGAAGTGGAAAAATTCAACATGATTTTAAGAAGTTAATAACCTCTCACCTCTTTGCCCTCCTCTCCTCCATTCCTACCCTTTGGGGTAATCGGTGTCCTTGGCCATATTAACACACAAACGGATATTCAGTTATGATCTCTTCTGTAATCGCTTTTTAATTTGCCTTTGACATATGGACATTGCTTTGAGTGAATCAATACAGCACTAACATATTTGTTTTAATAACTGTGGCGTTCCATAGAGTCAATGCAATGCTATTTAGTCAGTCATTCTCCTCCTGTTGGGTTCAAATTGTTCATACTTCTTTGCCATTACAAACAATGCTTCAATAAACATCCTTGTATACATGTCTTTACATCCTGGAAACTTTTCTCAATGCAATTGGTTTCCAAAAGGGATAAGTCCAAGTCAGAGCTTATCTTATCCTAAGTAGGCACTGCCAGACTACCCTCCCAAAGGATTCCACAGTATTATTTCCATTAGCAATCTGTGGAAGAATTGTTTCCCACATTCTCATCAGCAGTGAATGTTATCCTTCTTCTACTTTATGCCAAACTGGTGGGTGAAAAGTGGCATCTTATTGTAGATTTAATTTGCATTTCCCTGACTAGTGATATTCAACATATATTTTCATATGATTATCAGTCATTTTGGGTTTACTTCTGAACTGTTTATATTGTTTGACCATTTTTACACTGGGATTTTGTGTCATTCTTAAAATTCTCTATGTGTTTTGGATATGAGGGATACTAACACAAGGTGTATGCTACAAATTTGTTGCCCAATTTAGAATTATTTTCTAATTTGATAGATTTTCACATGAAGCAATTTTTAATTTTCATGTAATCAAATATATTATCTTTTTCACTATGATTCCTGAGGCTTTGGGAGTTTTTTTGTTAATAATTAGGAAGATTTTTCCTAAACCAAGATCGTACAAGTTGTTTTTTTCATTTTGTCTTACAGTGAGTTAATTTTTACTTTTGACATTTCAAACTTCATTCTATTTGGAATATATTTTTGAATAGCATGAATTAACATTCTTTTATATTTATCCCCCGAATGGCTGGCTAATTACGTTAGTGCTATTTATTAAGTAAGTCATTCTGCTACTGAAACATAAATGTCTATTTTGTCATATAACTTTTATATATTTTTGTAGCTATTTCTGTATTTGTTTCTAATCTTTTCTCATGCTATTTCATTGTTTTGTGGCAAATTTTAATATCTAATAAAGCAAATCACCCTTCACTAATCTTTTTCTTGCTTTCCTATTTCTTATAAACTTCAGAGCTATATGAACAAAAACTAATTTTTCAGTTCCCCAATTTCCCCAACTAAGTATTGCAATTGTGATTTGTATTGGAGGAGCTTTTTTAGACAATTGTGGAAGCATTAATATTTTTGTGATACTAAATATTTTTATCAAGAAATATGGTCTTTCTCTCACTTTTTTCAGTTTCTGTTCTATGCCATCTGGTAAAATATTAGTGTTTTCCTGAGGTAAACTACGTGATTTTTCCATTAAGTTTACCCTTAGGTATTTTATATTATTTTTTAAGATTATTAAATTATTTTTCCTTTTCTATTTCTGAGCATTATTATTTTGTTATTGCTTTCTATTTATATTCTTCATTTCCAAATATGTCACACTATGCTTTAAAATCTTCTTTGTTTGCCTGGGGTGTTATTTGTTTTTGTTTTCTGTCGAAGTCTCTTATATTTTCTAAATGTGTAATACTGTAATCTATAAACAAAGTAATTTGCTGCTTCTTTGCCAATATTTGTATGGGTTTTTACTTTCTTGCCTTATTGTATAATGTACAACCTAAGAAAACAATACCAAGTAGCCATAATAAAAGTTCTATCCTTGTCTCATTCCTGATTTTAATGAAATAGCTATAAAAACTTACCTTTGGAATTACATTTAATTCTGTCTTTACAGGCTTAGAGCACTTTCCTGTTTTCCCATTTTCATAGAAATTATATTTAGAATGAACGGTAGATTTTATGTTATTTCATTTTTGTCTTTTTATGGCAATTTATATACTCATGTAATTTTTTCCTCCTTTAATTTATTACCCTAAAAGATCTTCTGATCAAACTCATTCTGGCCTTTCTAAAACAAACTGTTCATGTTCACATTCTTTTCATATGCTACTGAATATTTTATTCAGAATTTTTGCATCTGTATTCATAAGCCAATATGGTCAGTAACTCTCTTTTTGTTATTTCTTTACCAGATTTGGCATTAGGATATTTTCATCTGTTACCAAAGTCTACTATTAAAATTATGTGTTTGGTTTTGCCTTATGTAGAATTGAAATGTAAAATAATCTAATTTTGGCTACTTTTTAGTTTGTAATTTCAACTTTCCTTTTAGATAAAGGGGGTACATGTGCATATTTGTTACACGCAAATATTGCATGATGCTGAGTCTTGGAGTATGGACAGATCCCATCACCCTGGTAGTGAGCATAGTACCCGATAGGTAGTTTTCTAACCCAGCCCCTTTCCCTCCACCCTCTAGAGTCCATAGTGTCTATTGTTCTCACATTTATGTCCATGTATGTTCAATGCTTAGCTCCCAGTTATGAGTGAAAACGTGATATTTGATTTTCTGTTACAGCATTAATTTGCTTAGGATTATTACACTGTGGAAAGTAGTCTGGAAATTTCTTAGAGAACTTAAAAGAGAGTTGCCATTCGACCCAGCAATGCCATTACTAGGTAAATACCCAAAAGAAAATGAATCGTTCTACCAAAATGACACATGCACTAGGATGTTCATTGCTGCACTGTTCACAATAGCAAAGACATGGAATCATCACAGATCCCCATCAAAGGTGCATTGGATAAAAAAACTTGGTACATGTATTCCTATGGAATACTACACAGCAATAGAAAAGAATAAAATATTGTCCTTTGTAGCAACACGGATGGAGCTGGAAGCCATAATTCTTGTCCACTTTTCAAATGGTAGATATTTCATTTCATTTCCGATATTTCTATTAGTTCATTGAAGTTTTCTATTTTTTGAAAGTCAATTTTGATAGTTTATTCTTGAGGGATAACATCCATTTCTTTATCAGTGAATATGTTGCCTTGGAGTAGTATATAATCTTCTATTATAAGTCTTTTTCCTTTTCTGTTTCCATTCTCATGGCTCATACTCTATGCCTTTTTTTTTTCTTTTTTCTCTTTCTCTTCTATTTCCTTTAAATGCCTTACCAGAAGTTTATCTCTCTCTCTCTTCTGCTCTTTCTTTTTGCCATTTAAAAATGAACTTTTGGCTTTATATATCATTTGCACTGTGTCTTGTTCTACATTTCATTATTTATGGCTTTCATTTTTACAAATTGTTCCATTTGTTATTTTCTAGTCTACTTTGATATTCTTTTTATAATTCTTTGAATATTTACTTGGCTATGTTCAGTCATTCTTTTAAAATCCGGTCTTTTAAAACATCTACTCTTTTAAATTCACTGAGGTGTTGTGTTTTGGCCATATTCAGGAACTTGCATTTATAAAAGCATCCTCAAATTCTTGAAGGTTTCTTTAAAATTAGTTACACTATTTTCTCTTTTACTCCTTAACAATACAATTTTCAACATAATATTAATACATGCACTGCTAAAACTCACACTTATTGTTTATATTTCCCCTGATAAACAGATACTCATCGTCCCATGAAGTTTGTGGCTTGTGAGAATGAGATCACAAGTATCTTTCTTTAAAACCCATGAGTCTAACACCACATAAATTGCGCAGAGTGCTACGGAAAATTCAGTTACTTCATTCTATTTTGTGGGCTTCTGGCTGTAAAGGCCATGTCACTCTTCAAAGAGGCTGATATCCTGTAGCCTTGGGAAAAGGCAATGTCTCCTTAATGTTTATATTCACTAAAGTATCTTGCTCAAACCCTGGACACTGCAGATTCTAGAACAATATAGATTGTAGGTGTCTGGTGAAACAGTAGGCACTATAACTTAGAGAAATCATGGTTAAATTCATCTTGTGCCGAGCTTAAGAACTTAACCCTATCAACACGGACTCAGTACAACCCAGAATATGTCCCACAGGGGGTTATGTGGGGCACAGTATATATAACAGGGGGATATGTGTGGTCCAGGAGGTGAGAGAAGCAGGGAGAGAAGCAATTGTTGCATTCCTTTGCTTCTGCTGGGCGCTCTGTGATGCTATATATAAAATAAGGTAAGTGTGCAGTTGAGTGGGTAGGGAGAAAAGTGAGGCATCTTAAGGCCTGGTGGAGGGTGACTGATTTCATCCTGTCTTTGTTATGTATCTGAGAAGCAGGTTTATAACCAGTAACTGTCAGTGTTCAATATTTAACAAACTCCAGTTACACAGGTAAGAGGTCAGCAGTAGCTTATAGGTCTCACTTATATTATCCACGTGCCCAACTGCAGCCATCGTGGGCTAGTGCTAAAACTTTCTTTTGAATTTTCATTTTTCTAATAATTGCAATCAGTGAGAGGAGAAGAAAAAGTTCAAGGGAATGATCTGACCTTTCACCATCCTACACAGGAGATGACTGATGACATGGATTCATACACTAATGTATATCGTGTATTCTCCAAAGACCCTCAAAAATCACAAGAAGTTTTGAAAAATTCTGAGATCATAAACTGGAAACAGAAACTCCAAATCCAAGGTAACAAGTCTGAAGAAATGGGCAAGCAGCTGTGCTTCTCAAATTGTGTCTTCAACTAACAGCATTAGCATCACCTGAGAGCTCATTAGAAATGTAAATTCCTTGAAATTCTCAGAGCTGGGAGAGGTGGAGCAATCTGTGGTGTGCCAAGGACTATAGCTGATTGTGGTGTAAACTCAACTTTGAGAACTACTAAGCACTGAGGCATTAATCAGGTGTGAGCAGTGTAAGTAGAGAACTGCATGTCTGACAATATTGCTTTCTTGGCTTTCTCTCAGGTTTTCAAGAAAGTTTAGGTGAGGGGATAAGAGCAGCTGCATTTTCAAATTCAGTGAAGGTAGAGCATTCGAGAGCACTCCTCTTTGTTACGGAAGATATCCTGAAGCTCTATGCCACCAATAAAAGCAAGCTTGGAAGCTGGGCTGAGACAGGCCACCCAGATGACGAATTGGAGAGGTACAAAAAACATGTGCTGATCATTTATAATTGCTATTCCTTGTACATTTTTGTAATTCACATAAATCAGTTTTGGAATGAAGAGAGGATGAATTCATTCCTTGGGATGAATAAAGGTTGTCAGTGGTCAAAATACGCCACTTTGCAATGGTGGGTCTTTTAACAAGAAGAGGGCCTGGGATCTCTAGAATGGAAGGGCACCTAGAAATTACAGGAGTGGGGATGAAAGTTGTTGTCTTTCTTTTTGTTTTCTACAGCGAGACTCCGAACTTTAAGTATGCCCAGCTGAATGTGTCTTATTCTGGGCTGGTAAATGACAACTGGAAGCTAGGGATGAATAAGAGGAGCCTGCGTTACATCAAGCGCTGCCTAGGAGCCCTGCCAGCAGCCTGTATGCTGGGCCCAGAGGGGGTCCCGGTCTCATGGGTAACCATGGACCCTTCTTGTGAAATAGGAATGGGCTACAGTGTGGAAAAATACCGAAGGAGAGGCAATGGGACACGGCTGATCATGCGATGCATGAAGTATCTGTGTCAGAAGAATATTCCATTTTACGGCTCTGTGCTGGAAGAAAATCAAGGCGTCATCAGAAAGACTAGTGCACTAGGTTTCCTTGAGGCCTCCTGTCAGTGGCACCAATGGAACTGCTACCCACAGAATCTTGTTCCATTGTAGACAATGAAGCTGCTTAGCAATCTTGGGCAAGCCATCTCTTAATATTAAAGCAGACACCACAGAATAGCTTTCTTCACTTACAAATGTTGATTGGGCATTTGTGATATGGCAGGAACTCTTTCTCACATGGAGACTTGATGTTAAAGGACACAGCCATGCTCTTGAGGAGCTTACAATCCAAGCTGGAGGCAGGGGAGGGTATAGTCTTTAAATATGCTTAAGTGTTGTAGGGAAGGACAGAGTTACCAATAAACATGTAACTAGAAAGCCAGGCTCAGTTCTTACCTCTGGGAATCAGAACTCTTTATGAAACTTGGTTGATAGAATCTACTATCTGGAAGATAAATGAAGAACTTTAATAAAATTGTCAATAGAATATACCTAATCTATATGGATACTTTATTGGAAAGAAATACCCCTGTTATGTATGGATTTATGAGGCAATGGCTATACTAAAGAATGGAATCAGTCTCTTAGTTTAGTGTCTAGCAAGGTATCAAAGGTGAAGCCTCAGACAAATGGCTTTCTTAGGCTACCTTTCATCATTGTTATGCAGAAAAGGATCTCCAGAGAATCAAGTGGGCTGGCCTTGAGGCCTCTGTTATGGAAATGACATTTGTTGTGCCTCCTTTCCCCTACTCTTTCTCACTTCCTCATCATTAGTGAAGCATGGCACAAGATAAGGTGTTGCCTGTGAGTCTGGCTATAAATTCAGCTTACGATGTTTGCAGCACTGCTATCTTAAGGGGTCAAGGGCATTTCAGGGGGAAGTGACCACTAAGGTGAAGACTGGAGAGTGAGTAAGAGTGAGCCATACAGTAAAAGTGGAAAAATCCAGATGATGGAAAGGACACGTGCCATGCACTATCATAATAACTTTATAATTGAACACTTATATTACAATTTCTGAACCCCTGATCTCAAAAAAAAAAAGAAAAATACACTTCATGAAAAAAACGGGGCCTCATTTGGCTCCGCTCTCCCCCCCTGTCATTGGAGCTTGGATTACTGTGAACATTGTAGCCACAGCAAAAAGAAAAAAAAAATTGGCATTTTTACTCCTTCTGATAGTCTAGATTTTAAAAAACAAAAGAAATCTTAATAGAATTGTCTTTTGGAGTAAAGCCTACCAGTATTAATCAACACCTCATCTCTCCATAGAAAATAACCCCCCACAAAATTGAATGTTTATACTTGATGTGATTTGAAAGTGTGCAATTCCAGCACCTAAAGAATAGTGTAGGTCATGGAGTTTTTAAGAAACTCCAATTCATCTTAGAAGGCTGTGGTAGATCTGTTACCGCTTAGTATAAATCAATCCAATCAGATTTCTAAACTCCTGAGACCTGGCTGATTTGTTACATTGACTGAAATGAAAGCATGGTCTGAGAAAGAGAGTAAACATGTCATTTGGGATTTCAAAGGGTGGAAAATTCTTACCTAAAAAATAAACTCAGGAACTTGGGGTAATATAAAAACAGCTATATTTTGGCACTCAAGAGGCAAAAGCTAATATATGTGATGAAAGAACACAAAGCAAATAAAATTTGACTATTTCAAAATGATGCCTCGGGCAGGTCCTGTATCCAGAAGAGGATGTTCATCCAGGGTCTGGGGCTAAGGTCATCTTAGCACAGCCCAGCTGCCAGCTTCCCTCCTCTGCCGCTTCCCTGAACGCAAACCAGCTTCCCTTATCTAGCCCTTCGTGGACCTGTTAAAAAAGTGATCCCTAAACCTTATCATGCACTTGCATTAAAAAAACAACAAGAAAGCATGGGAAGGATGAAAGAGGATTTCTTAAATATGGCACAAGTAAGTCCAACATTATCAATAAACACACTAACAATGAATGGGGTAATTTTCTTATTAAAATATATGTTTTTCATACTGAGTTAAAAACAAAATCCAAGAAGCATACATCTCTGTGCCCTCACATGGTGGAGACAGAGGAGAGCTCAGACTCTCTTCCTTTTCTTAGAAGGACTTAATACCATCAAGGGGGCTCCACCCTTATGACTTAATCTAAACCCAATTACTTCTCAAAGGCCCACCTCCAAGTCCGTTGGGAGTTGGGTCTTCAACATATGAATTTGGGAGTCACCGTCAGTTCATAAGGAAGCATATCTGAAATAAACAACACACAAGGGTTCACGGAAAGGAAGAAGATATACTAAATGAACGTGAAACTGAAAAGCAAAGTAATACCATCAACACTTGGCAAAATAGAACGTAAGTTGAACATCTGCTAAATACAGAAATTCTCCCACAACATAGGTCATGAATCTGCCTCACAACACAACACAACTACAAACTATACATGGCAAAAGCTGACAGACATACAAAAGAAAAATGCAAATCCACAGTCTCAGTGGGAGAACTCAAAAAACTTCCCTCAGAAAGCAACAGATGATGCTGACAAAAAATAAAGACAATTTGACAAACTGCCATCACAACTTGCTATTTCTGGTGATGTTGGGGTTATCTGCTTATTGTGTATTTGAGAACTTCCCTTCATCTGCTTGTCAAACTGACCAGCAGGTGGTGCTGGGGAGGGAAACACTCCATCTGGAGAATGCTGGCAACTTGTCTCTTAAGTCTAGAGGCTCCTGGTCCCCCTCATGATCATCACCTATCAGGCACAAGCACTGCTGATACAGGAGCTAAAAAGAAATTATTAAGCAGTTAGTGTAGGTAAGAGAGTCCTCAGTAAGGTTTTTCTTTTAATAAAAAGCAGCCCCCATATAATCGCTTTTCTAGCGAAAATCAGCCTAAAAAATCAAGCCGCAAGCATGCTAAAAGCTTGCATAGGTAAATGCCGGCACCTATGCAAATAGAAAAGGGATACCTGGAAGTCAGGCGTACTCAACATAGAGGTTTCCTCTTCCTATTTTTTTTTTTCAGATGGAATCCTGCTCTGTCACTCAGTCTGGAGTGCAGTGGTGCATTCTCAGCTCACTACAACCTCCCCCTCCTGGGTTCAAGCAATTCTCTCCCTCAGCCTCCTGAGTAGCTGAGATTACAGGTGCCCACCATCACGCATGGCTAATTTTTTTTTTCGTGTTTTTTTAGTAGAGGCAGGGTTTCACCATCTTCGCCAGGCTGGTCTTGAACTCCTGACCTCTCGTGATCCACCGTCCTTGGCCTCCAAATGTGCTAGGATTACAGTCATGAGCTACCACGCCTGGCCGCCTATTTCCTTTTCTTTGTCTTCACTTGTGCAGGCGACACGGCACAGGCCAGGTAGAGGCCCCGTTTGCATACTAAAGATTCATGTGGGATGGCCAGGCTCTTCGTGCATCACATAAATAGCACACCTGCTCCAACCAACCCTCTGAGCCCTATGTAAATCAGACACTGCCTCCTCAAGCTCCTCTATAAAACCAACCACAACTCGCCCCAAACCCGGAAACCTGCTCAGGCACCCTTCCAATGCATGAGGAAACTCTCTCTTTGTTCTTTTGCCTATTAAACTTTTGCTCTTAAACCCACTCCTTTGGTGTCCACATCTACAATTTCCATACTGTGAGACAGCAAACCTCTGGCATTTCCCCAGACAAACGATGCCGCTTCACTGCCATCTCAAGCCCAAGTGCCAAAAATGACCACTTCAGCCTGAAGAATGCCATGGCTGCCACCATGCTGCTTAGGATAAGCAAAGACACAAAGATGAAGTGGGGACGGGTTTACTAGAGAGGCTGCAATAAAAGCATATCCCAGGCAACTTTCCACTTCTTAACTTCTGTCATTTTCAAACTTAAAGGTGTTTTTTTTTTTGTTGTTGGTTTGTTTTTCTTTTTAACAGTTTCTATTTCTGGCCAAAAGACTGCTCTTTGTTTTCCTGCTATGACATATTTATTCTTTGTTCTAAAGTCTTTTCCATGATTTCATATAGGAACTAAGAAGACAGCCAGGTGTTTGCTCAACATATTGATCCCCTCTCCACCTAGAACTCTCTTTACTCTTTCTCCCAGGAAGATTCCACCCCTCCTGTTCTGCCAGTTTCCTCATATTTGCCTCAGACAATTGCCCTTGTAGGCAGATGAACCCGGGCCAGTTCTACTTTACTATGGACACCAACTCTTCTGAAATAACATCTGAGTCTTGGGATTTGCATATGAATCTTCCCTTGACACAGCAAACAGTCTTTCCTTTTACCTTCACTAAAGTCATCTACTTGGGAGAATGGAGAGCACTAAAATTCTACAGATTTCAAAACCAAACCTGCTGTGCCTTTCCAGAGTCCTTGGAATGAAAAAGAGAAAATAGGTTAGAAGGGATATTTTCTCCTTCCTTCCTTACCCTGAAGGAGCTCCTATTTTTAAAGGGAATCATTGGGGACAATCCAAAAGAAACTCTTGCAAATCAAGCTTTGCCATGCCACCACGAGAAGGGTAACCTGTGTGCCCAGTGGTGAAATTTTTAAACTTTGGTAATGATCTCCAGGTTCACCCCTATGGATAACGAAAATATTTTAAGAACCTATAAGGGTGCCAACCTTTCAGAACCATGTCTCTTTGCAAGGACCTACCAAGGTCTAGAGATCATAGCACCTCACTAGCAGCCTACAGGCATTCTCCAAAGGTTCCCACCTGCCCCACCCAACACACACACACACACACACACACACTCACACACACACACCCTGCTATCCTTTGGCCCTAGATTTCACCTAACTTTGTTCTAAATCTTAATCTCCCTGTGCCCTCAAACTCATGTGTTATAGGGCCTTGGTAATCCCTTTCTAAGCATATTCCCTGACTTCTCAAATACTATTTATGAGACATATATCTAAAGTAAAACTATATTTCAGGCCAGATCAGCACGCTTCTTATTACAATTATAAACACTGAACTTCTTAGTTGCTGGGAAAATATATTAAAAAGGCATTATTATGCTTTTATAGCCATAGATTATCTAGGGAAAAGTATTGAGTGTCTCGAGAATGAGTGAAAATTCTTTCCCCAATATACACTTTTTTTCTTTTGCAAAGTATATCCTGCATATATTCAAAAGATAATGTTTTTCAAAAGGGGAAATTGCCTCCACTGTGGACTCTTATTAATTCACTTATCCCTCAAGTTCTCTTATTAACTCACTTATACATCATATTCCCTTATTAACTTTTTATTCAATCACTGGTATTTGTTTCTAGTGCTCATAATTGAACACAAATTTTTTTACTATTATATAAAATAAAGTAACAGCTATTCACCATTTCCTCCTTTACCTCAATAAGTTGATATCTTCCAATAGATTCATTTCCCTGTTTTGCTCCCTCCTCTGATCCAGACGAGTGTGCTAAGTGATACAAAATGCTTTTATTCCTCTACCGTTCAACCCCCTGAGACCGATGTTTTAGTTCCATGTGTTTTAGTTCCAGGTGTCACAGAATTTCCCTTGCAGTGTGTCGCATCCATTTAAAGAATCCTTCTTTAAAACTTTTCTTACACATTCCCAGAGAGCCTATCATTGTCCATTTAGAGTTAATTCTCTACATAAAATTTGTCAATTTTTTTTTACTCACCACTGTTTCCTCTCCTTATTTTCTGCTCCTATCTGAAATCTCTGTTCCTATTTGATTAGTTAAAATTGCTTCTTCAGTATTTTCTGCATGTAAATATGCTACCAATATAATATCTGAAGACTCTCAAATCCACAAATATCTTTCTTTGACCCTCACAAGAATGTAATTTCTGCAGCCTTATAAATTGATTTGTCTTTTACCCTCAAGTGACTGATTCCCTATGACATCACATTTTAGGATGACCAAATATAATTTTCCACTTTATACATAAGATATAAAGGTACAAAGAAACAAGGTAACCTTGAACCTTCATTCAAGGTCACAAAGCTAGCAAAAAGTGGATGACTAGCGATGAGGGCTTCAAGTTGAGATTAACAAACAACAACACAGGATATAATAGGATTTAACCCAACTTCAACTTCATAAAATGAATGGACATTCCCTGATCTTCCCTCCACTCCCACCCCCACCTCAGGGGATTTCAGGATGTACCCGGCAAAGCTGTCTTCCTCCATCCCCAACCGTTTCTCAGGCAGTGACGGGTGTTAAGAACTCCTCACTGCCCTTCTTGAAGCTTACATTCTGGAGCAGGGAGGCAGAAACTAAACCAAAAATTAAAACAACTCTGAACATATTCCCTATAAACTCAGATGTAGTATATGAAAAAAAAACACATGATTTGATGACAGAAGATGATGGAGGGAGAAAGAACAACAAATAAATAGGAAAAGAGGCCTCAGATAGGAGCAGGTAAAAAGGAGAGAAAACAGGAAGGGGTCAGGACTGGTCTCCCTCAAAGCCTGGCATTTGACAGAGAGCTGCAGAAAGAAGGAATAGAGCCAAGCACATAACAGGAGGGTAGAGTTTCAGTCTGAAGCACCCAAGATGGTCCACTAGGATCAACAAAGGACATACTTGAACCACCATTTAGATTCATCTTCATCTAAAAAATAAGAAATTGTGTGTAATATTTAATTATTTAGTACATTAATTACAGTAGAATATATAGAGTTGATGCTCAATTTGTTAAAAAATAGATATCTAAAATTTAACCTCAGAGATTACTCTTGCCTATGACAACGAGCTTCTGAAAGGCAAGGATAGGTCTCACCCATCTCTGTATCTTCAGAATCCATCATATTATGTGGAACATAACAGGTATCAATAGTATGTTGGGGGGAAAAATCGAAACCATGCTGAGCACCGGAATTCTGGGTAAATCTTTTTAAAAAATCTCTTCTACTTTACATCAGAGTCCCTTTTGTATTTTTAGTATCATCCAGCCCCACGCCTTGCAGATGAGCCCCTAAGAAATGAATGGGTGAATGAATGTGTGGACAGCGGGATGGATCAGTGAGTGAGGAGCAGTGATTCGCAGGACCTGCATGCATTGAAATCCTGCCAAAGCAGCCTCTGCAAAATAAAAGACCTTAGGCTTTGGTTTCTGACACAAGTTAAAATTATCCAAGGACTGTCCTTGGGCCACTTAGTTGAGGTTTCCTAATCTGTGAAACAGAAAGTGAATTCAATAGAAAGATGATTCAGACAAACTTACTGAAGGTGCCAAAGCAGGATGCCTGGCATTGAGGGACGCTTCACACCTGTTATCTCTCTCCCTATTCTCTCTTCACCCCTATTCCCGCCCGGCAGCTCTCCGCTGTCAGCGCCAGAAATACTTACCTGCTGAGAAAAGGAAAAGCACAACACTGACTTTACCCCGCGACGCTTTTAAAAAATCCAAAATACCCAGCGCGATGGGGAGTAGGTTTCCCTAAAGACAGGTGGAGCAGCCATAGTTAACTTAGAGGAAGGTGAATTGACAAAGAGGGTTGAGCCACTACGAGTGGGAGTTACCTTGGACTAACAGTTGTATCTTCAGCGAGCACATGTCCTGGAATCTCCCACGCCCATCCCTTTTTTTAGCGCCACAAATGCAGCCTCCTAAGAGAATGGGAAGCTTGGGAGTCAGAGAACCGAAGATTGAGCTACCATTGACCTTAATGGATGTCAGTCTTCACTTGTCGCTTTTTTTCCTTCCTCGCCTCCTTGCCCCGCCCTATCCCTGTAGGCGCGTTCTCCCGCGACATCAAATGGCAGCATGCGGGACTACACCAAATGCGGAAAGGCGCCTTCCCCTGCCCTGAGTATCTGCAAACCCGGGGCTGGGCTGGGTTTTTAAGGGCTGGGCTCGCGTGCGAGGAGCGGTGCTAAAAAGGGGCTGCCTGCGCAGATGTCATTCCCACAAGATGCAAGTAAAGAAGCACCGCGGACGCCCGGGGAGGGTCACAGAGCGACAGGAGGGGTTGTTGACCAGGTGACTGGCCTCACTTCTGACAAATGCAAATTACCCAGCCACAGTCCAACCAAGGGTATCAAAACAGGATCTCTGCAGATGGAGCTCAGTGTTATGTGTTTTGGACAGCTCGCAATAAGATTTTCATGCATCATAAACTTTCCCTGAGTATCTCAGCCAGTTTTGTGGATGCCGAGGTTTGTTCAAAGCTGCAGATTACTGGGCCTCACCCCAGACCTACTCTACTTAAATATAGTGGGGTTCCCATAATCCCCATTTTACAAAACCTATCCAAGTTAAAGTACAGAGAATCACAAACTGGAAGAACTCCTTAATTTACAAATAAGGAATGGAGACCCCCCCCCACCAAGAGAGAACGGAATTTGCCCAAGGTCCCCCTGAAAGAGCCTAAGAAAACGTGAGGCTCTAAGGTTAAAATCCTACCTGACACCCTTTCCTTTCCCCAACTAGTCCTGTGACCTCTAGCAAACTATCCTGTCCTGATCTGTGAAATGGGAGCAACAGTCCCACCTACCCCAACTGGTGACTGCGAATATTAAATGGGGCCACAATGAGTCAACTCCAAGCACCACCCCACTGGAAGTTGAGGTTGAACTAATTCTAGATCGCCCTACCCCCATTCATCTCCCAGTACCATTGTATGACCGTGGAGGTGAAACCATCCAGCCGCCTGTTGGTCCCAAACCATGTTCACCTCCACCCGTGGCTCAGTGACTATTTCTTTTCTTGAAGAGAGAGAGAGGCTCCTTGGAGCCTCTGGAGTCTGGAGGGGAATGTTACCTTCCCCATGCCTGCATTGTCTTCCCAAGATAGGATGGACTATGGGGTCTCCATGAGGTTAGCTGCTGGGGCATCAAGGCTAGCTCCTAAGTGGTTGCTGGAGGCTTAGAGACCCCACTCCAGCTCTCTCTCAAATGGGGGCAGCTTGTTTGCAGCAGTGAGTGAGGTGGGCCAACTATGAACCCATGGGAGGAGAGGAAAAGACCATCCCATCTAAGCTTTTACATACCCCATTGCAAGCTCCAGAATGTGGTGCCCAGGCCCATATCTATAACCCACCCCCAGAGGCCAATTCTCCTCAGCCTTTCCTGCCCTTTCTGCCGTTGTACAGCCAGTTTCCATGCTCTCTTCTATCAAACTCCTACTCATCTCTCAGCCATCTAGTCCAAATATAAATCTTTCTCTGTGATATACTCTCAAGGTAGAGGCAGTGGTGCCTTCCTCTGTATTCCGAGAACATGTCATCTGCACCTCTACATACAGACATCATCCTACTGGTAGTGTTCCAGAGCATCTTTTAGGGGTTCATGAAGGAATCACTCTTCGTAAACACTGGCCTTATTCCCTAACTTCACCAGACCTGACCTTAGTGCATGATCCATTCCCACCTCTCCCAACCACATGAGAGCCTTTTCCTCTTTATGGGTTTACAAAACACAAACTGACCCAACCACCAGTTACTGGCCAAAAGCATTCTTGTCACATTTATAATAAAATCCAGCCAACAGGATACTTTGTGCCAAGGGAATGTTCCTTTTCAGGGCAAACACTCTGTCCCCAGGGATGTTAGACAACTTCCATAGCCCCAGATAAGCATTAGCTAGAAGTGAGTTTTCTTTGGTGGCCCAACAGATTCCCTGAGCATCCCTACTCTGTCACTGATTCCAGTTGCAGTGGGATTGCATCAAAGCTCTCAGAGCACAGCTGCAAAGGGTAAAGCAAAGCTAGAGCTCTACTCTGGACCTATCACTCTAGACAGTTTCTCTGTGAGGGGCAGTTTTATACGTAAGGAAGAAATGGAAGATTACTCCCAAAATGGCCTCAGGGTACTTATCCCAATTGTGTGGTTCAGTTGCTACTCCAGTGATGAGCAAATAAACAGGAAATAGAAGCACAACTATTCCTAAGCTCAAGAAGCAGGGAAGCTCAGGAATTGGTGTGCAGCAGTGCTGCTTGGAGCGCCATTACAAAGGGACAAGCACGGTCCACTGGGAGGTAAAATTCAGGGAATCTAAGACACAGGGGGTATGGGAAACAAGGCAGGCTTTTGTATTTATCATTTGCCGTGATATCTCTCTGTGAACTTTCTTTTAATTTTCCCTGTACTTTAATTATATTTCTTAGGCCTGACGTGGTGGCTTACATCTGTAATCCCAGTACTTTGGGAGGCTGAGGCAGGCAGAGCACCTGAGGCCAGGAGTTCGACCCCAGCCTGGCCAACATGATGAAACCCCATCTCCACTAGAAAAACAAAAGTTAGCTGGGCATGGTGGCAGGCTCCTGTAATCCCAGCTGCTCAGGAGGCTGAGGTATGAGAATCGCTTGAACACAGGAGGTGGAGGTTGCAGTGAACCGACATCATGCCACTGCACTCCAGCCTGAGCAATAGAGCAAGACTCTGTGTCAAAAAAAAAAAAAATTCTCAGTTAATGGCCAACATTGTTACCATCATAAGTCCCAGCTTCCCTGTCTTCCTGTCATCATGTGTTGAATGTCCACTTCCCTCCTTATTTTTCAGTTGGAGTGGATTAGCATCTCCAATTCGACATGTCAAAAGTAGAATTTTACACACACACACACACACACACCCCACTCCTGACACACACAGCATCTCTGTCCTCAGACTTCCCCATCCTTCTAGTTGCTCAAGTCAAAAGCCCAGGAATCGTCATTGAGCCCTCTGTTTCTCTTATTTATGGAACATCCATAAGCAAATTCCAAGGGCTGGCCCTTCAAAATAAATGTGGAATCCAGCCATTTCTAACACTTCCACCATTACCATCTGAGGTCGGGCTCCAACATCTTTGCAATCCTGGGACAGACTCTTAGCTGCCTTCTCCCTTCCACATCTCTTCTTGTCCTCCCAGAGTCTTTACCCCGCACAAACGCTGCTAGGGTGATTTTTTAAAATATGTCAGGGTATATTACCCCCCTGCTTCAAATCCTCCATTTAAAATAAATTTCACATTTATAGCAAAATCCAGACTTCTTCATATGGCCCACCAGGGGCTTTATGCTAATGGAATGTGCAGATGCTCCTCCCTGAGGAGCACCTTTTACCAGGGCAAATTCTCTATCTCCAATGATGTCAGGCAATTTCGACAACACCATTCTCTACCATCTCTTGCTTTTCATAGATTTGTTTCCTCCAGATTCTACAAAAAAAGAAGATCAAGTCTCCTTGTGCAATGATTTACTCTCTGATGTATATTGGTGCCAGGCACGTGTACTGCTTTCAGATGATTCAAGAATAACAGCGATTTAAGAAAGCTGTCGTTAAGTTTTCTCTTCTCTTTGTCTGTATGACATTATTTTTACAATTATACTTCCAAAGTTTGCTCTTTCCGAACACCTCAAGACCCGTGTAATTTAAGCAGTGATTTTAGGGGTCTCTGTATATTTTATATTAATTTCAGAAACATGCTCATGATTATTCCACCAAAACTATCAACTGTTACATAAACATCTGTCCTTCTATGAGTTACAAAATAATTGTCTCCATCCCCACTTAACCATCTTCTCTCCTTCTTTGAGCAACTTCTGAAAAATAACACCCAATACTGATGGCATCTCATTCTATTCAGCTTCTCAGACAGTAAGACGTTCTTTTCTTAAACAGTAAGATGTTTTCTCAAGCCCCATGCAAAGCACTTCTTTGATATCAGTTTGGGGAGGTCGTACTCTGGAGCCTTCATCCAAAGGGTAAAGTACAGCACTCAGTAATGCGCGTCCTGGGAACGAGGCCTAAGCAGTGCTGGCCACTGCCTCCTCCAGGCTGGCATTGTCTGTGTTCGCCAGCCCCGCCGCGAAGTTAGCTCATTTGTGATCAGGCCAAGTCCCTTTAGATTTCACGCAGACGCGGGTGCAGCCTGCTCTGGGACTTGAAGTCCGCTGGAGCCTGGGCCTCTGCATTATCCGGGTGGAGCTCTCTCTGCTGCTGCCGCCAAAGGATCCCGCCTGGATGCTCATCCCGCCACCGTCGCCCACCCCGCCGCTGCAGAAAGGCAGCAACTGCCACACACCTAAGCAACTTGGCGGGCTATTCGCCCTGCAGCTGCCGCCAGCGCGCGGCTCCCGCCAGCGCGCTGGCAATCAAAAGTCGGAGAAAGCGCGAAACCTCCAGGCACCTCCCACTCCGCCCAGCTACCGCGCAGCTCCTCCCTAGCCTCCACTGGGAGACAGGGGACGCCCATGAGCGGGAAAGAGCAGGGCGGTGATTGCTTAGTTTATCCTGGGACACGGGAACTGGCCGTGGACTGAGTGGTGCCGGGGAGGGGATCACTGAGACCGGGAAGGGTCATCCAGACAAATAGGGAGGGTGGGCGGGTTGGCGCGCAGTACCCTCGGCCCGGCCTTCAGACCCACCTGCGCGCGCTGCGCGCTCATCCGGTCCTTCCCTTCAATCACTGTCTGGAGTGATGATAATTGGCTTCCACAGTGGATGAGAGATGAGTCATTTACATCCAATGAGAGAAAAACAGCCTCCAGAGACTCTTCGTCCATTGGCCAGCGAGAGTGTCAGTTCCCAGGCTCCTGCCGCGCACGGGCGAGCCCTTCTAGGCGGGAAAAGTTCAGCTGAGAGATATAAAAGAGCAGTCTTTCCAGCACCTGCAAATCCAGAGCGGCGGGCACTGACGGGCACTTGCACCGTGTGGACAGACTCTCCGGTTCTGTGAGTGGTTTTTCTTTTCCCGGGTCGGACCTGGAGTTCTTAGGGGGATGGCTGACAAGGGCAGTAGGCAGAAGGACCTCAGCCCAAAGTCAAGGGGGTTTTGGATGGGGAGCTGGGCAGCCGCCCGTTGTAATTCCCTTCCCCCTGTCTCAGCTTCAAAGGCCAAGAGTTGTACTCCTGAAGAGATACTTAGAGATCATCTGGGTGTTCCTGAATCTCGAGAGGGTCGTTTGACCCTGGTGGGTCCTTTCCCTGCCCGGTGCCGTTCGCGCCCATAGAAGGAGACCAGGTTCGGTTAAGCAGAGCAGAAACTATTCACTGATCAAGGAATGGAGTAGGAGAGCTCCTGCTCAAAGTGCCTGGAGTGTAGTGTGAGGGTGCTTCTTAAGGTCTTTTAGGGCAGGTAGTTGGAAAGCAAGGATTTCTGGAAAGAGACGGGGCTTTCCAGAAACAGCTGAGTGTGGCAGTCTCCTATTTTCTGTTGCCACCCAACACTACATGTGCCTAGCAAGCTGCGTTTCTCCCCGAGGCACAGATTGAGGTATGGTAATCAGCAAGGATTCAGGTTAGGGTAGCGCTTCTAAGTTCGTTTCCCATCTTGTAGCACGGTGGTTACTGACATCCAGTCTCTGTTTCTGTAAGCAAGCACAGCTTCAAGCACAGGTTACCTTCATAGGTTCTGGGGCTTTAGGAAAGCATTGAGGTCATCCTGCGGTGACAGAGGCAGCTGTTCAAAGAACTTGGTGCGCCTTTGAGGCGGGGGTTGTGGAGTGAGGCAGGTAAAAATGCAGATTCCATAGCCACACCCCGACATACTGAATCAGAGTCTGTGAGGGTGGGATCTGGAATCCTTTTTAAAAAGCTTAGAGGAACCAATTCACACGAACAATAAAAGTTTCATCTGAGCCAAAGTCCTTAATCTAGAAATGAGGAAATGGGGATCCCTAAAAGGGTTACAGGGAGAGGGTTGGTGGAAAGTTAGACTATGACAGTTTTAGGGTGGTTCTTTCCTGGCCTTGGAAAGTTTTCTCAGCTGCTGCTCTGATCAGTACACAGCTGAATGCTTTAGGGGAACCCTCTTCATATATCCAGAGTTCCCTCTCTGTGCAGGTCTCCCACCATGTCTTTGGCCTGTGACCTCTTGTCACCTTAGTCTCTCAGCTTTGTCTCCTTAAATCTGGAATTCCTACTGGTTTTGTCTTGCTGCCCTTCCTTGCCACACTGGCCTGGAATTCCTCAAGGTAGTCTGCTAAAGTGGATTATAGGATACATTTCAATTGTCACTGTCCTTAATTGCATAATGTCCAGTTCCTTGCAAACCATTGTTTCATATGTTTTGCTCTTTTTTGTTTTGTTTTGTTTTCATACTAGGGGGAAATCCAGTCCCTGTTACTCCATTTTGGCCAGAAATTCAAGGTAATGACTTTTAATGTTTCTGACTGCTAGTTCTATCTTCTCTCTCACTTCTGGACCTGTCTCTATTCACTGATATTTCTAGTCATTATGGGTCATATTTATCCACTTTTTAAGTGCCTGCTGATTTTTTTATTAGATATCAAGCTTTGTTAATTTCACAACTTTGGGTGCCAGAAATTTTTACATTCCTATCAATATTCTTGAGCTTTGTTCTAGTATGTTCATATTTTACATGGAAACCATTTTATACTTTCGAAGCTTGCTTTTATTTATTAGGTGGGAGCAGAACTAGGGCTAATTTTGTCCTACTGCGGAAGAAATACCTTGCAGAGTAGTCTCCCTGATACTTCATGAATTATGAAGTTTTCTAGTCGGATTTTTGGGAATTGAAATTATACACAGTCCTGTATGAGCCTCAGAAATTGTTACATCTGCTTCTTTTGGGTACTTCTTTTCCTGTTCCTTTTCAACAGTTTCGTTCCACTCATGCATTGACCAAGCTGAAATCTCAAGGGATACCCACTGCAGATCTCTCATACTGTGTGCTCCTGTGGCTGTCTTCTCCCTAGTACTCTGTCATACAAGCTCCAGTCATCTTGGCCTCCCAAAACTCCTTGCTTGTCTTCTCAAATCAGGGAAACTACTAGACTCTGCCTGTTTCTCCTTCCTAAGATATGCCTTGGAAACTCCATACAGTAAGCTAAATAGCCATAGGGCTTACCTCATATGATTTTCTTCTCAGATATCAGAGATGAGGTCCCACACCACCTGATCTCCAGTGTTTGAAAGTGGTTATTTCATAGATCTTGTTTTTTTGGTTTTTTTAGACATTTCAGGTGGCAGAATAAATTCAATCCTTGTTTCTCCATCTTATCGAGTAGTAGAAGTTAGTTACATTCTCTTTGAACTCATCATGAATTCCATGAAGACTGAAGAAAACAAGTCATTTAGCGCTATGGAAGATGACCAGAGGACTAGACCTGAAGTTTCAAAGGTATATCTACTTTTTTACAACTCCTCAGAGGAGTGATAGTCTAACTATAGTGCCATATGAGGATCTTGGAGATAAGTTCTTAAACAATGGTCGTTATAAGCCCTTCTCTTAGGTAGTTTAAAATATATTTGGGGAGCTCATACACATAAGTGCTTGTGGAAAGCAAAATGATAGAGTTAACAATGCTAAACGTATGTTAAGACAACAAGATGACTAACAAACAATATAGACACTTAAAGTCTTGGAAAGTGTAGACAGGCAAAAATAATTAGCTAATGTTTTCTGAGGAAACACTGTGTGCCTAGAATTGTGTCCCATCATATGTATTATCTCATTTAACACTTAATAGAACTATGCAGTAGGTATTATTATCATACTTATTTTATAAAAGAAGAAACTGAAGCTCAACTTGCTTATAGTTGCAGAAGTAATGGACTTCAGAGCAAGGATTTAAACCTAGTCCATCAGACTGCAGAGACTGGTTTTTGACCCACACTATTTTGCTCAAAATATGCAAAATGATAATACAAAATTGAGACATAAACAAGTGATTTTAGAGTACAGAGAGAAGAATGCTTAATTCAGACTTAGGAAACTACAGCAGCGTCATATGAGAAATGATTTATTAATGAATAATAAATCTAAAATTGTCAAACTCATAGGTGTCGAAGTGGTTGTTGGGCTGGGAATAGAGAAAAATGGAGGTATTAGTCAAGGGGTACAAAGTTTCCTTATACAAGGTGAATAAGTTCTAGGGATCTGTACAGCATGGGTGCCTATAGTTAATAACACTGTTGTATACTCAAGTTCTTGCTAAAATGATAGATCTTATGTTAAGTGTTCTAATTACAAAAATAATAAGAGGGCAGGAAGAGACTTTGGGAGGTGATAGATAGGTTGATGGCATAGATTGTGGTGATAATGTATCTCCATACTCATCAAGTTGCATACATTAATTATGTACATTAATTATGCATTTTGTATGTCTAAAACTAAGTTATTTTTTAAAAAGAATGAATAACATTTCACTAGTGTATCAAGGATGAAGGAATGGCCTAAGTAAAGTCGTGTACACAGGAAAACATATTTGGGGAACAGGATAGCTGCATTTGATGCTTTATAAGGAGAATTCAAGAATATGGTAGGCAAATACTGTTTTCTATACTGGTAAGGTAGTATGGTGCCAAGATCACAGTAGGCTTTATATCAATAAGAGCTTTCCACATTTCCAGTAAAAATATTTTCTAATTGTGAAACAATAAAATGGATTCGCTGGTTCACATGAGTGGACATTCCAGAATTCAGCTGAGCTCTTAATTCAGTGGTATACAGTTTCTTTAAGGACTTGTTTGTGTGTTCAGTCTCTGTGTTCTGCTTTTCATGTTATCCCCTGGCTGGCTTTCTGCATAGTGACAAATAGAGCTGCAGTAATATCAGATGCTTTACTCTCCCTATAATGAGTCTATCCTGGTTTCCTGAGGAAACTTCTCTTTGCCATCTAATTGTCCCAACTTAAGTAGCTCACCCATTTCAACACAAAACCTTGTGACTGAGAGGGCACATATAGATATTCTTAAGCTGTCATGAATTCATTTCCATACGTGTATGGCTCCTAAAAAGTGGGAGAGAGGTAGAATAGCTTTCTGGAAAATAGCTGCAGTATCTTTTTTTTCTTTGAATTCCATGTGTAGGTTTTTGGATTTCCTTCTGTAAATAAAGGAGATGTGTTTACAGACTTTATCTTTGTATTGCTTAGGAGGAGTTATTCAATTCACTTAAGACTTTGTTAAGTTAAATATTAATGTTAAAATGATTAGGGCTATTTCGTTCAAGACAATTGCCACTAATCACATGTGATTATGTAAATTTAAATTTAAATTCAACTTAACTAAAATCAAATAATGAAAAAGGTCAATAGTACAAATTCTCAGTTATATCACGTGTCAAGTACTTAAGAACCACATGTGGCTGTGGAATTAGACAGTGCAGATGTAGAACATTTCCGTCACTGCAGACATTCTATTGGGCAGTACTAGTCTAGGGCATCCAATTATAGAACAGAACTAGAGTATAAAACTGCCAAACTGTTCGTCTAGAAAATAGAATGAGAGGGAAAAATCAAAGTAAAGGAGGCAACAAAGCAAGGGAATATAAATTCAGAAAAAGTGGCAAAAGTAGAAGATACAAAAAAAGATGATAGAAATGAACACAAAAACCCCCACACCCAATTAATTGTCTTACAGATTATTTGAAAGGCTTTAACTTTTATTGTTTCCTTTAAATTTATGTATTTCATATACAGTAAAATTCAGTCTTTTTGGTATACAGTTGAATGGCTTATAACAAATGCCTGCAGTAATGTAACCATGACCAAAATCCAGAAGCAAAGCAGTTCCATCACCCTAAATAATTTCTTGTGTGGTTCCATCACTCTATATAATTTCCTGTTCTCCCCACTTGTGCCCTATTCATCCCAGTCCCTGGCAACCACTAATCTGTTCATTACTCTAGTGTTAACTTTTCCAGAACATCATATAAATGGAACATACACTGAATCATACCCTTTGAGTCTGGCTTCTTTCACTTAGAACATTCCATTTAAGATTCATGAGTGTTGCATGCACTGATAGGTTTTTTCTTTTTATTGATGAGTAGCATTCCACTGTGTGAATGTATCAAAATCTGTTTATCCATTCACTCCCTTAAGAACATTTGAATTGTTTCCAGTTTGGGGACTTTGTATATAAAGCTGTTGTGAACATTTGCCTGCAGGTTTTTGTATGAAGATTAGTTTTCATTTCTCTTGGGTTCACCTAGCAGTGGAATTGCTGTCATGGAAAGTGTATGACATAACTTTAATTTTATAAGAAATTATCAAAATGTTTACAAAATGGCTGTATGATTTCTCATCCTCGTTACCAATGTGTGAGAGTTCCAGTTGTTTCATATTCTTGTCAACACAAAGTTTTTCTGATTTATTCATTCTCATAGGTATGTAATGGCATCGTTTTGTGGTATTAATTTGTATTTCACTATGACTCATGATTTGAGCATCTTTTCATGTGTTTATATCATCCACATATCTTTGGTGAAGTGTCTATTAAAATATTTTTCCCATTTTATACTTGTTAGTTATTGCTGAGTTTTGAGAGGGCTTTACATATTTTGGAAACAAGTCCTTTGTCATATTGCTTTTCTCATAATATTTGTGATAATTCCTGATATTTTATCTCTGTGTGGCTTGTCTTTTCATCCTTTTATTCCTGTTTCGGGAGGGAAAAGTTTTCAACTTTGATGAAGTCCACTTTCTCTATATTTCTCTTTGTGGATCATGCTTTTGCTTTTACATCAGAGAACTGTCCTAAATCTAAGATCACAAAACATTTCTAGTTTTCTTCCAGAGTTGTAGTTTTAGGTTTAGTCTGCAATTGATTTTAAGTTTTATTTATTTTTTGTATGGTGCAATATCTGGATCAAAGTTTGTGTGTTTGTGTAAATTGTGTGTTGTGTAAAAAAATTAACACAATTGTGGATGATTAGCATCTTAACCATGTTGAGTCTTCCAATCTTGAACAAGATATATTCTCCATTTATTTTGGTCTTGTTTAATTTCTTTTGCTGTGGGGTACCTGGGAGAATAGGCAAACCTGGTGGATGAAGGCAGAGCAGGGAGTGGGTGATTGAAGGGGCAATGTGACTGGTGCATTATTCTCTCCAAGGCCACCAGACAAGGTGAGAACTAGAAAGATCAGAAGTACAAGGCACAAGTGACAGAGGTTAGTCATCCTGACATCATGCAGCTTTAAGATTGTCCAGAGAACTGTGAGTGGCTGCTATTACCTCTGGGTCTCTGGAGTATGTCTTGCCCCTTTGACGAGAAACCCTTGCTTCCTCCACCCTACATAAACTCCTCAAAAGAGAAACCTCTAGCACTGGAATCTCCCTCCCCAGACAAAAGCTCTGCACAGATGGAGTCACGTCTCTATCAGCGTCCCCCAGACTTAGAGTCCCCTGGAAACTGGATGGTCAAGATCATAAGTTATTGGGACTTATGTATGCCAGATGCAACAGTCTGCCCGGCACATTAGACACATCTTATGGGAGTCTCACCACACCTAGAGGGAAGTGTTTTCCAATTTGACAGAAAACAGAGGGGAGGCATTTGTTCAGAATGCATTTGAAACCTGGCCCCTCGGCAAACTTTACTGACCAGCTTCTACTTTAGGGACTAGGCATGTGAAAGAAGGACAGAGTCCCAGCTCTTGTGAACCTTACATTTTAAAGAGTGAAAGAGATTATCCAGGAAACAGACAAATAGAAAGTTTTCGCTAGTGGATCAAGAACATACAAAGGTAACAGAAAGTGGCAAGTGTGTGCCTTGGAGTGCTGCTCCGGCTAGGGAAGTCAAGAGGCCTCTGAAGTGGCCCTGAAGACACCCAAGGGAAGGCCAGACAGAATGGTGAATGCACAAGCCCTGAGAATGGCTAAGGCTTCCTGTCCAGGGCCTGAGTGATCACTGTAGCTGGGACCAAGGGGAGAGGAGCTGAGCAGCAGAAGGTGGGGCAGAGGGAGGGGTGGACAGGGGCCAGAACACTCTAGCCCCATGGGCCTTGGAAAAGAGGGGATGGGAAGATGCTTGAAGGGATAGAAGAGTTGAGAGTGGAGGCTATTCCAAAAACATCCAGGCTAAAGAGGAGGGGGCCTGCAGTGGCCTGAGACTGGGAGCTGAAGGGGCAGAGAGGAGGGGATGGAGTGGATGAGAGGTGTGAAGGAAAAGAGAGATGGAGAATGTAGGGCTTAAACTGTGGAGGCCAGAGAGGGAGCAGAAATGACAAGTAGGTTTTGACCCTAAAACCCAAGCACCTTAGCACTGACAGGAACTTCGCCTTTTTCTTCCTTGTCTCTAATTGGCCAGGACAGTGGTGAGTACATAGTAGATATTCATTCAATCACTTTGATCATTTATTCAATGAACATTTCTTGCAAACCTACGTGCCTGGTACGTCACAGGTACCAAGGATATACCAGTGAATACAGTGGTATCCTTGTTCTCTTGGAGCTGACACTGTAGAGGGAGAAAGGAAAAATAAATTGTGTGTGTTTGTGTGTGTGCATGCACGTGTGTGTGTGTGTTTTGATATGGGCAGAAGGGAAAAGAGAATGGCGGAGGCTGTTTTGGAAGTGATGATAATTGGCTTCTCTGATAAGGTGATATCTGAGACCTGAAAGGAGTGAGGAGGTGAGTCCTAGATGGAAATATCTAGAGGAACAACATTGAAGATAGAGAAAACAGCAAGTACAAAGGTTCAGAGATGGGAGGGTGCTTGTTGACTGACCAATAGGTCTAGTGCTTGTTGACTCACTAATCAGTACCTGTGTCCCTTCCATTAGACTTGGAATTCTCTAAGGAACATGCCTGGGTTTTCCTCATCAGACAAGAGGGGTCAGAGAGGTGGGATGGGGGCCACTTTCTCTCTTTCTTTATGCTATTCTTCTTTCCCCAATCCTGGCCAGGCTTAGAAGTAGGGGCCAGGGAAAGACAAGGGTTGAGTCTGTTACAATCTGGAGAAAAGTTACAGAAAGTCAAGGAATAGGAAGGTTCTGTGCTGTTCCAGAACCCACTACTCATATCCATGCTGTTTCTGCTTTTAACACCTGCAGGTCCCACCCTGTCATCCAGTTCCCCATCTTTGCCACTGTTGTGGCATCCATCACACTAAAACACCCAGCTTCTTGTGTTACCAGCCACAAGTTTTTAGTCTCCCATGCAATAGAAATTGACACAAGGCCAAGTGAGTTTCCCAGACAAGGCTTTATTAGGGGCTTATTCTTGAATACAAGGGAGACAGCACTGGAGTGAGAGTTCTCCAGATGGCTCCCCAAGGAGAGGTCTTTTTGCTGTTTTAAACATGGTGACATGAAAAGCATGATGTATGCTAATATCATTGCATGTGTTGGGTGGAGTGTAGAGTGTGCAGGCCCAGTGAGATATCATGTTAGTACTTACATCACATGATCAAAAAATGGTGGATAAGCCCCTCCCTGGGTGGGGATTTTCACATTATAATGAGGCAAGCAATGAGGTAAAGTCCTGTGTGCATGCAAGCAATAAAGTTAACTCCCTTGAATGAGATTTATGGTAGAATGCTTCTTATCTTAGTTTCTTTAAGGTCTTACAGCCAGTGAGGATGGCACCAGTGGAGGTGCAAGTTCTGGTAGTCAGCGGGTGTGGAAAAATGCATTATTAGTGGTGGAGGCAGAGTCCCGTCCCTACTCTGTTTCACTTGGATATTTACCTCCCGGTGCATTATCTGCCTCTTTGGCTATCTTGACAGGGGTTGGGCATAATCTCACTTTGGGAATGCTGTGAATGTGGTCAATTCCTGCTCTGCCCCAAGGCCTCGAGACTGAGAAGGTACATAGAAGACTCCAGAATCTTAGAATCTCTACTCAGATTCCACCTAGACTCTTGCTTGTGTCCTGGGCCTTAGTCACTTCCTCCTTATTATTCCTCAGTCATTTCTGCTTCTCTAGGTAACTTGCTGACAGAACATGTTGCTCTAAATTCTGCTGATTCAAAACTCTTTTATTCTTACCAACAAAGAGTAACAGGCATCTCCAAATATGCCTGACCACACATGAACTCTTACAACGCATACAGTGAGTGCAGATTACCCAATCCAATAATTTATTCTAATTTTAATTCTAGACACTCCCCTCCTGGTAAGGTGAAATTCTGTGTCCCAAAGGCCCTTTCCACAGAGCATTCTAGGGCTCAGTGAAGGGACATTCAAAAGAGCCAGGTCCTCCTTTTCCATTTGAGCCCCTCTTCTGGAGCCCAGAGCTATAGAGGGAAGAGTGACTGGCTTCTAGGACTCTTAACTGAGGAGAAGGCAGTTGAGGGCCATCAAGGAAAGGCCTCAGAGTAGACAGGAGCTAAGGTAGCTAGGCCTGGTCAGCTGTCCTTTGCCTTAAGTCAGGGGTTCTCAAAGCCTGGACCCTAGGATGGCAGAATCAACACAAACTGCAGCCTCAACCCAGATATATTAAGTCAGATCCTCTGGGTTAGGGCTCAGCAATCTTTGTTTCAAGAAACCCCCAGGTGATTCTGATGCAGAATGGTGGCAAGAACTCAGACCCAGACTGGGACTGTCAGGCAGGTGGAGTCCTGGCTCTCCAGTAGACTCTGAACGTGAGAGGTCATGGGCAAAGCCCTTCTGGACCTGGGCATCCCTTTCTCCATTTGACAAGCCCCAGGATTTTTACCAGGTCTCTGAGGCAGTGATAGAATCAGGTGAACATCTCAATGGGAGATGCACACACAATTGTAACCTTACCCCTTTCTCACTTAGAGGGAAAACAAACTACGTGCAGTTGCTTTGAATGTCTTTGGGTAAAGTCACAGGGGAGCTGCCTGCCCTCTGAATGAGCCAGATATTTCATTTACCCTATTTAGTTAGAGATCTTGCTATACCTTAAGCAGAAAACCCACCATCACTACCACATACTTTCCCACAACCTTGGAAAGGAAGAGACATGTTTGAGTTGGAATTTGCTATCCCTAGACCCTCCTTCCACTTCCACTCTTTTTTGGCATGGGGACTTTTCTGTACTGCCTCCTTAGGAACTCAGGTCCCATCAAAATGTGGAAAGAACAATTACATTTGTTTCGCACATTTGCTTTTTTGATAGTTTCTGAGGAGAGTAGGAGGAGGGCAGGTTTTTCAAGGCTCCTTTAGGGATGCAAGTATGATTACCCCAAAAGGTTCCACCCCCTTCACACTTATCAAGGGTCCCCATAAGAGCCTGGCCTTTCACATATATTATCTCACTTACCAAGCACAGATCAGAGATGTTAAACAAGTAGCCCAAGGTCACACAGTGGGTGGTACATGTAGCAGAGCCTGGATGTGTGCTTCCTCCCTCTGGACCCTACCACCTCCCTCAGAGGTTTCACAGGGCAAGCTGGGACTGGCACTGAATCCTCAGGCCACTTAGTACCCTGTCATGGCCCTCAAGGAATCCGCACCCCAGGCAAAGCCTTCTTCTGAGGTTTGGGAGTGAGAGAGTGACTCCCCAATCTTCCTCCTGTTACCAGTGGAGGGTCTTGACTAAAAGTTGTCCTGGTTCCTGGCATTTTAAAGAAAAACTTAGTAAAAACATACAAACAAAGCAGCAAAAGAAAGAAGCAACGAAAGCATAGATTTATTGAAGTGAAAGTACACTCCACAGAGTGGGAGCAGGCTTGAGCAAGGGGCTCAAGAGCACTGGTTGCAGAATTTTCTGGGATTTAAATACCCTCTAGAGGTTTCTCATTGGTTAATTTGTTTACACCCTATGTAAATGAAGTAGTGGCCCACAACCAGTTTCACTGGTTGCAGGAGAGGACCAACTAGAGGTACTTTCCATGTTTCATCTGCAATGCAGTGGAAAGCGGGAGTTGGGGGCATAATTTGCAAAAAGGAGGAGCCTCTGATCCTTTTGTTACTTGACTGTGGAGAGGTGGAATTTTCCTTTTGATTCAGTTCCAGGAAGTGAGTGTGAATCATCCTTAGGTTCCCTGCCTCCAGGTCCTGTTCTTCTGCCTCACTCCTTCAGACCTGGGGCATCCCTCTTCTTGCCAGCCTGCTCCTCCCCTTGGTTCCAAGGGGGCTCCTGAAGGCTGCATTTGATCACTCAGCAGAACCTGAAGTGGGGAAGGCAGCCAGGTCTTGTTTAATTTCCTACAATATATTTTAGGACAAAAGTCTTGCATATCTTGTCAGAGTTTTCTTCATAGATTACCTGTCATCTGTGAATTAAGATAATTTTACTAATTTCTTTCTGATCCAGATGCCTTTTATTTCTTTCTGTTTTTTATTGCACTGGCTAAAACTTCCATCACAATGGTGAAGAGATTCTGCCAGAGCAAACATTCTTGTGTTTTTTCTAGTCTTGGGAATTCATTCAATCCTACACGATTAAGTATGATGTTACCTGTAAGTTTTTCATAACTGTTCTTCATAAGATTGAAGAAGTTTCCTTTTATTCCTAGGTTGCTGATATTATTAGAAATAGATGTCAGGCTTACCAAATACTTTCTCTATGTCTGTTGAGATGATTCTGTGTATATATAGAAATTTTAATTATTCTAATTGGCTTATTACAGTGATATATTTTTCAAAATTAAACCAACCTTGCATTCCTGGTATTTACCTATTAGTTCTTGCATTTATGTTTATATTGGTCTGTAGTTTTCTTTTATTGTAATGTTTTGCCTGTATATTACAGAGCTAATATATCCCTATTGCTGAGGCAATGTTCTTTTTAGTATTGTACTCAATGCCTCACGAATTATGATGTTTTCCCTATGTCTGGTGGGAACAGCAACTATTCCCAGCCCTGTAAGATCTCCAGGGATTGTTCCTTCTAATATTTTTGGGTAGCTGATTTCCCTGACTTAGGTGATTTCCTCACATGCATGTGCGGATCACTAGTCATCTGAAGACTTAATGGGGACCCTCTCTGTACAGTCCTCTCATGCCCTTTGAAAGCTAAACCCATTGGCTTCCCAGAACTTGGTTCCTTTTCCTCAACTCAGCTGCTACTGAGCGTTGCCTGGATTATTTTCCCTGCACCATGGCCTAGAACCTCTTTTCAGGCAGTAAGCTGGGGCAGTCATAGAGTTTGCATCATTGTTTTTCCGTTTCTCAGGTGTCACTGTCCTTCTTTGACTAATGCTCAATGTCTTGGAAACCATTTTGTATATTTTGTCCATTTCTCCAGGATTTTCAGGCAGGAGTGTAAATTAGTTCTATGTTATTCCATGGTGGCCAAAGTAGAAGCTCAGGATGCTGCTTTTTTTTATTTTTCCAAAGGCTTTAGTTTTAATTAGTGGAAATAATGGGCTATAATGGGCTTACTTTATCTTGGCTGCCCCTATTACTATCAAATACATAAATATAAACATACCAGAAGTTTTCTTAGCCAGATTAAGAGCATCTTCAAAAATCTCACAGGGAATATCATGTTAAATAATGAATCATTATAAGTATTTCCCTTATAATGAGGGAGAATAGAGGAGTGCTCACTATTACTGCCTTTATTTAGCTGGTAAATAAAATTTAATTTAGCCAATGCAGTGTGATAAGAAAAAATAGTAAAATATAATATTTGAGAATTGAAAAGAAGGGAACAAAGCATATTCATGAAATATCCACAGATGGTATCATATCTATTTTTGAAACAAAAAATATTTATAGATAAAATATTAGAATGATTGTAAAGTAGCATATTGGCTAGGGTTAAGGTTGATATTTACAAAACAATGGATTTAGCTTAGTCAGCAATATCAGAAAATGTAATCATCAAAAATTATTTTATAATGCCTAGAAAAATATTATTTACCTGGAAATAAATGTAAAAATTATTTGTTAACCATTTATGGAGAAAATTATTTTGCTGAAGGCATGAAAATGAGACATAAATCAATGTCAAGATATACTAATGAGTAGAAAAATTCAAAATTAAGACAATATTTCATGAATATACAGAAAAATATACCATTGGAATAGAACAGAGAGAGTAGAGACAGACTCACAAATTTCAAGATGTGACAATATCTTTGTATTAGTTTGTGCTATGGTGTGAATCTTTGCGTCCCCCACAATTCATATGTTTAAATCCTAATCTCCAAGGTGATGGCATTAAGAGATGGGGCTTTGATGGGTGATTAGATAATGAGGGCTCTACATAATGTATTTTCTTAGAAAAGTCCAGACTATGTAGTCTCTTAGGGGTAATAAAGTACCACTGACTGTTTGGCTTAAACAACAGAAATGCATTGTCTCATGATTCTGGAGGTTCAAAGTACAAGGTCAAGATGTCAGCAGAGTTTGTGACCTGTTAGGGCTGTGAGGGAAAGATCTGTTCCAGGACTCTCTCCTTAGCTTGTAGTTGGCCATGTTTTTCCTATGGCTGTTTACCTCATCTTCCCTCTGTGTATGTCTATGTCTGTATTTCCACCTTTTCTAAGGATATCAAGGGTATTGGATTAGAGGCCCATCCTACTGCAGTGTGACCTCATTTTTAACTAAGTATATCAACAAGAACTGCATATCCAAATAAGTATCACATTTTGAGGTACTAGGGATTAGGACTGTAATGTGAATTTTGAGGGGACACAGTTCAACCCATAACAATCTTATGTGGCAAAACTGACAGTACAGATCAGTGGAGAAAGAATGAACAATTCAGTCAGCATCGCTGGAGTAATTAGTTATCCACATGCAAAAAATAAAAAGTGATACCTACTTGAAGCTATGTACAAAAAATAATTCCAGATTAAAAACTTGAATGGTAAAAGCAACCTTTACAATTTTTTGAAAAAAAAAAAAAAAACAATTATCCTGTGAAAGGTGTTCTAATGGTATAAAAAGATTAATAAACTTGACAACATTAAAATTAACTCCTTTATGACACCTGAGAATGAAAAATCAAGAAGAAATTCAGAATAGATGTTTAACACATATGATGAATAAACAATTTGTGTCTACAATATTTAAAATACTCCTAGAATCAATAATAAAAAGAAAAATAATCCAGTATAAAAATGAACAAAAGACATAAACAAGCATTTTAGAGACTGAAGTGTGAAAAAGGGTTCAATTTCATTAGTAATTAGGAAACTACTGTTTAAACCCTCAGTAAGATGCTATTTCACACCCACAAGATTGGTAAACATTAAAATATGGATAACACCAAGCTTTGATAAAGACATAGAATAATGAGAACTCTCATTTCTCATTGGTGCAAGTGCAAGGTGGTACAACCATTATGTTAAATAATATGGCAATATCTATTATAATAAAGATGATTACTCATTTTCTTTTTCTCATTGCTCTCCTACTGCCTCATGTCTTCAAATATTTATTGATAAAATCTATTTCTGAAGTTGAGCAATTCCACTTCTAAGTCTATACTTGAGAGACACCCTTGTAGATGTGCACCACGAAACATATTTGAGGATATTCATAGCAAAATTAGCCACTGCTTTTATTAGAAAAACCCCAGAAATAACAGAAATATTCACAAACAGTTTGTTTCTTCAGTGAATTCTAACTGTAAAAATGGATACAGAATTTCATCAACTAGAATGAACCTCAGAAAAGTAGTGCAGGCCGGGCGCAGTGGCTCACACCTGTAATCCCAGCACTTTGGGAGGCCGAGGCAGGTGGATCATGAGGTCAGGAGTTGAAGACCAGCCTGGCCAAAATGGTGAAACCCCGTCTCTACTAAAAATACAAAAATTAGCTGGGCATGGTGGCATGCACCTGTAATCCCAGCTACTCAGGAGGCTGAGGCAGAGAATTGCTTAAACCTGGGAAGTGGAGGTTGCAGTGAACCGAGATTGTGCCACTGCACTCCAGCCTGGGCGACAGAGCGAGACTCCGTCTCAAAAAAAATAAATAAATAAAATAAAATAAATAAGTAGTGCAAATCACAGAAGAACATATTCAGCTGGATCTGTTTATATAAAATCAAAACCAGCAAAATGAAACAGTGTACTATTTATACTTTTACTACATATGTATATGTCCCTAAATAAGTGTAAGACAATGATAATTTTAAAACAAATTCAGACTTAGTGGTTGTCCATGAGAATGAGAAAGGAAGATAAGATGAAGGAGGGACACACTGTATGCCTCTAATGATTTGTAGTGTGCTATTTCTTAGGTTGGGAAGAGATACATGGATGTTTAGTATATGAAATATAGGGTGTCATAAAATGTTTTTGCATGCATAATATGTTTTACAGTTTTTTAAAAACACAGTATATGAGAGGTAAAGGAAGAAGCTGAGGACTATTCACAGGATACTAGCTTGAGTAGTCAAATGTGTAATGACACCATTATCAGATTCAAGAACACAGGAAGAGGGGCACAATTAAATTTTATGACTCTGGTTTTAAAGGGGCTAAGAGTGAAATGCCTCTGACATATCCAAGAGTAGATGTCAAAGAGGCAACAAAATATTAATATCTGGAGCTTAGATGAGAGGTCAGTGCTGCAGAGATAGATTTGGGCAATAAGTATATGAAAACATGAGGTGATAGGAGAGCCCCAAGACGAAAAGGAAATCACTATTCCTAAGACCTAAGCTCATTCCATTGCACCTACCTACTAAATGATCCAAGCCGAGCTGTACCTCCTGATTTTACTCTCTCCAGGCTTATTCCTCTATTTATATAGACTAGATCCAATACTTCAGACTTCACAATGATTTCCTTCCAAGTTATGTTGACTCTTGTCATATAATATTTTTTACTTATGTTTTTCATTTCTGTTGCCATCAGATTCTCAATATCTTGTATCCTGGGCTACTACCAACTGATTGTATATGAGTATTTATATTTATTTATATATCCCATCCTATTATTTATCTGCCATTTTAATATATTTTCTTAGTGCTGTCAAAACCATTGACAGAACAGAAACTAAACAGATTTTTAATGGGAATCCTTGAAAGGTGATCTTTCAAATATCTAAAAGATAAGTAAGTCCACCTTCACTAGTAAGTGAATAAATGTACATTCTAAAAACAGTCAAATTAGACAGAATTTTATCTATCAATTGGCAAATATTTAAAATAGTAACACTCAAATCCTTTTAAGGAATCAACCATAGGATTGAGGTTGGTCTCCTTGAGCAGCTGGAGAGAAGAGATGGGGTGAGTTGATACAATTCTCTGGAAGGCAGTTAGGCAGAATATATGTTGCAAAAGATGTTTACATCCTCAGTTGCGGTATTTCCACTCCTGGGAATATGACCTAGGGAAATATTCAGATGTGCACACAAAAATGTTATGTTTGTAGGAAGTTTTGTCATATTTAGAATAAGAATCTGGAAATAATCTAAATATTCAGCAATGAAAGGATGGATTACAAATTATTATACAGTGAAATATTCTGTAGCCCCTCAACTTGTGGTTTCAAAGTTTGCTTACTGCACAAAGTAGTGACACATTGCCTAGTGAAAAATAAAGTCACATGCATCATAGTATTTAAGAAACATAAGATTTAGATCTGCATATGAAATAATAGAGGGCTGTTTCTGATCCATTTCAAGTTAGGTAAAAGGTAGGAGTCCAACTCATTTCTTTGCATCTGGATATCCAGTTATTCTAGCCACATTTGTTACAAAGATGATATTTCCCCCATTAAATGGTCTTAAGACCCTTGTTGAAAATCAAAGTACTACTTTTAAGAATCAGAAAACAAAATCAAAGTATACAGAGAAAAAAAATTAAAAATTAAAATAAAGTGTAGAATGAGTATCTAAATTGATAGAATAGTGATTGATTTTTTCTCCATTATTCGTTAACCATTATATTATCTAATTTTTATTCATAATATCTATTAGTTCTATCATTAGAAAAATATAAAACATTATTAAAGGTGATTCTTGTTAACCTCTTTAATCTTTCCTTTTTAAGGATACTGTCATGAAGCAGACACATGCTGACACACCTGTTGATCATTGTCTATCTGGCATAAGAAAGTGTAGCAGCACCTTTAAGCTTAAAAGTGAAGTCAACAAGCATGAAACAGCCCTTGAAATGCAGAATCCAAATTTGAACAATAAAGAATGTTGTTTCACCTTTACGTTGAATGGAAACTCCAGAAAATTAGACCGTAGTGTGTTTACAGCATATGGTAAACCCAGCGAGAGTATCTACTCAGCCCTGAGTGCTAATGACTATTTCAGTGAAAGGATAAAGAATCAGTTTAATAAGAACATTATTGTTTATGAAGAAAAGACAATAGATGGACATATAAATTTAGGAATGCCTCTCAAGTGCCTGCCTAGTGATTCTCATTTTAAAATTACATTTGGTCAAAGAAAGAGTAGCAAAGAAGATGGACACATATTACGCCAATGTGAAAATCCAAACATGGAATGCATTCTTTTTCATGTTGTTGCTATAGGAAGGACAAGAAAGAAGATTGTTAAGATCAACGAACTTCATGAAAAAGGAAGTAAACTTTGTATTTATGCCTTGAAGGGTGAGACTATTGAAGGAGCCTTATGCAAGGATGGCCGTTTTCGGTCTGACATAGGTGAATTTGAATGGAAACTAAAGGAAGGTCATAAGAAAATTTATGGAAAACAGTCCATGGTGGATGAAGTATCTGGAAAAGTCTTAGAAATGGACATTTCAAAAAAAAAAGCATTACAACAGAAAGATATCCATAAAAAAATTAAACAGAATGAAAGTGCCACTGATGAAATTAATCACCAGAGTCTGATACAGTCTAAGAAAAAAGTCCACAAACCAAAGAAAGATGGAGAGACCAAAGATGTAGAACACAGCAGAGAGCAAATTCTCCCACCTCAGGATCTAAGCCATTATATTAAAGATAAAACTCGCCAGACAATTCCCAGGATTAGAAATTATTACTTTTGTAGTTTGCCCCGAAAATATAGGCAAATAAACTCACAAGTTAGACGGAGGCCGCATCTGGGTAGGCGGTATGCTATTAATCTGGATGTCCAAAAGGAGGCAATTAATCTCTTAAAGAATTATCAAACGTTGAATGAAGCCATAATGCATCAGTATCCGAATTTTAAAGAGGAGGCACAGTGGGTAAGAAAATATTTTCGGGAAGAACAAAAGAGAATGAATCTTTCACCAGCTAAGCAATTCAACATATATAAAAAGGACTTCGGAAAAATGACTGCAAATTCTGTTTCAGTTGCAACCTGCGAACAGCTTACATATTATAGCAAGTCAGTTGGGTTCATGCAATGGGACAATAATGGAAACACAGGTAATGCTACTTGCTTTGTCTTCAATGGTGGTTATATTTTCACCTGTCGACATGTTGTACATCTTATGGTGGGTAAAAACACACATCCAAGTTTGTGGCCAGATATAATTAGCAAATGTGCGAAGGTAACCTTCACTTATACAGAGTTCTGCCCTACTCCTGACAATTGGTTTTCCATTGAGCCATGGCTTAAAGTGTCCAATGAAAATCTAGATTATGCCATTTTAAAACTAAAAGAAAATGGAAATGCGTTTCCTCCAGGACTATGGCGACAGATTTCTCCTCAACCATCTACTGGTTTGATTTATTTAATTGGTCATCCTGAAGGCCAGATCAAGAAAATAGATGGTTGTACTGTGATTCCTCTAAACGAACGATTGAAAAAATATCCAAACGATTGTCAAGATGGGTTGGTAGATCTCTATGATACCACCAGTAATGTATACTGTATGTTTACCCAAAGAAGTTTCCTATCAGAGGTTTGGAACACACACACGCTTAGTTATGATACTTGTTTCTCTGATGGGTCCTCAGGCTCCCCAGTGTTTAATGCATCTGGCAAATTGGTTGCTTTGCATACCTTTGGGCTTTTTTATCAACGAGGATTTAATGTGCATGCCCTTATTGAATTTGGTTATTCTATGGATTCTATTCTTTGTGATATTAAAAAGACAAATGAGAGCTTGTATAAATCATTAAATGATGAGAAACTTGAGACCTACGATGAAGAGAAAGGTAAACAAGAGTCATCACTTCAAGATCATCAGATTGAACCCATGGAATGTTAGAAAAGAGATGCTGTCTTCAAGAAAATATGCCAATAATTCCTGGCAAAGATTTCATGACAAAGACACTTAAAGCAATTGCAACAAAAGTGAAAATTGGCAAATGAGACCTAATTAAATCTTCTGCACAGCAAAAGAAACTATCAACAGGGTAAACACACAACCTACGGAATGGGAGAAAATATTTGCAAACTATGCATACAGCAAAGATCTAATATTCAGAATCCATTAGGAACTTAAACAGATTAACAAGCAAAAAAAACAAGCAACCCCATTAAAAAGTGGGCAAAGGACATGAACAAACACTTTTCAAAAGAAGATATACACATGGCCAACAAGGATATGAAAAAATACCTGATATCACTAATCATTAGAGAAATGCAAATCAAAAAAATGCCATCACACTAATCAGAATGGCTGTTATTAAAATGCCAAAAAATTACAGATGCTGGCGAGGTTGCAGAGAAAGGGGAATGCTTATACACTGCTAGTGGGAAAATAAATTAGTTCAGCCATTGTGGAAAGCAGTTGGGTGATTTCTAAAAGAACTTAAAACAGCTACCATTCAAGCCAGCAATCTCATGACTGGGTATATGTCCAAAGGAATATAAATTGTTCTACCATAAAGACATGCACATATATGTTCACTGCAGCACTATTCACAATAGCAAAACATGAAATCAACCTAAATGCCCATCAATGGTAGACTGGATAAAGAAAATGTGACACATATACACCATAGCATACTACACAGCCATAAAAAAGTACAAGATCATGTGCTTTGCAGCAACATGGATGGAACTGAAGGTCATTATCCTAAGCGAACTAATGCAGGAACAGAAAGCCAAGTACCACATGTTCTCTCATAAGTGGAAGCTAAATATTGAGTACACATGGACACAAAGAAGAAAACAACAGATATGGGGCCTACTTGAGGGTGGAGGGTGGGAGGAGGGTGAAGACTGAAAAACTGCCTATGGGGTACTATGCTTATTACCTGGGTGATGAAATAATCTGAACACAAAACCCTGGTGACATGCAGTTTACCTATATAACAAAACTGCACATGGACTCTTAAACCTAAATAAAAGTTTAAAATATATATAATGCCAATAATTTAGAGTATTGGAGGCTGTTTCCTTTAATAAAATTTCCTACTTAGAAAACTTTTAGAGAATTATGTGGATGTGCAAAACATGTATTAGAGCTCAAATACTGATTTTGTTTATCTTGGCTTTTTCAAGCCTCACTTAAAGTGCTTAGCTCACTTTTACACTTAAAAATAATTTGTTATTTGTTTTTCTAAATGCCTAGGGTGGTACACCTTCATTACTGGCAAGGTGGTTTTTGTTCTCTGCCTAACTAGATAGTGGTAAATACACTTAAATATGGAAAAAATATGTATAGTTCCTCTACAACCCAAAATTATTTGGTAAACATAATTTATTTCCTTCCATGCCACCTGTGACATCAACCTCCATTGCAAATGGCCATAGAAAATTCCAATTTTTCAGTTCTTTCTTCTAATTCAGCAATAGCTAACTCTTTGGCAGATGAGAAGAGTAGCTTGCTCAGTCTCCATCCCCATCCTCTTATGTTCAGAGTCTAGAAAGCTAGAAGCTACATATTTCAGACTAATTTGCAAGTAAGATTCTGAATACAAATGAGATTCCTCCAAATAGATACTATTTGTAAGACAAAAGTAAAGTGGGGGTCCTCTTTCTTCCGCTCCATCTTTTGGGAAGCTGGGTCATCAAAAAGTGAGTGTCTAGAGATAGTAGTGCTGCTGACTATATTCGGTGTCAGTGTCTAGTCATCAGCTTCTTGGGTATCTACAAGTGGTTTCAGCAGTAGCAACAACCAGAAACTGTTGCAGTGTCTATTCATTCACTTTGATGGAGTGCAGAGGTATTTCTGATGGTAATAGTTCCTAATTGAGTTTTCTGATTTCTGGATTGCAGGTAAGAGAGTGTGTTCATAAACCTAATAATTCCAGTATTGGCCTCCTGATCCTCACTGCTGTTATCCTAAAGATTTCCAGCACTTGGTCCTTGTATTAAATCTCTTTAACCTGCACTGAATCCTGACTGGTGTACCCTCCTTGATAACTTGCAATTGGTTGGACTTTCCAAATATGTGATAGTCTCAGTTGTGCAAAACCTGTAAATCTGACCTACATAAATTGTTCATTCAGAAATGCTAATCTTTATTCAAAAGCATACTGAATTTCAAAAAAAAACCAAAACCAGCAACAGGAACTTAAGAGAGAAGTTTATTTCTCACATAATAGTCCAAATGCAGTCCTTTGTGGTCATGGGAATTCCAACCTGTGAAGGTATTGTTTCTTCAATGAGGCTATACTATGGTCCTCAACATGCAACATGGCCAAAAAGGCTGCTAAAGTAGCCAACACACCTCTACTACAGCCAGGAGTGATCAGGAAGGACAGAGCACCTCTTCCTATTAAAAACACCATCTGAAAATGGCATATACCATGTCTGCTCGCACCCAGTGTTCACAGTTCAGTTACATGGCTCACTTCACTGGAAAGGAGGCTGTGGAATGTAATGCTTATTCCAGATGCCCAGCCTAAATTCTATAACTGGAATAAAAGGAAAATGGACATTGGGCAAAGTCATAGTCTCCTAAGAGAAGTAACCAGGAGTTACTCACTACCCATCTCACCCCTCTAGTATATGTATGTCCTCTCCTTTCCACATGTGAAATGTACTTACCCACTTGCCAAGATGATCCAGATTTTCTGGGCAATGTGTATTTCTCTTCAGCACATCTGAATGCAGCTCCCCATGGTGCAGAGACTTACCTGCATTCCTCCTGCTCCACCCACATACCCAATATACTATAGTGGAGTATGAACATAATCCAATAAATTACATTTTTATTCAGAAAAAAAGGATAAATGGGAAATATAGCAGCCACAATCCTATGGAATGACCAAATTCTGTTGTGCAGGAATTTACATGATGTCCAGCTCTGGCAGGGGAGTACAATTTTTGATTAGCTCATACTGCGAGTCCTGGTTACTTCTCTTTGGAGTTGGAATGTCCTTCACTATTGTCCTTCATGCCCCCAGACTTTGTCCTGCAAGGTGTTCTCTTGTGTCTGTTTACAGTGGCCATTTCTTTTTTTAAGTCTAGTTATATTGATCTAGTATTTATGTGCAGGAAAATTCATTCTTTTGGTGTACAGATCTATGAATTCTGACACAGGCATAATTGAGTAATTACTACTACAGTAAAAAAAAAGTACTTTTTATGAAATAAAACTACAGTGCTGTCAACATGCTTATAAAACTTTAATAACTTAAGTGTTTACCTTTCCCTAACTTCTAGATTTGTTCATTTTTGTTTTACATGTGGATTGTTCAAGTCAGAATCCAAAAAGTCTATACGTTATATTTGGTTATGTGAGTCTCTAAAGTCACAATTTAATGTGTGTATTTCCCCTTTTTATTTTTTCTAATATTTGCTTATTGAAGAAAGTCATGTTTCTATGAAGTGTTCCACATTCTGCACTTTACCATTCATCCACCTGATGTCATTTAATGTGTAGCTGTAGACCCAGTATTTCTTGTAAACTGGTAGTTAGATCTAGAGGTTTGGTAATATTCAGTTTTGACTTTTTCCCAAGAAAACTTCCTAGGTGATGCCAAGAGATGTCCATCCTCCTACTAGCGTTTACTGTGGGCCAGTATCTGGTTCGCATTTGCATGAGCATTATAAAATTTATTATAAATACTACTGGCTTCCCAGGACTGAGTGTTGAATACAGAATCTCTGGAGAGTGCACCACTTCAAAAACTAAACCAAAGTCATGTTTCATCTTTTATTAAGAAATTTTAAAATCCATTCCAACAGAGTTTTTGATGACAGAGTTTAGCAATTTCTGATAATGATCTCTACATACAACTTGTCTTTTCCACCTAACCGTGTAACCAGGCTTGTGATGGGAGGAGCTGCCACTAAGTTCTCTGACATGCCCTGGAGACATTTTCCCCATTGTCTTGGCAATTAAGATTTGGCTTCTCGTTACTTATGCAAATTTCTGTAGCTAGCTTGAGTTTCTTCCCAGAAAATGGGTTTTTCTTTTCTACCATATGGTCAGGCTGCAAATTTTCCAGACTTTTACATTCTCCTTCCCTTTAAACATATGTTCCAATTTCAAATAATCTCTCTCAAGTTCTGATATGGTTTGGTTGTGTCCCCACCCAAATCTCATCTTGAACTGTAGCTCCCATAATCCCCACATGTCCTGGGAGGGACCCAGTGGGTGGTAATTGAATCACGGGGATGAGTTTTTTCTATGCTGTTCTTGCAATAGTGAATAAGTCTCACAAGATCTGATAGTTATATAGGAGAGTTCCCCTACACATGCTCCCTCTTGCCTGCTGCCATGTAAGATGTGCCTTTGCTCCTCTTTCATCTTCCACCATGATTGTGAGTCCTCCCCACCCATGTAGAACTCTGAGTCCATTAAACCCCTTTTTCTTTATAAATTACCCAGTCTCAGGTATTTCTTCATAGTAGTATGAAAATGGACTAATACAGTAAATTGGTATCACAGAGAGTGGGGTGCTGCTGTAAACATACCTGAAAATGTGGAAGCAACTTTGGAACTGGGTAACAGGCAGAGGTTGGAAAAGGTTAGGGGGCTCAGAAGAAGACAGGAAAATGTGGGAAAGTTTGGAACTTCATAGAGACTTGTCGAATGCCTTTGCCCAAAATGTGATAGTGATACCGACAATAAATTCCAGGCTGACATGGTCTCAGACAGAGATGAGGAACTTGGGCACTGGGGCAAAGGTCATTCTTGCTATGCTTTAGCAAAGAGGCTGGTGGCATTTTGCCCCACCCTAGAGATCTGTGGAACTTTGAACTTGAGAGAGATGATTTAGGGTATCTGGAAGAAGAAATTTCTAAGCACCAAAGCATTCAAGATGTGACTTGGGTACTCTTAAAAGCATTCAGTTTTAGTCATTCACAAAGATATCATTTGGAATTGGAACTTATGTTTAAAAGGGAAGCAGATCATAAAAGTTCAGAAAATTTGCAGCCCGTCGATGTGATAGAAGATAAAACCTCATTTTCTGAGGGTAAATTTAAGCCAGCTGCAGAAATCTGCATAAGTAACAAGGAGCCAAATGTTAATCACCAAGACAATGGGGAAAATGTCTCCAGAGCATGCCAGAGGTCTGCATGACAGCCCCTCCCATCACAGGCCCAGAGGCCTAGAAGGAAAAAGTGGTTTCATGGGCTAAACCCCAGGTCTTGCTGCTTTGTGCAGTCTTAGAACTTGGTGCCCTGTGTCCCAGCTGTGGCTAAAAGGGGCCAAGATATAGCTCAGGCCATTGACTCAGAGGGTGCAAGCCCCAAGCCTTGGTGCCTTACACATGGTGTTGGGCCTGCAGGTGAACAGAAGTAAAGAATTGAGGTTTGGGAACCTCCACCTAGATTTCACAGGATGTATGGAAACGCCTGGATATCCAGGCAGAAGTTTGCTGCAGGGGTGGAGCCCTCATGGAGAACCTCTGCTAGGGCAGTGCAGAAGGGAAATGTGAGGTGGTAGCCCCCACAGAGAGTCCCCCCGAGACACTGCCTAGTGTAGCTGTGAGAAGAGGGCCACCATCCTCCAAACGCCAGAATGGTAAATCCACCAACAGCTTGCACCATGCTCCTGGAAAAGCTTCATGCCAGACTGTGAGTTTGCCCAATGTCCATTTTCATGCCAGCTCATGAAAGCAGCCGGGGAAGGGGGAGTGGGCTGTACCCTGCAAAGCCACAGGGGCAGAGCTGCCCAGGACCATGGGAACCCACCTCTTGCATCAGTGTGACCTGGATGTGAGGCATATAGTCAAAGCTTATTTTGGAGCTTTAAGATTTGACTGCCCTGCTGGATTTTGGACTTGCATGGGGGCTGTGGCCCTTTTGTTTTGGCAATTTATCCCATTTGGAATGGGTATATTTACCCAAAGCCTCTACCCCCATTATATCTAGGAAGTAACTGACTTGCTTTTGATTTTACAGGCTCATAGGTGGAAGGGACTTGCCTTGTCTCAGATGAGACTCTGGATTTGGACTTTTGTATTAATGCTGCAATTAGTTAAGACTTTGGGAGACGGTTGGAAGGGGATGATTGTGTTTCGAATTGTAAGGACATGAGATTTGGGAGGGACCAGGGGTGGAATTATATGGTGTGGCTCTGTCCCCACCCAAATCTCATCTTGAATTGTAGCTCCCATAATCCCCATATGTCCTGGGAGGGACCCAGTGGGAGGTAATTGAATCATGGGGGTGGGTTTTTCCTGTGCTGTTCTTGTGATAGTGAATAAGTCTCACAAGACCTGATGGTTTTATAAAGGGCAGTTCCCCTGCACATGCTCTGTTGACTGCCATCATGTAAGACACGGCTTTCCTCCTCCTTCACCTTCCACCATGATTGTGAGGCCTCCTCTGCCATGTGGAACTGTGAGTACATTAAACCTCTTTTTCTTTATAAATTACTCAATCTCAGGTACTTCTTCATAGCAGTATGAAAATGGACTAATAAAAGTTCAAAGTTCCACCGATCTCTAGGTCAGGGGTAAAATGCCTCCAGTCTCTTTGCTAAAGCATAGCAAGAGTGACATTTGCTCCAGTTTCAAATAAGTTCCTCATCTCCATATAAGAACACCTCAGCCTGTACTTCGTTGTCCATATCACTCTCAGCATCTTGGTCAAAACCATTCAGCAAGTCTCTAGGAAGTTCCACACTTTCCCACATCTTCCTGTCTTCTGAGCCCTCCAAACTGTCCCAACTTCTTCCTGTTACCCAGTTCCGAAGTGGTTTCCACATTTTTAAGTATCTTTGTGGCAGTGCCCCAAACTCCTGGTACCAATTTCCTGTATTAATCTGTTTTTACACTGCTACAAAGAAATACCCAAAACTGGGTAATTTATAAAGGAAAGAGGTTTAATTCACTCACAGTTCCACATGGCTGGGGGGCCTCAGGAAACTTACAATCATGGAATTAGGGGAAGAAAATATGTCCTTCTTCACAGGGTGGCAGGAGAGATAAAAGTGTAGTGGGAATAGCCCCTTATAAAACCATCATATCTTATGAGAACTCACTATCATGAGAACAGCATGGGCAAAACTGTCCCCATGATCCAATCACCTCCCACCAGATTCCCCCCTTGACACTTGGGGGTTATTGGGATTAAAATTCAAGATGAGATTTGGGTGGGGACACAGAGCCAAACCATATCAGTATGGCTCTTACCTTAGGGAAACCTGACAGCTTGGAAGAGATGGCTGAGTAGCTGACCAGACATTTGAGTTCGAATCGTGAAGCTGAGGGAGGAAAAAGTCAGAGTTTAAAGCCTGTCAGCTAGTAGGAAACCTAATAAACACCACAGGATTTTGGATGGGTAAAAAGTTGTTGTACCCAAGGAATAAAAATGTTCCAGAAATATCTCAGCCTTCACAGGGACACAAGTCAATTTGAAATCACCTCAATCTAAATTAGGTTAATGTAATCTAGGACTACAAGTGACTCCCACCCAGCTGCTTGCAAAAATTAATGGTAAAGTCTCTTTGGAGGAAGGTTATATTATCTTTGGCTTCTAATTTTTTCTACAAGACAAAATTTCCTACAGAAAAATGAATGTCAATCTTTGACTTTTATAAAAAGGTAAGGAACTTTTATTGGCAAAATCAATCAAGAAAGATGGTAAAAATGTAGATTTAATAAGAAAAAATGTGACAGTATTCTATCCAATACTAAAATGGGAGTTACATATTTTAACTATAAGTATTTGCCTATAAGCCCATTCAAGGGCTTACAGTGCTCATGGAAGTGATCACCCTTCTTTCTTCATTTCTACCTGAATAGTAGAGCATTAGAGTCATTCTTTCTCTACCAGACCATGTGAATTGACATTTCCTGTTTTAGATTGTACTGAAACTAAAAGAAACAACTGTACAACCAAAGATGAGGTATAACCTTAACCAAAATTATATCTCTGGACATTTTCATAAAACCATGGGTCCTCTTATTAAATGCTGGAACCCAGTACTCCTCCTGCTACAACCACACACACTAAAGATTTCAAATCACCTGATCCTACTATTGCAAATAAATCTCCACTGAGTTATTCATGGAAGTGTTTAATAGGGTAAATCAGTTGTAAAATCTTGTTTTTAAACAGCATGCAAATAAAGCCTGCTCTTCATGGCCCCAGTTCTGAAAGCCCTGTCATGTATCACTGCTTGAGCTTACCTGCCGTATGACTTCTGCCTCCATCCCTCTGAACCAAAGATGGGCCTCACAAGATGGACCAGAAACACAGTGGTTCCAAGTGGTTATAGTAAGATTCATTTGCCACCTAAATTTTAGGTAAAAATTATCACTGGAATGTTCAGGAACTGGGCACATAGACCCTGGAATTTTGCAACAGCAAACACATCTGAATTTGGAATCTATATCTCAAATGTTACCACCTCTGTGACAGCATCCCTGAAGCCCTCTCTGTGCTACCACTGCAACCTGTTCACTTCTGTATTATGGTTATAACTCTTTTTTTAATTTTTTTTTTTACTTTTACTCATCTACTAGATTGTGACTTAATGGGTGGTGAGGACAATGTTACGTTCATCTTAGCAATCCCAATGCTTGACACTATATCTGGCATGCACAAAAATTTCCTCCAAAAAGACGGAATAAAATTTTTAAAAAGATACTTTAGGTTTATAGGTATTAGACATAAATTAGTGGAAGGTAACAGCTATCCCATAGAGCACATTAGAGAGACTGGTGTTCCAACAGCTACATGAAGTGGAACCACACAAACCAGCTAAAGGTGAGGCCCTGCAGGTTGGGCTTCTCCAGCACTTTCTGTCTTTGCTGCATGATCCTCATGGACTGCATCCAACCTTGTAAAGTCAGCCAAGAAGAGAAAAATCAGAGGCTCGTCCATTCCTTGCCGGTGTGATGACATGAGGAGCCATCCTTTGTGAACAGAACTCATTGGTTTCTGCAGTTTTTTGTTTTGTTGTTGCTTTTGGTAAAGGTTGGTTATAGCGTTGAAGCAGAACTAAAAGACGTCCACTCACAGTGAACTCTGGCTAATGATTCTGGACAGTCCAATCCTGTGGTTCAACTACTTCAATGGCCAGCCAAGGGAAAAGGGACTGAGTATATAAATTAATTCCCAGGCTTCAGGGAGCAGAAAACGCCTGCAATTCGTTTGGACATTGCAGTGTGCTTTTGCTCTTGTTGGCTATAAAAAGGCTAGGGAGAAAAACCAAAGTTAAGGAATTAAACTTCCTACTATATAACATATTGGTTTACAAGAAAAAACATATATATATAAAGTTATTTATATTTAAACCTTTATATTTTAATCCTTAACTCTTCCCCAGGAATCCCTATACATTTTCACAATAATCCAGGATACCACAAATGATGGAGAGAAGGGCATTTGAGATCTTGTTAGCCCTTGAGGCCGCCCCAAGAGGCTCACCAGCTTCAGATCTAGCACCATCAGACCAACAGATGGTTCTCAGAGGAGCACATGGAAGTGAACGTCCAGCTTCCCAACTTAACACCCCCGCTAATCACTCAGCCAGGGAAAAGCAGTTTCCCAGAAGGCTCAAGCTCTGTCCAAGAGAAGTGAGGGCTGGGCAAACCATTTCCACGTCCTGCTGCCACTGGGCATGAGGGATGTGGGTTCTCACCTCAGCTCCGCCCTCCCCTTACCCGGTTTCCGCAGGCTAATCCTCTGTCGCCATCTGCTGGCAGCGCGCGGCACTCCCCAGCCCGGTTAGGAAGAAACGGCTTTGCTGGGTGAGATTTAGGGGCTGCTCTCGCGTCTCGTCTCGGGAGCTGTCCTGAAAGGGGGCTGCCACGCTGGTCTCATTCTGTAGAGCTGCAAATTAAGGAGCACTGCGGGTGCCTCCAGAGGGTCTTGGAGGGTCATTTGGGCTGTGAGGTTGTAGGGAAAAGAAAGAGCGATCAGACTGTTACTGTGTCTATGTAGAAAGGAAGACATAAGAAACTCCATTTTGACCTGTACCCTGAACAATTGCTTTGCCCTGAGATGCTGTTAATCTGTAACTTTGCCCCAACCTTGAGCTCACAGAAACATGTGTTGTATGGAATCAAGGTTTAACGGCTCTAGGGCTGTGGAGGATGTGCCTTGTTAACAAAATGTTTACAGGCAGTATGCTTGGTAAAATTCATCGCCAGTCTCTATAGACCAGGGGCACAATGCACTGTGGAAAGCCGCAGGGACCTCTGCCCTGGAAAGCTGGGTATGGTTCAAGGTTTCTCCCCATGTGATAGTCTGAAATATGGTCTCATGGGATGGGAAAGACCTGACCATCCCCCAGCCCGACACCCTGAAGTATCTGTGCTGAGGAGGATTAGTAAAAGAGGAAAGGCTCTTGCAGTTGAGATAAGAGGAAGGCCACTGTCTCCTGCCTGCCCCGGGAACTGAATGTCTCGGTATAATACTCGATTGTACATTTGTTCAATTCTGAGATAGGAGAAAAACCGCCCTGTGGTGGGAGGCAAGACATGTTGGCAGCAATGCTGCTTTATTATTCTTTACTCCACTGAGATGTTTGGGTGGAGAGAAACATAAATCTGGACTATGTGCACATCCAGGCATAGTACCTTCCCTTGAACTTATTTGTGACACAGATTCCTTTGCTCACGTTTTCTTGTTGACCTTCTCCTCACTATGACCCTGCCCTCCTACCGCATTCATCTTGCTGAGATAGTGAAAATGGTAATCAATAAATAATGAGGGAACTCAGAGAATGGTGCAGGTGCGGGTCCTCTGTATGCTGAGGGCCGGTCCCCTGGGCCCACTTTTCTTTCTCTATACTTTGTCTCTGTGTCTTATTTCTTTTCTCAGTCCCTCCTCCCACCTGATGAGAATTACCCACAGGTGTGGAGGGGCTGCCTCCGAATTAAGGAGCACAGCGGGCGCCTTGAGAGGGTCTTGGAGGGTCATTCGGGCGGTGAGGTCTGGAGGAAAGCGGGGCGGGTTTCTTCCTCCTGAGGTACCAGGAAGATGGAGGCCACTGCAGACCGCGTGCCCCTACTAGTCCCTGCGGCCCTGGGCGCTCGAACCTCGGGCCACAGCTAGGATGGGCGCGGTGGTTATTCCCTTTTCTGGAAGGAGGAAGGCTAGCAGCCTCTGGAGTTTTGATGGGGCCGACACCCCCTTAAGAGTCCAAACGAAGGCTCCTTATGAAGGCATTACTCTCATAGAGGTTCTTTGCCTTCCAGGTCTTTGACTGAGCTGGAGTCTATGATCTGGATCCTAGGAATCCCGATCTCACAACACTTTTGACCTCAAATTGAAGTGAACATCACCTTTTCCTGCTAGTAGTTGAGTAATTTGGTAATATTTATCCAAAACCTAAAAATCATGCACAATCATCTAGACCATCAAAACAGAGTAACATGGTAGTAGTAAGAGAAGTAACAATGGCAAAGGCGCCATACCATTTCCGGAGCGTTCGTGCCAGGTACATCTCCACGACCATCCCATAGGCTACCTCATTTAGGCTCATGCCCTCTATGAGACAGTATTAGCGGGGGCATGTTCTTTACATGCAACGACAGAACCAGGACAGAGGCAAACATAAAGACGCAGTGGCTTTCAGGGTCGAGCTCAGCACAGTGTTAATTCTGTCTATATTCTACTGCCCAAAGCCCAACATTGATGGGGTGGAGAGCAACTGCAAAGGCACCTGGCAACCAGTGTGTGTACAGGGAAGGGGGAAGATCTGAGAACAATTTTCCACACTCGGCCACTGGTTCTTCCAATTCTCCAAGTACTTCAAACTAGATTAAACAGCAAACGTGTATTTAATATAGAATGTGTGTGCATTTTAATATATTGGATAGGCTATGAGACGTGACCTGGAAAAGCACTAGGCTTAGATACAATATTGCATTAAACTGCTCTGGGTCCATGAATGTGAGAATCATATTCATTCACCTCTGTTCCCCAATGTCCAGTACAATACCTGGCACAAAGTAGGAATTAACACATCTCTTAAATGAATGAAACCATGTGGAAATGATATTATTTGTGTACCTCTTCTGTCTTCCCTATTTGAGGGCAGGGGTCAACATTTTACCCTTCATAGAATGTGGCACCGGATCTTGTAAATTGCCACCCGAAATTTATACCTTGAATAGATTATTGGATTAATGAAAAAGCATTATACTAGGAAGAAGTAAGCCACTGTGCCTTTTTGCAGTTAGATCTGAGAGGCAGCCATCATTCAATAGAATAAGTTTGGCTTCTAGTTTCAGATGGGAATACAAATCCTCATAAGGATGTTTCTGCACAATTATTTGCTAAAGCTTTTTGTGAAATGGCGAAGATAATCTCACCTTCCCCACAGGGTTATTGAGAGTATTAAATGAAACAGACACATGTAAATGCCAAGCTCAGAGAGGAACTCAAAGCAGTACAGCAGCAGAGGTCATTTCCCTCTACACACTCCCTGCTGCTTCCGTGGGCAGACATAAGTGTTAGCCAGGCCAATGAAAGCAGTTAAGCAGCCAAGTTGGACTTTGCCAAGGGATCCCACACCACCACCACCCCTTTTAAAGGTTACTACAAAAGTAATCTTAAGAAAGTTTTATATATAATAACTGTGATATTTTTAACTTGATTGCACATCTTATCAAACAGGTATTGATTTTCAGTGCTTTCAATGATTAAGAATAAGGGCAACAAAAAAGAAAATCTGTGTATAATATGATGAACCTGGAATTTTTGGTTTCATACGTGTGTGTATATATATGTATATTTATGTATATATATATATATACACACACAGAGCAGTAATGGCCTTTAAAATAAATTCAAATAATGATAGAAAACAAAACATCTTCATGCATGGTGTAATCTTTTTCCTACAAGAAGGCCTTGTTTTAAAAATGTGCATAAGGTTATGCTTTTGCATATTTTATATAATTTCTTAAAGGTATGTTATCAAATTAATGTTTTCCAGCCAGGGTATCATATTTAAGGGTGATAGTAAATACTCCAAACACACCAGCTGTCACAAAATAATTATGCCTATGTCTATTATTGTTATCTGTTTCTCATAAAATTAATCATAAATGATATGAATTATTGATTAAAATTAGTGTTTATAGACTATAAACCTATGAAAAGCCACAAGAGCAGTATTTTTACATATTTTTCAAGAATTCAGATAACAGTGTAACCTTTGATTATAATAACAGAATTCATTTCTGTAGCAGAATTACAAATACAGCAATTATAAATATAAATGATACTCCGTTAAGTCCATCCTGCTTTTAACTGTGCAACTATTTACAGCCAGAGGCAGGAATAAAAAAGGGTGTATACGTGTGGAAGAAAATTCACTCCATGCTGTTTTTGACCTTGCGTGTAAAAAATAATTCATTACTATCAAAAGAGGCATTTTCCCAAATAAAAACAAACAAGGAAACAAAAACACAGGAAAAAAAAAAAAACTACTTACTGACCGTGACTTAAGTGTGGAGGAAAAAACCCTTTGCAGCTAATGTTGGCAAAAGTGTGTCCCCCGTAGATTTAGTCTAAGAATTAAGAAACTGGCCGGGCGCGGTGGTTCATACCTGTAATCCTAGCACTTTGGGAGGCCAAGGTAGGCGGGCTGCCTGAGTTCAGGAGTTTGAGACCAGCCTGGGGAACATGGCGAAATCCTGTAGTCCCAGCTACTCAAGTGGCTGAGGCATGAGAATCGCTTGAACCTGGGAGATGGAGGTTTCAGTAAGCCAAGATCATGCCACTTCACTCCAGCCTGGGTGACACAGTGAGACTCTGTCTCTAAAAAAAAAGAAAAAAGAAAAAAGAAAAAAATAGCCTGTTTAATGAAGCATTGACAAGGAACCCAGGCTATGATTATAGAATAGGAGCTTCATAGTAATTGTAAGAACTCTGGTTCTTAGAAGACAAAAGTTAAATTTAATAAATAAGTTTAATGGCCAAAATATCTTTTTAAAACTTGTTTGTAGTCTTTAGAATGTGAATTTTATTTGGTTTAGATCTTACTAAGCTATATTTTGTAACTGAAATTAATACTTCATTTTTGCCTGAAATTAGTAGAAAAAACAATAGCTAAAGTTTGCTACAGATAAATAAATGTCAATATTAGACTTTTTTTCTTTTGAAAAGGTAGGGAACTTTAATTAGTAATATAAGTTAAGAAAATGACAAAGATGTCAGATAATGAAGAAAAAATGTGACAGTAATCTTTCATCCAAAAAAAGGTTATGTTCCTATTGTCTAAAGCCAAAATATATTTCATTGCAAATATATATAAAGTTTAAGAATTGTTATTTTAGGCCCTTTCCGCAATAAGCCAACACATAACTTATCATGCCATAAATGTTTTTAAAAGAAATATGATTAAAATTATACAAAACGACATAAAAATTTCAGAAAGAATATTGATAAATATCTTGGTACATAGTAGATTTAGTTGCACAGATATTAGGTGGTACAAGTTTTATATCTTCTATAATAATAACTTTTTATTATCTCCTTGTGCACTAATATTTCAATATGTCAAAGTCATTTGAATAACCTTTCTAGTAAATCTCAACTTCGTAGATTGAAAACTTTTTTAAAAGCTTTATTTAAGTTTAGTGGTACATGTGCAGGTCTGCTATATAGATAAACTCATGTCATGGGGGTTTGATGTACAGATTATTTCACCACCAAGGTATTAAGCCTAGTACCCATTAGTTGTTTTTCCCGATCCTCTCCCTTCTTCCATCCACCACCCTCCGATAGGCCCCAGCGTCTGTTGTTCCCCTCTGCGTGTCCATGTGTTCTCATCATTTAGCTCCCACGTATAAGTGATAATATGCAGTATTTGATTTCTGTTCCTGCATTAGTTTGCCAAGAATAATGGCCTCTAGCTCCATCCATGTCCCTGTACAGGACATGATCTCATTATTTTTTATGGCTGTGTAGTATTCAATGGTATACTGAGTTTTCTTTATCCAGCCTACCACTGATAGGCATTTAGGTTGATTCTTTGCTATTGTGAACAGCGCTGCAAGGAACATACGTGTTCGTGTGTCTTTATGAAAGAATGATTTATATTCCTTTGGGTACATACCCAGTCATGGGATTGCTGGGTTGAATGGTAGTTCTGTTTTTAAGTCTTTGAGGAATTGCCACACTGTTTTCCACAATGGTTGAACTAATTTACACTCCCACCTAGTATATAATCCTTCCTTTTGGAAACAAATTTTATCAGTATATTCAATTCTGAACACCCATGTTTTAGAAAATGTTAAGCCTATTGTCCTTTAATCACTATTTGCTTACACATTAAAATGTAAAACAGGCAAAAGAGAAAGAAGGAAGAAAGGAGGGAGGGAGGGAAGGAGAAAAGTGAGAAAGAAAGAAAGATAAAAGAAAAAAGAAAGAAGAAAGAAAGAAAGAGAAGAAATAAAGAGAAAAAAGAAAGGAAGAAAGGAAGGAAGGAATGAAGAAGAAAAGAAAAAAGAGAAAGAAAGAAGGAAAGAAAAAGAAAAAAAGAAAGAGAAAGAAAGAAAGAAAGAGAAAGAAAGAAAGAGAGAGAGAGAGAGAAAGAGAGAGAAAAGAAAATTTTCTCCAGATTAGAATTATTGGCTGCTATTGTTTGGATGCTGGGTACTAGCTGTGATTACCCTTTGTGAATGTAGGAATGCACAGATTCCAAAAGTGAGTCTCATAGAAAAAGTCAGCATTCAAATATGTTTTAAGGTTACTCTATCCAAACCCCAAAGAACCCACAGAAGATGAAGCAGTAATTTTAGCTTCTCTTGGTGTATTGTACATGCATTTAAGGCCAGTTCCTTCCTTCAAATTCCCATGTGTTTTGTAGTTACCAACACACCTTTCAACCCTATCTGTTTATATACATCATATAGTCCTCTGTCAATTGCATAAAAGTTGTCCCCTTTGTGACTGTAATCGCCTTTTCCAATACACATCTACTCAGAATGCAGGTCCTTAAACAGCAGGCTGCCTTGAAAACCCTCTCCAATCTTCTTCGATCATCAGCTTTGAGATGCATATTCCTAGAGCCCATATCATCTTCTTCATCACTATCATAAACGTCTCCACATATTGATGAACGTTTGGAGAATCGATTTATGACAAGGGAGTTTACTCTTCCTGCATCCGCGGCTTCTTCGTGATTTTGTCCTAGTCACCGGGCCTATCCCACCTGCTGGGGATGCCGCCCCCTCGGAAGTGCCTGAAATCTCCCCACTTACCCAACTAGCCTCAGCGCCTCCTGTGTGCTGCAGCAGATGGCGCGCTGCAGACCCCAGCCTGGTGCCTCCGCGACTCCTCCCCAACCATGATTTACAGGCGGGGACAGCCACATTCCTGCGCCCCAACTTCCACCTCCGCTTCCTGCGCGCGCGAGACTCAAGCTGCCACAGTGGCTCTGCCGCCAGCGTCCCAGCTCCTCCCACACCCGAGTTTTTATTTCCTGCTCCCTCTCCAGCCCGGCCCAGGCCAGCCTACCGGCGACTAGGATGCTTTCGCTTTCGCTCTCGCTTTCCAATACTCGGGACTGGGGAAACCGGGAGAATAGAAGCAGGCAAGGACCGCCGTGGGCACGGGGTCAGTGAGACAGGGTCCTGCTCGCGGCGTCAAGGAGGAGCGCTGTGGGTGGGTAGGGTAGGCGCGCCCCCTCGGCCTTGCCTTTCCAACCACTCTTTTTTGCACGCCAACAGGTGTCCCCAGCGCAGCCAATCGGCTTCCGAAGTAGGTGAGTTGCTGCCTGAAGAGAAAAGACAAACTCCAGTATCTTTCATTCCATTGGCCAGACGCGCCATTCCCCAAGTGAGTTCTGTTCTCCAACCAAAGTGCTGGATTCCAAGGGACTGGAAGGGAAAGTCCCTAAAAATCACGAGTTCAGGCGTCTGAGACTTGGTGGGAACGGACCTTCCTCTTAGGTGAGTTACTCTTTGGTTCTGGGGCTGACCTGGAGTTTTGCCAGGATTCATTGGCCGCAGCAGGATGCTGGTGGGGACAGGGTAAATAAAATCTGCACTCCTGCGGGCTTTTATTGTTGAAAGGGGCACTGACGCTCTCCCTGGAAACTTAAAAAGAACAGCCAAGTGAACGGATGTGTCTTTCTTTTGCAGTGCCCAAGCCTGTTCTAATTTTTAAAAACTGATGTCTATTAAGACCCAATGTTAACTTTATGAAAATGGTTCCTAAGGAGATTCACATCTCTGTGTCCGAATTCTGTGTGCAGCAAACATCATCTCAAGTGCGTTTTCCCAACTACGCTTCTTTCCAGGATAAAATACTCTAAGTGACAAATGTTGAGTACATTATCAGGTATGTTCACTATTGTGAGAACTGAAGCCATCTACACTCACATAGCTTGCCAACTACATTAACCTGACTTCTTATTCCATTATTTTCATCAACATACATTTACTATTTCAAGAAACTTTTGCCAGGGACCGGAAAGTTGCAAATATCTTTATTGCTTAATCCAGTATCTTCTTCAAAGATCCAACCACTCTTCAATGGAAAACATCAAAGAACAGTTTACATTCTAAGACTTTGAACCTTTACCTCAAAATCCTAGCCTTGTTTTATCTACCAATCCTAAACTTTTACCCGTAGCTGACTCAATTCTAACCAATTCCCCTCATTAAATATTAGACTTACAATGGGACTTCAAAATCTCAATACATATAGCCCAAACTTGCTCTTCCCTCTCTGAGACACCACTTAAATTCTGTCAAGTTATTGTTCTCCATTACCTAAGTGAGCAAGAAACTTAGCTTTGTCTTATCAACAGGTTGCTTTGATATTACTGGGAGCCAACATTTGACATTCTTGGAGGCTCCAGCAAGACCTAATCAACCTCCCAACCCTCAACTCAGAATCAGTGTGTGCCCTGAAGTCCCTTCAACCTTCTTGAGGCTCTCCCTGATCTCAAAGGTGGAGAAAGTAGATCTTGCATCAGGTTGAACTCCAGTTTCTTTTTGCTCAGTTTTTCAAGCGCTGAGTTTATTTTGTCCCTAGGCATAAAGAAATCTTTCTAGGAACCCCTTTGGTTATGGGACCAGATTTTTAAAAGCTTTTTAGGCTTGGTGAAAAATCTGCCTTATCACTAGCAACACTACGACTTGTCTCTGTTCTTGTTTTTTGTTGTACTCGTGTAAAAGAAAAGTTCAAGGGAAGAGAACAGGCTCAAGTCTACTTCTCACGCTGGCTCTGGGGATTAGGAAATTCAGAAAGTTTTGTTTCAGACTGGCAGTGCTGTCTGATATAAACACAGCGTCAAGTACTGCACGCTGTAGCTACCTGAGGTTTAGGCCGGAAGAGGCACGGCTGATTTAAAAGTGAAAGAAAGTAACCAATTGGTTCGCAGACAACCTTTTCCCAAAAGGCGGGCGATTCAAACCCCTAGCCCCACCTGCTCCGTTTCCCGCCCAGCTGGAGCTCTGGAGCCTTTGCTTCCTCAAATACGAGCGGGAACTGCGTTGAGCGCTGGATTCCAGGCCGAGTGCTGGCGAGGCGCGCAGTGAGTGAGCACACAGGGCGCTGGGGTGCTCCGCGGGGCGCGGTCACGGGCGCGGCCGCGGCGGGCTCGAGTCCCGGCTGGGAGGAGAAGGAGCTGGGTGTCAGGAAGCCGGGGACTGACAGCGCCACCCATCTGGGGAGCCGGGAGGACACAGGTTTTATTTTGGTAGTGCTGCAAGTCCCCTTGTGTGCTGGGGGGAGCGGGGCGGCGTGGTAGGATTGGAAGAGGCTTAGAGTTGGCCTCGACCCCTGCCCTTGCCCCTGGAAAGGCAGAAAGTGGGGGTTGGGGTGCGGAGAAGCAGGAAGAGAGGGAGAGTGAAGGAGGGGAGGAAAGGGAGAGAGGAAGAGGGAGAGTGAAGGAGGGGAGGAAAGGGAGAGAGGCAGAGAGGGGGAAGGAGAGAGGGAAGGAAGGAGAGATTGAGAGACAGAGAAATTCCTAAGGGGAGCTGTCAGGTGGGCTGGACATGGGCCCCAGGCTGCACTGCTTTATCCCTTTGCTGTAGGAAGTCAAGCAAGTTCTTTAGGTAAGTAGAACCTTGATGTCAAGTATAAAACAGGGGTTGGTATAGGATAGCTAAGAGCACTTTATATTTTGATATAATCTGATTTATCCTGGATACTGAAAACAATGTAGGGAGACGGAGGATATTGGAGTGTTTTCTTAACCTCTTGCCCCTTTCCACTGTGATTGCTCAAGTACATGCAAAATTAATGTTTCTTTCTGCCCATTTTATTTTCCTTTTTTTGTCTGTGTCTATTAATCATTCCTAAAGCACCCGGATCCTCTCTCAAACTTCGTAAGATGAGACATCATGAACAGACACAGTGAATCCCTAGATTTTCTTAATAGTTGGGCAACAAGTTCTTGCATTTAGGGATGTTGCAACATAGCCCAGTTCCGCAATTGTACATTTTCTATTTTTTTTCCTAGGTTCTCTGCTGTTTAAAAAGTATCCCTGTGGTGAGTGTATTGATATTGATAACATTTACATGACCTTTTTATTGATTATTTACTGGGGGACCTATTACATACAGGCAGTGTTTTAAAGGCTTTGCATATGCTCTCTCTCTCTCTCTATATATATATATATTTACACACACTGTATATATAGATAGATTGCATATATAATATATATAATATGTGTGTGTATGTGTGTATATATATATTGTGTGTGTGTGTGTGACAGAGAGAGAGAGAGAGAGATGAAGTCTCGCTCTGTTGCTCAGGCCTCAGGCTGGAGGGCAGTGGTGTGATCTCGGATCACTGCAACCTCTGCCTCCCAGGTACAAGCCACTCTCCTGCCTCAGTCTCCCAAGTAGCTGGGATTACAGGCACCCACCACCATGCCCAGCTAATTTTTAATTCTTAGTAGAGACAGGTTTTCACCAGGTTGGCCAAGCTGGCCTCGAACTCCTGACTTCAAGTGATCCATCAGCGTTGGCCTCCCAAAGTGCTGAGATTACAGGCATGAGCTACCGCACCCAGACCACAATATATTTCTTAATCTTTATAACAAGGTTGATTCCCACCTTAAGGTGAGGAAAATGAAGGAAGAATAGTTAATTAATATGCCCAAGGTCATGCAGCTAGTAAGTGGCTACCTGATATTTGAACTCAGACAGTTTTATAAGTTCTAACATTATTTTAGCACTTCCATATTCATTATCTCATTTAGAATCATTGCTTCTTTTTACAAACAAGAAATTGAGGCTCAGAAAGGCTAAATGAATTTCCCTAGTCAATGACTGACAGTAAACTAGAAAGCCAGGACTCTTGTTCCATAGTGGAATGGTTACGAGAGTAAACATAGCCTTTAGATAACTTCCATTTGACAAGAAATACAGGGGCTAGAACATAAGTTAAACAATGACATGAGGAAACAACCCAGGAGGTGAACATTCTATAGAGACAATTTCTCTGTTCTCTTCAACAAATCAGTGCTTTTTCTAGAATAAAAGAGCCTTATAAGACATATAAAGGAAACTGTGTACCTCAGTTGGATCTTGGTATGAATAAATCAGTATTGTGATTATAAAAGAAAAATTATGTAATTTTTAGAGATGGGAAGTGACCATTAGCGTTTAAATGTCATGATGTTTCTAGCTGTAACATAAATCATCTAGTAAAATAAAAGGATGGTGTAAGGGTAGCCAAACCCGGGTTTGGCAACTCACACCTCAAAGCCAAACATGAGAGATGAGAGTTGGTGGGAGGAAAAGCAGGTTCATTCAGAGAGCCAGCAAACTGAGAAGATGGCAGACTAGCAACCCAAAGTAGCCTCTTAAGTGAGTACAAGTTTCAGGCTCTTTATGTTAAGGGCATGGGGAAGAGAAGGGATTTACGATCAAGAGGTGACCATTGACTGGAGACATCTGAGCACCATCAAGGATCCAAGAAGGTTGGGAATGTCTTTGTCCTGATGTTCCAGTGAGCCCAAGCATTGATTTGCTGAAGAGAACAGATAAGTTGTCTCTATAGAATGTTAATTTCCTGGGCTGCTTCTACATGTTGTTGTTTAGCTTATGTTCTAGCCCCTGTATTTCTTGTCAAATGGAAGTTATCTAAAGATTATATTTATATTTGTTCTCCAGGTCACAACCCTCCTGTAAATTTTTAACAATCCATAGTTGTTTACATACTTTCCCTTTAATCCCAGAGCTAGTTTTTAAAACTACATTTTTTTTGCATATTATCTCACTGCTCTAAAATTAACCTCCCCTCCATGCATGAATGGATAAAGACCCCGTGAACAAAAATAGAGTTCTTTATGTTAGTTCTTTTACTGTTTCACTGTTACATAAATTGGCAAAAAAATGAACAATTAACTATGTGATAGGTATGTAGAAGTTCATTATACCATTCTCTCATTTTTTCTCTAATAAATTGTTCATAATAAAAAGTCCTGAAAGTATATTCTCTGAGTTTTATGACCTTGAGTAAAAGTTTAATCTCCCTGGGTGTTCAAGCTCTTTTGCCAGTAAAATGAGACAAATAGTACCTATCTCATAGGGTTGTAAGAATTACATGAGATAGTTGATGAAAAGCACTTAGAACAGGGCATAGTACACCATATGCCTACTCCATTCGTTTATTGAATGTATCTTTAGAAATGTATCTTTTTCAAGGGCCTGACATGTCTCAGACATTGTTTTGAAATATTGAGGTACTAAGGACAGACATGGCTGCTGCCCTCAATGGTATTTATCTTTCTAGCGGTATTTATTACTATTGAAGATGTCACTATTTTATTTAAAGTTTGTTCATCCTCTTCTAGGGAGACATCAGAGGAGAGATAGAAGGAAAAATACCTCTTTAAACAAAAAATCTAAAGCAGCAACTAAGGTTTCTGACTATCATCCCTAGCAAACTTTCCAGATTTCTTTTTAAAATCTCATTCCAAGTTTCTTTCCTCAGCTCTATCCTCACCACTTCCCTGTAATTTTATCTCCCCTTGCCATCTTCATCTTAAATGAATAACAGATTTTAACATCAATGTAACTAGAACAGCTTTTTGAAATTTCCAACTGAAAATTATTCTATTATTTATACTTGCATTTGAATTCCATCTCTGCCACATAGCTCTGGCCTTGGGCAGTTCGTCTACCTTCTCTAAGCTATACTTTCCCCATCAGCAAAGTGTAGCTATACCTAATTTGCATAGCATCCGCAGGAATTTGCAGCTAGAGATAATTTTCATAAAGTGTTTAGTATAATTTTCATGAAGTGCCTGACACGCAGTGTTCTCGAAAAGAGAGCTTTTATTGTTAAGGTGATTATAGTTGGTGAATAAACTATCTATTTGCTAAGGTACCATCTCCAGGGAGAGCAAGGTTGGAGCCTAAGGGGAAAGATGGGACGCAGGACACCAGCTAATCTTTTCCTCTGTACAATTAATGACAGCTTTGAAGATACTGCTATAATTTGAAAATTTGAAATTAGTGTTTCAGCTGAACCATCCGTTCATCTTCAAGCCATCATGAGCTGTAAGAAGCAGAGGTCACGGAAGCACTCAGTCAATGAAAAATGTAATATGAAAATCGAGCACTATTTTTCTCCGGTATGTCTGTAAATTCTACTTATGTAATCTAGTCATCCCTTGGTATCCATGTGAGATTTGTTCCAGGACCTCTCTTGGATACCAAAATCCATGAATGCTCAAATTCTTCACATAACATGGCATAGTATTGGCATATAATGTATCATATCCTCCTGTATACTTTAAATCATCTCTGGATTATTTGTATTACCTAATACAAGGTAAATGCTCTGTAAAATGTTGATATACTGTATTGCTTAGGGAATAATGACAAGAAAAAAAAAGTCATGCACGTTTAGTTCAGGCACACTCATTTTTTTTTTCCCAAAATATTTTCAATCTGCAGTTGGTTGAACCCATAGATACAGAACTCACAGATACTAAAGCCTGTTTACCAATATTAGACTTACCTATCCTTGGCATTGGGTTTTATAGTTCTTCTTGCCAAGAAATTACCTTGAGTGTTGGGCATATTAAATAAACTAAAATTGTCCTTACTTGTTTTATCCTTTCTATTTTGGGGGCGGCATGGGGAAGAGAGTTGTAATACAAATCTTGGCTATATCAAAGCAGTCTTTAATGAAAAACTATTGTAATATTTCTTGAATAACAACAAAAACTTCAATACAATATGTTACAGTAAACTATGTAATAAACCAAAATTAATACCATTTCATAGCATGAAAACATATACCATTCCAAACGTGGCTGATCTATTCAATTGTAATTATAACCTACATTTGAATATAGTTTATAAAACAATTTTTTTAATATATTTGTTCTTACCATAACCTTGTTAGGAAGTCAGGAAGGATTCTGACAAATCTTCAATTTGTTTATTGGAGAAGAGGGAGAAAGTGAGTTGTTGCTTAAGGCAGGAATGAAGTGAAGACTTGGAGTTAAGTTTAATGACATGTAGTTGGGCCTTTTTCTACTGATTGGGCTCTGTTATCATATCAAACCATTGTATCTTTCCCTGAGTCTAAAATTCTCCTTGAATTTATCAAGAAAAAAGTTGAGGAATGGTAAACATTTGAGTATGAAGCTTACAATTTCTCAACTTGTTTTGTTTTGTCCTGGTTCTGGAAAACTAGAATATCCAAGTATCTAAAAAGTCTAAGGCAAACTTAGTTATGTTTTTCTCTATCCTATTCCATGACAGAGCTAATTACTATATCCTATTCCTCTTCCCCTTTCAGAAGTGTCTATATCTGCCCAAGAATCATTTTAATAAATAGGAAATTTATTATAGTACTCTAATAGGGTGCATGACAAAGATGTTTCTGACAGCATTAGGCTGAAGGGATGCTCTTTGAGAGTTTATATGTGAGCCCAGGGTAAATCTGCATTACCTTAAGTCCCTTTTATTTATTTATTTTTGATCTGGAATATTAGTATAAAGAAGGAAAACAAATGTTAACATATTATGTGCTAGTCATTGTGCTAGGCATTGTCATACAATGATGCTACACTTAATCTTTACAATATTCCTAGCATTGTTATTCCCAGTAGTAGTAAGGGGCATTGCTGGCATACGGACCCATATCTGCTGGTACCCATGCCATGATGAATATGACTTGGGAAAAATGTGTTTTTTAGACATAGGAAACAGACACTCTAATTTTTCACTGAGTTTCTACTATTTGATTAAGCCTCTTTATTTAATTCCTCTCCCCACCTCCACCCCCGTTTCTTAAGATAATGCGCTACAAAAATGGCAATCATAAATATAAAGTTTACAAAAAAGAATGTATACACTAGTCCAGTGGAAAATATAATTGGACTGGGAATTGCAATTTTGATACTCACTTTATTTATTGGTTATTATGTGACCCTAGAAAAGACGTCTACAAGAAAAACTTTCTGTGCCTTAGTTTCTCCATCAAAAGGATAGATAAGTCATGTTTGTTCCTCCTTATTTTATAAACTTTGGGGATTAGTTGATGTAATAGAGAAAATAGAGTTCTTTTCATGATATATGCTGGGCAAATCAAAGTATTTATTGTTACAAATAACTACATTATAACCAAATGATTAGTTAAATAATGATTTTGTTTAATATGTAATGCTTATAATAAATTGCGGTAGCTTATCGCTGAATTCAGTATTTCAAGAACAATTTTTTTTTGCTGTAATTCATTATTGTCCTCAGGAAATATAAAAATTATATAGCTGAAGATAATAAACAAGTCCTGAAATAAAACTATTTCAAATACTAGTGGACTTTTTTTTTTTGAGATGGAGTTTCACTCTTGTTGCCCAGGCTGGAGTGCAATGGTGCTATCTCCGCTCACTGCAACCTCCACCTCCCAGGTTCAAGCATTTCTCCAGCCTCAGCCTCCCAAGTAGCTGAGATTACAGGCATGTGCCACCACACCCAGCTAATTTTTGTATTTTCAGTAGAGACGGGATTTCACCATGTTGATCATGCTGGTCTCAAACTCCTGACCTCAGGTGATCCACCCGCCTTGGCCTCCCAAAGTGCTGGAATTGCAGGTGGGAGCCACCATGCCCGGCCACTAGTGAACTTTTAAGAATCTCTGTTTTTGAGGCACCTGGGAAAAAATTTTTTCTTCCCTCATATTTTTCAGAAGAATGCACTAGTGTAGTGGTACCAAGAGTTTATCTGACAGAGGTTATAGGAAGCTCCGCTTTCATTTTGGATCCCATGTCAAACACTGATTTAATATTATTCACTGGCCCTTTTAGATTGGTTCTCAGTTTCTCATAGGAATTTTGTGAATTGCATACCTGAAAAGAGAAACAAAAGACTCGGGTTGCATTCAGAGTTTTAAAGTATCTAACATTTATTTTTAGGTCTCTAAAGAGCAACAGAATAATTGCAGTACTTCTCTAATGAGGATGGAGTCTAGAGGAGACCCAAGAGCCACAACTAATACCCAGGCTCAAAGATTCCATTCACCTAAGAAAAATCCAGAAGACCAGACCATGCCCCAAAATAGGACAATATATGTTACCTTGAAGGTAAACCACAGGAGAAACCAAGATATGAAACTTAAGCTCACACATAGTGAGAATAGTAGCTTATATATGGCTCTCAACACTCTCCAGGCTGTCAGAAAAGAGATAGAAACTCACCAAGGCCAAGAAATGCTTGTGCGTGGCACAGAAGGAATCAAAGAGTACATAAACCTTGGAATGCCCCTCAGTTGTTTCCCTGAAGGTGGCCAGGTGGTCATTACATTTTCCCAAAGTAAAAGTAAGCAGAAGGAAGATAACCACATATTTGGCAGGCAGGACAAAGCATCGACTGAATGTGTCAAATTTTACATTCATGCAATTGGAATTGGGAAGTGTAAAAGAAGGATTGTTAAATGTGGGAAGCTTCACAAAAAGGGGCGCAAACTCTGTGTTTATGCTTTCAAAGGAGAAACCATCAAGGATGCACTGTGCAAGGATGGCAGATTTCTTTCCTTTCTGGAGAATGATGATTGGAAACTCATTGAAAACAATGACACCATTTTAGAAAGCACCCAGCCAGTTGATGAATTAGAAGGCAGATACTTTCAGGTTGAGGTTGAGAAAAGAATGGTCCCCAGTGCAGCAGCTTCTCAGAATCCTGAGTCAGAGAAAAGAAACACCTGTGTGTTGAGAGAACAAATCGTGGCTCAGTACCCCAGTTTGAAAAGAGAAAGTGAAAAAATCATTGAAAACTTCAAGAAAAAAATGAAAGTAAAAAATGGGGAAACATTATTTGAATTGCATAGAACAACGTTTGGGAAAGTAACAAAAAATTCTTCTTCGATTAAAGTAGTGAAACTTCTTGTACGTCTCAGTGACTCAGTTGGGTACTTATTCTGGGACAGTGCAACTACGGGTTACGCCACCTGCTTTGTTTTTAAAGGATTGTTCATTTTAACTTGTCGGCATGTAATAGATAGCATTGTGGGAGACGGAATAGAGCCAAGTAAGTGGGCAACCATAATTGGTCAATGTGTAAGGGTGACATTTGGTTATGAAGAGCTAAAAGACAAGGAAACAAACTACTTTTTTGTTGAACCTTGGTTTGAGATACATAATGAAGAGCTTGACTATGCTGTCCTGAAACTGAAGGAAAATGGACAACAAGTACCTATGGAACTATATAATGGAATTACTCCTGTGCCACTTAGTGGGTTGATACATATTATTGGCCATCCATATGGAGAAAAAAAGCAGATTGATGCTTGTGCTGTGATCCCTCAGGGTCAGCGAGCAAAGAAATGTCAGGAACGTGTTCAGTCTAAAAAAGCAGAAAGTCCAGAGTATGTCCATATGTATACTCAAAGAAGTTTCCAGAAAATAGTTCACAACCCTGATGTGATTACCTATGACACTGAATTTTTCTTTGGGGCTTCCGGCTCCCCTGTGTTTGATTCAAAAGGTTCATTGGTGGCCATGCATGCTGCTGGCTTTGCTTATACTTACCAAAATGAGACTCGTAGTATCATTGAGTTTGGCTCTACCATGGAATCCATCCTCCTTGATATTAAGCAAAGACATAAACCATGGTATGAAGAAGTATTTGTAAATCAGCAGGATGTAGAAATGATGAGTGATGAGGACTTGTGAGAATTCAGTCTACTGGATTTAAGGGAATGGCTTATGGAGTTGTTATTTCATAGGCATTGAAAATGGTTTTCTAAACTCCAAAATGGTCATCTTATCAATAATAATAATATTGACCATTTCCTATCTGCCAGGCATTTTTCTAAGCACATGAAGAAATTAGTCCTAACAACACTATGAGATGGACTATAACTTGCCCAAATTTTTTTTTTTTTTTTGAGACTGAGTCTCACTCTGTCGCCTGGGCTGGAGTACAGTGGTGCGATCTCAGCTCACTGCAACTTCCACCTCCCAGGTTCAAGCGATTCTTATGCCTCAGTCTCCTGAGCAGCTGGGATTACAGGCAAACGCCACCACACCCAGCTAAATTTTTTTTTTTTTTTTTGTATTTTTAGTAGAGACAGGGTTTCACCATGTTGGTCAGGCGGGTCTCGAACTCCTGACCTCGTGATCCACCTGCCTCGGCCTTCCAAAGTGCTGGGATTACAAGTTTGAGCCACTGCACCTGGCTAACTTGCCCTATTTTAAAGTCAAGCAATGGGAAGAATAACAAGATTATATAGTAATCAGTTTCATGACACTAAAAGTCATATAGTCATAGGGTTTTTTCATCTTTCATATCTTTGCCTAAATTCATTTGCTACAGTGCAGGAACCAAAACTTGTTCATCTCATGATTCCCTACATCTGACATAAGGAAAGTAAGTGCTCAGAAAAATGTGCAGGTCAATAAGTTGCAAAAGTTGGGGCTGCAATTAATGCTAACATAAGAGCTAAATGCTTGATTAGAAATGATCTCAAAACCTTTTAGAATTTCCAAAATCTTCATATTACTGAAACTGTCGGAATATATGGGTCTTGAAATTCAGAAGATGATAGTCACTCTTCCCATATTTATAGGCTATTAAGGCAAGGGATATCTTAAACATCATATTACTTTATTTAGATTTCTACTACTCCAATTATTAATGTTATGTATTTCTCATTGTTTTACTTCTTCATGGTATTATGAAGACTATATAGATGATTCAACCAAGCCTGCAAATCTCCCTCTTGTGGAATTCCACTGGACCCAATCTGTTTTCCATTTCCATTGCAATACTACTAAAGCCATACAATATCAAGCACCCTCCCTCTAGGTCCAGGGACTATCACAGAAGAAGCAGGCATGTAAGATTTTAAGGACTGGTTTCGAGGGGTCGAGTGTAGGAAAACAGCCTGTTGCATTGTAAGAGTGATGTCATCTTGAAGAGCAGCTGGCATGATGACTGCTGTTTGACTCCTGCATACCAAGATATTCTGCAGCAATGTCTTTAAACAGTGCCGGTAGTACAGATAACCCCTCATAAAGATGCTTATCTAACCTCCCCAGTGTTCAGGTGTTTCACAAGAAAGTCTGAGATATGACTAGCTACACGTTTTGCCAAAAATGCTTGTTATATAAAGGGTACTTTTGGGAGGGTGAGTGCCGCCATTTAGTGGCTGCTAGAAACATTGCTTCTGTTTGTAAGTTCCTATTAAATGTTTCTTTCTGAGAAACCGTATTTGTCAGCCTCTTTCTTTGGCCTCTCAGCTTCTTTGGTCTTTGGGGGTAGGTTGGGGTAGGTTTGCATTGACCTGCTCACCGTGAAACACCTGGTGACTTTTAATGAAGAATGGCATTAGAAACCAAGATCTAGGCACTAGATATGCTCATTGCTGGTGGCGTGTTGTTTCTTTTAGGCCCCCTCAGCTGACAGGGCAAAGAAATATTTGTGTGTATATTTACCCACATATGTATATGTACACATATGTATATATGCCTTGCTTATCTGTAAATTCCAACTCCAAACAGTTGGAAGCGTGATGCCTGCCATCCCTCACACATTCACTTAATTGCTTAATCCAAGTATACATATATAGCAGTGTCAGAATTGTTAACCTCTACCTCAATGGGAAATAATTTTATCAACTAGAATACAGTGCCTATGTGCAATTTCCCTGCTTTTAGTCTTATATATTCCATTCATTCCCAAAGTTATTTCAGTCACCCTGTTGTTTCTTACCTCCTTCAGTGACGTTTTATATGCTTATAGTACAGTTATACATAATATAATAGTTAGATTTTCTTGTCACAGTTTGAATTCTTTCCTTTGACCCCTTGACCTCCTAAATGATATTTTAATGTGTATTCATTGATTCACTCTGTGCTGTAAAGTTCTATGGGTTTTATCATACAGAATAGTTATATCACCCTAGAAATCTGTGCTTCACCTATGTATCCCTCATATCCCTCCCCTCTCCCCTGAACCCCAGCAAAAAAAAAAAAAAATCACTGATCTTTTTACTATCTTTATGGTTTTGCATCTTCTAGAATGCTATATAATCAGATTCTGTTTATATAGTTAGTACATTTTCCACATTTTTCTTTTTTGTTGTTGGTGGTGATTTTTCTGCTTAAGTGCTTAAATGGGTCCCATGCATAAAACTGAGGTTCTGTCGAGTGTTCCCTACCAAAAGATGGCTGCAATATGCCTTATAAAGAAAACATATGTATTAGATAAGCTTTTCAGACAGGAGTTATGGCATTTTGGGCTGTGAGTTCAATGTTAAGGAATCAACAATATATATTAAATAAGCTGTATTTTTAACAGAAACACACATAAAGCAAGTTTATTTACTGACTTTGATGAAAATGTTGTGACCAGAAGATAATATGAATTTAACACTGTGTTACTCCTAAAGGCAATGCTTCAGTATTTGCTAATTCAATATTTGCAGCATCTTTATAGACCATAACTACCACAAATAATGAGAACTGACTGTATCATTTCAAATATGGTTTCAAGTCTAATGCCTGCCTAATCGTCACAGAGACTTAAACTTACGTGGCTTTACTGTTTATTAAATAATTTCTGACATATTATCTCAATACACATTAGAGCAGATATTATTATACCTGTTGCCTGTGTGAGAAGGAAGTATAACTGAATTTTTACCCAAATTGGTGATATCTTGGAAAAGACTGGGACTTATATCTTGAAATATAGCTTATTGTTCTTTCTCCTAAGAGCTAGTTCATCAGATCCAGACACTACTATGGCCATTCCTGCATCTAAAGTACACCCACCTTGGATCACTTAAGAAATATAAGCATTTCAGAATGCAGCAAATACCTTTCTCTGATTTTCTCTTGTCCTAGCTCTCAAGACCAGGTAGCTAGAAAATTCAGCTTAGGTCTGGATTTATCACCACTCACTCATCCAATTCCTGGTTACAGAGCTAACCCACTATCACATTCTACTCCAGATCTCTCTTTGAAATGGGATAATGGATTAAACAAGGTTGTAGTGGGTTTAACTGTGCCTGCCCCTAAGGGCAGGCACTATCCTCACCCTATATACCTATAAATGTGACCTTATTTAGACAAAAATGCTTTGTAGATGTAATTAAATTAAGATTCAAGAGATGAGATCATCCTGCACTTACTGGGTGAGCCCTAAATCCAGTAACGAGCATCCTTATAAGTAAAGAAGAAACACAGAGGAGAAACCGAGAAAGAAAGGCCATGTGAAGATGGAGACAGAAATTGGAGAGATACATCTACAAGCCAGGGGTTGCCAGGGATTGCCAGAGGCCACTAAAAGCTAGGAGAGAGGCATGGACAGGTTCTCCTCAAAACCTCCAGAAGGAACCAACCCTGATAACATCTTAATTTCAGACTTCTGGTCTCCAGAAATAAGAGAGTAGATTTCTGTAGTTTCAAGCCACCAAGTTTGGGGTAATTTGTTATGAACTGGGTGGCTTAAAACAATTTAGTCTCTCACAGTCATGAGAGGACAGAAATGTATAACCTGAAGTCAAGGTGTTGGCAGGGCTGTACTTTCTCCAGAAGGTGCAGTGGGGGTAAGGGCGAGTGAATTAAGGGTCCCCCACTGACCTACCTGCTAATGAGTCTGAGTGGCCAGAGGTAGAATTGAAATAAGCCACCCAAATGATTCTTTGGTTGTCACTCATGTGACTCAGTCTCCTCTGGGCAGGAACAGGAAGGGATGCTCTCATGACAATGGAGCAGCAAGCCCCACAGCCCAGCAGAAAAGCAACGTGGTTGTGGCTACTGAGTGAAGAATCCCTGAAGTTGAAATACATGGTGTCAGCAATAAGGACCTTGCTATTTGATATATAGCTTCGGGCGAACAAAACATTTGAAATTTATTTGATTGAATACAAACTAGTCATTCAAAACTAAAAATACATGTAGCCAATTTCCTTCCCCTTTGCCCCCCTTTAACCCATCCCTTCCCTTCTGCCTCAACCTCAGCTGCTTTTAGAGAAAGATAATTAGAATGCAACTGAGATATCTCTGTCCCCAAATGGGACGGAGGCCATGCACACCTGTGTGCATATACTGGGGAACTTCAGGGAGGGAAGGGCTCAAGCTTATGGCTCTGTTGGATTCAGGTGTCCAAGTCACCATCCTACCCTGTCCTGTAAGAGAACAAGATGTTGGGCACAGGAATGGCCAAAGGCACCAAGGACTAAAGGATGGAGCTGAGGCAGTGTACATAGGGGTAGAAAGGGATCTCTGGGCCTGGGTGTTCACCAAATACTGAGAGGTGCATGGAAAAGAACTGACACTTGTGCTTAGATTCTGACCCTGCAGCAAGGAGTTAAAGGAGGGAAAAGGCTAGCAACTAAGTTTTCTTCCCTCTCTCTCTCTGCTGTCTTCCATTTGCCACCCTAGCTGTCCTTTCCCTCTCACCCTGAACTTCCCTGGGCTCCTAGACAGGCACAATTGTTGGAGCCTGATTTTCATTATGCTCCTACAGGGGGAAAAGCAAACGAATTCAACTGATGGAGTTTAGGTATGATTTGCTGTGAGAGAAAGAAAGCTAAAGTAACGTTATAGATGGAGCTCCTTGGGCGGATTCAAGATACCGTTGTTGTGGAATGATGTTGAGTGCCTTCACTTCCTCATCTCGTGTCAGAGAGGATCACCCTGTTCAGCAACTGCTTCCTGTGGGACATGTAGATCATCCTCTCAGTTTGTTTCCCTGTCCCCTCTCAGTAGTCTAGCAACAACAATATAGACTCTTCAAAAGAATGGGAAATCCTAGCTTTGCTTAAATACAGAAGCGCTCAGAGGCCATTTCCTAGGACAACATTGCCACCTACTGGAGGTAGCCACAAGTACACACCAATAAAGGCAGCTGTCAATTACCCTGCTGCCAAACTCTTGAGATCCACTGCCTGACTCAAGGATGCCTCTTCCATCTGGCATCCCTTTTGGGTCTTGGGTCAACTAAGACTGGTTGACTAACAAAGGGAGAATCCAAAAGGCCAAAAAAGCAGTTAAATGAAAATGGTATATTCAAGAGCTCAGCCAGGGTGGTCTTGGCGTCACATTGGTTTTACAAGAAAAGAAAATGTCAGATGCCTTTCCGGGTGAAATGTTATCTCTTACTTTGTCACCTGAATTATGTTATTTTCCTCCAAGGAGGGTTTACTGTATCCTCCTGATACAGAGTGAAATCAGATCATTAAGGTCTGATTATCAATTAAGAGGTCTGATTATCAATCAGACCTTTTAATGATCAGATTTCAGTCATGGATAAAATCAACTTGAGACTCAGTTGTATAATGCCAAGGCTCTGTCTACCTCTGGTTGGCTTCACTTCTAGAGTGTAGCCTGGAAGGGCCCCAGCTGAGGCCTTGGGATGTTTACTAGTGTCCTCCCACTTCCTGCGTTATCGAATTCAGAACTCCAATTTTTATCTCCTCAGCACTGTAAGTCTTTAGGGCACTCTGCTCCACTTTTCACTGGATGACTCCAATGGGCACAAGGCATGAAACTTAGTGCCATCCTTAAGGATCTAAAGGATACAGAAATGATGCTCCCTGTCATGTATGCATTTAGTTCATCAGTTGTGGAGAATGACCATTCACTATCACAAAATCAACCAACTGGTGGGCCCAGTTGCAGCCACTGTGCCAGATGTGGAATCTTTGCTAGAGCAAATGCACATTTAATCAGGTACATGGTATGTGGCCATCAGTTGAATTAATGCATTCTCTTCTATCTCTATCAGAAAAAGGGATCATAAATAGTTCCACTCACATGGAATAGACAACAGTGTACATGTGTATTTTTGCCCCAGGACTATATTAGATATAGTGTTCCTTCTGTTATAATATAGATAGAAAAGATTTGGACTACTTGTACTTCCTTCAGACCATCACACCTGTCTACTATATCGATGTTAACATGCTAATTAGGCCAGATGGCAAGAAGTAATCAACTACCTTGGAGGTGCCGGTACACATGCATTTCAGGTGACAGGAAATAAACCCCGTGAGGAATCAGAGGCCCCCTAAATCAGGGGCATGCTAAGACCACCCATCCAAAGAAAAGGATGAATTATTGAATCTTGCATACCCCATGAAGAAAAAGAAAGTACACTGCCTGATAAATCTCTTTGGGTTCTGAAGGTAGCATATTCCATGCATGGGTATACTGTTTCAGCCAATTTACAGGGGATGCTATAGGCTGCCAGCCTTGAGTGGGGTCTGGATTAGGAAAGGGTCCCAGAAGATCCAAGCTATAGTGAAAACAGTACAGCTGCTTGGACCATGTGCCCTGGCTGACCCTCTGGTATCAGATGTGGGAAAAGATACCATGTGGAGTTGATAGCAAGCCCAAGTGGGAAAATTACAAGGCAAAGTTTTGGGGTTCTGGAGAAAGCCCGTGTTTTTTGCAGTGGATAGTTATATATCTTTTGAATAACAACTCCTTTTGAATTATATACTGTTTGAATATACCTTTTGGGCCCTGGTAGGGAGCACCTAACCATGAGACATTAAGTGACTCTGCATCCAAATCTCGCCATTTTTTAGTGAGTTCTATCAGAATTATCAAGTCATAATGTCAAGTGTGGCCAAAAAACCAGTCTCTCGTATGATGGAGTTGGAATGCCTAGCATTGTGCAGCATGAGCAGGAAAGGAGACCACAAGTGAGTTGTATGACAAATGTGTGGAGCAGGCTCCCAAAGATGTTCACACCATAATCCCTGGAATATGACCATGTAGGTTATATGGGAAAAGGGAATTAAGACCGCTAATCATCTAAGTTTAAGATAGCAAGGTTATCTTGGATATCTGGATAGCCTGATGTAAGCACGATGATTCTTAAAGGTGAGAAAAGGGAGAATCAGAGATTCAGAGGGAAACGTGACCATGAAAGAGGCACAGAGAGATGCAACACTGCTGGCTTTGAAGATGGGGGAAGGGGTCATGAACCAAGAAATGTGAGTGAGCTCTAGGAGAAAGAAAAGGCAAGGAAACAGATTCTCTTCTAAACCTTCCAGAAGAGAACTGAGCCATAATGATACCTTGATTTTAGTCCAGCGAGACCCATGTCAGGTATCTGACCTATGTAGGCCTATACATCAGCCTGGGAAACAAAGGGTAGAGGCAGGAAGGGCCCTGCTTAGCTTTATCTGTATCCCTAATAACACACTTAGGGAATTTGTGCTTCCTGTCTCTCCCTCTGCCATCCATGCCCCTGCCAGCCCCCAGGTCAGGGCTCTGTAGGATGAAAGGTCCTGATTCCCTGTGGGGGCACACTTCTGCCAGGGGACACGGAAAGAGTCCTGCTGAACTCTAAGCTATAGCTTCTGCCTGTCACTGCAAAGACTTTGTATCCAGAGACCAGTATGCAAGAAGAGTCATTGCCTGGGCTCAGGCAATTAACCCAGTTCTTCAGGAGGAGGAAGTGCTTATGTGACACAGTAAGGGCAGGGAGAAATGTGTTTGCCACTCACATGATCCATTTGGACCCTACTTGACCAAATTTGATAGTAAACAGACAATTACACCACCATAGCTTGAAAATAGCATGGCAGCCAGGGTCTCAGACCCCTCAGAAATGAAGATTTGGGTCCTGCCACCAGGTAAGACACCAATACTAGGAGAAGCATTACCTGAGGCTGAGGCTGATATAGAATGGACACCAGAGAAGGGAGAGAGTAAAAATCAGTTACATCCCCTAAATCAATTGCTGTGAGAAAAATGAGAATTCTCTCCGAAATTCCAAATAAAATAAATTCTCCCTTTATTTATTATTTTATTTATTTGAGAGAATTATCTCTCAAATTCCAGCTGTGCATTGTACCAACTGGAATTTGAAAGTGAAAAAATACCATTTATTTGAGCAATTTCCCTCCTTCCCATCCAAACTAACTTGCTGAGATTTTGATTGCATTTGCAATGAATCTGTAGAACAAGTTGGGAAGAACTGATAACTTGACAATACTGAGCCTTTCTATAAATGTACATTGACTATCTCTCCATGTATTTAGTCATTCTTTGATTTCATTTATCGGAATTTTGTAGTTTTCTTCATATAGAGCTTGTTCAGTCTTTTCAGATTTATGCCCCAGCTGTCTCTTCCCAGTGGAGTTGTATAGATAGTGCTATTTCTCCCAGCCACAATGTGTGACAATACACATGAAGTATCATCAGCCAGGGAAGCTCACCTGAGCTTCAGTGTCAGGGTTTTTACTGGGGGCTATTCATGTAGATATGGCTGACCTTAGTCTCCAGATCCTCCAGAAGTGGTGCTGATAATGTGTGGTCCAAGTCCACCACTATAAATATTAAATAAAATAGACTTCAGATCAGAGAAAATTACCAGAGACAGAGAGTGCTATTATATAATAATAAAAGGATTGATCACCTAAAAGACACAGTAATTACAGGTGTGCAAGCACAAAACAACAAAGTGACAAAATATGTTAAGCAAATCCTGATATAACTAAAAGGATAATAGGCAAATCCACAATTATAGTTAGAGAACTCAACATCCTCCTCTCTCAACAACTTATAGAACAACTATACAGAAAATCAGCCTGGATATGGAAGAACGGAACAACATGATAAACCAACAGGGTCTACTGGTCATTTATAGAACACTTCATCCAACAGTAGAGTACACATTCTTTTCAAGCACCCACAGAGTGAATACAAAGATAGATCATATCCTAGGCCATGACACAAACCTCAACAAATTTGAAAGAGTTGAAATCATATTGAGTGTGTCCTCTGGGCTACAATGGGATCAAACTAGGAATCAATAACCTAACAATAACAGAAAAACCTCCAAACATTTGAAAGCCAAACAGCACACTTCTCACTTCTTTCTTTCTTTCTTTCTTTCTTTCTTTTTTTTTTTTTTTTTGAGACGGAGTCTCACTCTGTCACCCTGGCTGGAGTGCAGTGGTGCGATCTCGCCTCACTGCAAGCTCTGCCTCCCGGGTTCATGCCATTCTCCTGCCTCAGCCTCCCAAGGAGCTGGGACTACAGGCTCCCGCCACCACGCACAGCTAATTTTTTTTTTTGTATTTTTAGTAGAGACGGGGTTTCACCTTGTTAGCCAGGATGGTCTCGATCTCCTGACCTCATGATCCTCCCACCTCAGATAGTGCGTAGGTTAAAGAAGAAGACTCAGGAGAAATTTAAAAAGACATTGAACTGAATAAAGGTGAAAATAAAGCGTCTCAAAATTTGTGGGACACAGCCAAAGCCATGGTGAGAGGAAAATCAATAGCACTAAATGCTTACATTAGGAAAGAGGAAAAGCCTCAAACCAATAATATCAGCTTTTACTATAATAATCTAAAAAAAGAGCAAAATAGGTAGCCAAATTAAGACAATAATAAAGATAAGAGCCAAAATAAACAATGAGTTGGTTCTTTTGAAAAAAAAAATACATGAAATTGACATACTGCTTAGCGAGACTGGCAGGGAAGGAGGGAAGGAGAAAGGGAGAGGTGGGGGGAGAAAACCAAATTGCCAATAACATCAAGAATGAAGCCATGTTATCACCACAGCCCTTGAAGATATCAAAAGTATAATAAGCACACATTATGAACAACTCCACACATAAATTTGACAACTTGTATAAAATGGACCAATCCCTTAAAAAATACAAATGACCACAACTCATCCGATATGAAATAGGTAATTTGAATAGCGCTCTATTAAGGAAATTGAATTTGTAATTTAAAATCTTCTGAAAAAGACATCTCCAGGGCTAGATGCTTTTACTGGACAATTCTATCAAACTTTTAAAGAAGAATTAACACCAATTCTATACAGTCTGTTTCAGAAAATAGAAGAGGGTAGAAAACTTCCCAATTCATTTTTATGAAGCTAGTATTATTCTGATACCACCCCTCCCAAAATGAAAGTATTAAAAGACAAACTTTAGACAAATTTAATTTAACAGAATTTTACAGAGCAAAGAACAATTCGAGAATCAGGCAACTCCACAGAACTAGAATAGATTGGGAGACACTCCAACACTGCCACTTAGTTGAAGATAATTTATGGACAGAGAAAGGAAAGTAGCTTAGAGAAAATGAAAGTGAGGTATAGAAACAGCAGCCTTGTTTCTATACAATAAGAGAGCAACTCAAATATCTAGGAGGATATTAAATGTTCCCAACAAAAAGAAATGATAAATGTTTGAGGTGGACGTATATGCTAGTTACCCTGATCTGATCACTATATATTATATGTATCAAAACATCACTATGTACCCCATAAATATGTACAATCATGTGTCAATTTTAAAATACAATTTTAGAAAGTATTTTGAAATAAAAAGTTTAAAAAAGAAGAAAAAAGAAAAGAAAAGAAACAGTTGCCTTGGCTACAGCGCAGCATTTACCTTGTTTGAACACTATTGGAACAGTTGGCCTCCTGTGAGTGGTTGAAGTATTGCTTCTGTGATTGGCTGAGACTCAGGTAGTTGCTACAAAAGTAGGCTAGTCTGTTTCCACATTCGGTTAAGTTATAGTTCACTATGTATTGAGAAACGTTTAGGTTAAACTTAAAGTATGTAAGGAGGTAGCTTTAGGCTAAGCTTAATTTAACAAAAGAAAGAGAAAAGAAAACTATACACCAAGATTCTTTATAAATATAGACCACCGCCAATTTTTTTTTTTTTTTTTTTTTTTGAGACAGGCTCTTCCTCTGTCACCCAGGCTGGAGTGCAGTGGCTCATCATAGCTCACTGTAACCTTGAAATCCTGGGCTCAAGGTACCCTTTTGCCTTAACCTCTGAAGTTGGACTACAGGTATGCACCACCATGCCCAGCCCCCTGAAAACTTTAACAAATGAAATATAGCAATATTTTATAATAATTATACACTATGACAAAGTGGGGTTTATTCCAGGGATGCACATCTCATTAAGTATTTGAAAATCAATGCAATCCACCATATTAGCAGTCTGAAGAAACAAAATCTCATGATCATATCAATTGATACCAAAAAAGCATTTAATAAAACTCAATATCTGTTCATGATTTAAAAAACTCTCAGAAAAATAAGGATAGAGGAAAACTTCCTCAACTTGATAAAGAACATCTAAAATGAACACCTACAGCTATTATCACAGTTCTTAGTGAAAAACTAGATGTTATCTAAGATCAGAAACAAGGCAAGAATGTCTATTCTCACAACTGTATTAAACATAGTACTGGAAATTCCAGGTAATACAATTCTAAGTAAGGCAAGAAAAGGAAATGAAAAACATAAGGATCGGCCGGGCGCGGTGGCTCACGCCTGTAATCCCAGCACTTTGGGAGGCCAAGGCGGGCGGATCACGAGGTCAGGAGATCAAGACCATTCTGGCTAACCCAGTGAAACCCCGTCTCTACTAAAAATACAAAAAATTAGCCAGGCGTGGTGGCGGGCGCCTGTAGTCCCAGGTACTCGGGAGGCTGAGGCAGGGGAATGGCGTGAACCTGGGAGGCGGAGCTTGCAGTGAGCCGAGATTGCGTCACTGCACTCCAGCCTGGGCGACAGAGCAAGACTCCGTCTCAAAAAAAAAAAGAAAGAAAGAAAAGAAAAGAAAAGAAAAGCATAAGGATCAGAAATGAAGAAACAAAATTGTCCCTATTTGGAGATGACATGTAAACTCCTAAGGAATCTATAAAAGAACTCTTAGACCCAGATTTGGACTCCTTAGCAAGCTTACAAGATACTAAATAAACATACAAAAATCCATTGTATTTATATGTACCAGCAATAAGTACGTGGAACCAAAATTAAAAATAGAATGCCATTTATTAATATAATCACTCTGAAACAAAATGAACTACTTAAGTGTACATTGAGCAAAAAATGAACTGGATAGGTATGCTGAAAACTAGAAAACACATAAAACAAAGAAGATCTAAATAAATAGAGAAGCATATCCATATCGTGTTTATGGATTGGAAGACTTAACACAGTAAAAATATGTCAATTCTCCTCAAATTGATATACAGCTTCAATGCAATTCCTATCAAAATCCCAGCAAGAATTTTTGCACATATAGACAAGATTATTCTAGTATTTATGTGGAAATCAAAGGATCCAGAATAGCCTAAACAATTTTGAAGAAGAATAAAGTGAGATGAATCAATCTACCCAATTTACAATAAGACATTACATAGCTTATTAATACAGCTTATTAATCAACATTGTGCAGTAGTGGTGAAGGGACAGACATATAGGTCAATGGAACAGACTAGAGAAACCAGAAATAGATCTACACAAATATGCCAGACTGATTTTTTTACAAAGACTCAAAAGCAATTCAAAGGAGGAAGAAAAGCCTTTTCAACAAATAGCGCTAGGACAATACATCTATAGGCAAATAAACACATAAAAAGACACTCAAACCTCACTCCATACACAAAAATTTAACTCAGAATGGATTGTAGATTTACATGGAAGTTGTAAAAGTATGAAAGTTTTAGAACAAAACAGAGGAAAAAAATATTCAAATCTTAGGACTAGCCAAAGAGTTCTTAAAATTAACATGGGAAACAGAAGCCATTTAGAAAAAAAAAATTTGGTAAGTTGTATTTTATCAAATTAAAAAACTTTTGTTTTGTGAAAGACGCTATGAAGAGCATGGAAAACATAAGCTACAGATTGAGAAAAAATATTTTCAAACTATATATCCACCAAGAGTATTTATTTATTTATTTATTTGAGACTAGGATTCACTCTGTTGCCCAGGCTGGAGTGCAACATCACCATCACAGCTCACTGCAGCCTCAACCTCCCAGACTCAAGCGATCCTCCCACCTCAGCCTCACAAGTAGGTGAAACCACAAGCCTGCACCACCGCGGCCAGCTAATTTTTGTATTTTTTGTAGAGACAGGGTTTCCCCATGTTGCCCATGCTGATCTCCAGCTCTTGAGCTCAGGCAATCGAACTCCTGACTGGGCTTCCCAAAGTGCTAGGATTACAAGCTTGAGCCACTGTGCCCAGCCCAATATTTAGAATATAAAAAGAACTCTCTAATTTCAATAATAGAAAACAGAAACCAGCAAAAGACCTGAACAGATATCAAAGAGCATATATGGCAAATAAACGCATGGAAAGATGTTCAACATTATTAGTCAATAAGGAAACAAGTTAAAAACAATGAAATAACTCTACACACTTACCAAAATGGCTAAAATAAAATATACTGACCAAAAAATGATGGTGAAGATGTAGTGACCAGATCATGGGTATATTGCTGGTGAAAATTCAAAATGGTGCAGCCACTTTAGAAAACTGGCAGTTTGTTAAAAAAGCTAAACATGCAACTACCCTATGACCTTGCCATTGTACTCCTAGGCATTTATCACAGAGAAATGGATACTTTACCTTCACACAAAAACCTGGATGAGAGTGTTCATAGTAGCTTTATTCATAATAGCCCAAACTAGAAACAACTTATATGAACTTCCATGGATGAACAGTAAGGTGGTCCATGGATACTATGGAACACTACTTAGCAATAAAAAGAAACAAACTTCTCTTGATACACACAACTTGGATGAATCTTTAGAGAATTAAGCTGAGTGGAAAAAGCCTATCTTAAAAGATTGAATGCTCTATGATCCATTTGCATAATATTCTTGAAATGACAAAATCATAAATATGGAGAACATATTAGTTATTGCCAGGAGTTATGGACAGGATGGTAGTGGGGAGGAATTAGTGGGTGTGACCTTTTAGGGCAACATGAGAAATCCTTGTGGTGTGGAAAATGTATATTGTATACAAAATGTGTATTGTATAATGTGTGACACAATGGTATTATATCAATAATGGAGCAGAATTGTAACCATTCTGTATCTTAACTGTGTCAATATCAGCAATGGTATTGCACTATAGTTTTCCTATAGTTTTATGGGATGTTGAGGATACACAGGCTCTGTCTGTTTCTTATAACTGCATGTGAATTTAAATTATTTTAAAATAAAAAATTAAAATGCAATGCATCTTCTGCCTGGCTTTTTCTCTTGCCTCTCGTTTATTTGGAAACTAACTTCTGTGTTGTGAGAATGCCCATCAATCACATGGACAGGCCATGTGTAGGTACTTGGGCTGATAGCCCTAGTTGAGTGCCCAGATAACAGCCAGTATCAAGCAGTAGACTTATGAATGAGCAAACCTACAGATGATTCCAGCCACCTGCTTTCCTGAGAGCTCCCTTGAGCTAATGCTGTGTGTAGCAAAGACCAGCTGTCCTTGGAAGCCCTCCCCAAAGTGCAGATGTGTTTGAAAAATAAACGCTTGCTGCTGTTTTTAGCCACCAGTTTTAGGGTGCTTTATTACATAATAATAGGTAATTGAAAAAAAAAAGGGCTTTGTCTATGAACATTCCACAGAAAAAGAAGAGAAGCGGCTTTTTCACTGAATCTTTGTGTTAGACAATGACGACCTTTTTTGAAGTATCATCAAATTGTACCTTTGAACAGTTCAAAACTGGCTTCATAGTCTCAATTAGTGAGGTTTTATTATAGCCATCATATGTTCAAATTAAAAATTTGGCATATCATTTGGTTAAAGATTTTTATGCCACTTATGAGTACAGGAGACAATTTGGGAGATATAGTTTGGATACTAAAATGGAATGTCGGCCAGGCACGGTGGCTCATGCCTGTAATCCCAGCACTTTGGGAGGCCAAGGCGGGCGGATCACCTGAGTCCGGAGTTCGAGACCAGCCTGGCCAACATGGTGAAACCCCATCTCTACTAAAACTACAAAAATTAGCCGGGCCTGGTCACAGGCACCTGTAATCCTAGCTACTGGGGAGGCTGAGGCAGGAGAATCGCTTGAACCTGGGAGGAGGAGGTTGCAGTGAGCCGAGATCATGCCATTGCACTCCAGCCTAGGGGACAAGAGCAAGATTTTGTCTCAAAAAATAAATAAATAAATAAAATGGAATTTCTGAGATTTTCAGGGTTTATGGTACAGATTATTTGAAATTAGGATTGTGTTAGAAGATCTAAGAAATGTATATACATATATAATAATTATTTATACATAATTATAAATTATTATTTCTAATTGGGTCATGATAAACTATAAATTATCATGGATTATTAAAATACAAATATTTTACATCTATAATTTACTATTAATGTCAAGTCATACACACACAAACACGAGGGGACTTCCAAAAGTTTGTGAAAAATAAAATTAAAAAACAAAATAAAAAATGTACACTTTATTTCTCAACATAAGCACCATCAAGTTCAAGATATTTTGTAGGTGATGATATGAATCATTTAGTCCATCACTAAAGAACTGAGTGTCCTGGGACCCTAACCATATCAATGCAGTTTTACTTTACTATAGAAAAACAGATGCTCTTTAAAAAATTTTTTAAGATTAGGAAACAAAAAGAAGTCAGAGGAGCCAAATCAGGACTGTACAGCAGATTAAAAGATTTTCCATCAAATTGCTCACAAAAGTGCGTTTGTTTGATGAGAGGAATGAGCATGAACATTGCCATGGTGGAGAACGACTCTGGTGAAGCTTTCCCAGGTATTTTATCCTAAAGCTGTTGCTAATTTTTGCAAAATACTCTCATATTAGGCAGATGTTATTGTTCTCTGGCCCTCCAGAAAGTCAGTAAGTAAAATGCCTTGAGCATCTCCAAAAAATTGTTGCCATGGTCTCTGCTTTTGACCAGTGCACTTTTGCTTTGACTGGACCACTTCTACCTCTTGATAGCCATTGCTTTGGTTGTTCCTTGTCATCAGGATTATACTGGTAATGTTTCATCTCCTGTTACAATTCTTCAAAGAAATGTTTCATGATCCTGATCCCACCCATTTAAAATCTCTATTGAAAGGCCTGCTCTTGTCTGTGGCCAACCTGGGTGCAATGGTTTTGGCACCTATCAAGGAATGGAAAGTTTAATTTCTTTGTCAGAATTGTGTAAGCTGAACCAGTTGACATATCTATGGTGTAGGCTATTGTTTTGACTGCTAATCCTTGATCCTCTTCAGTAAGGGCATTGTCTTACCCTTCTTAGTGTCTCAAACTAGATCCTGTTCAGACATGTTATAACAAGTTAGTATGAGTTTATTTGGGTGCAAAAAAACAATTTGAACTACCAGCCTAGTTTTTTCATAATATGCATTTTCCATAAAATTTTAAAGACCCCTCTCATTTGTGTGTATATGTGTGTATGTGTGTGTGTGTATTCACTTCCTCTTGCAAATGAATCAGACTACATACAAACCTTCTCACATGTCATAAGATATTTTTATTCTGCTGTAATACTCTGTTGTGTTTAACATGGAAGATACAAGAAGACCAGATACAAAACTAGGCTGGACATAGGCAGGTAGGCGTCAGTTTCCTTCTGCCTTCCATTCGCCTTTCAAACAGCTCATCTAACATTTGCTGGTAGCCTGCTTATCTAGTTTAGATTTTTTTCACCTTGGAATTTCTGGCTTAGCTGGTCAGGTGCTATATTTTCGCTGGTACTTCCAATATCCCCTTGAATCATTACTCTTCACTTTTTGATTCATACTTACCAAGACTATAAGAAAGTTTCCTGAGTTTTGATACTTTCCATTTTTATGACTAGAAATAAAAGTAGCCCAATAAATTTTTAAATTACTTTTTCTTCAGTTTGCCTTCTGTTTCTTTTCCAGAAAATTCTACCCCCATTTTCTCCCTTCCCTTCTTTCACACTGAGACACTTCTACATTGCCTGTTATTGTGCCACCTCTGTGTTGTATAGGACATGCTATGGAACAGGCATTTTCTTTTGAGACAGCCCAACTAAATTTTGAATACTGGTTTCCCCTCTAACTAGCTATGTAATCTAGGGCAAATAGTTTAAATTCCTTAAGTCCTGTCATTTGTAAAATGGTAATAATAATGGCCTATGATATAATTAGTCGAGGTATCCTTGTTTTCTTTTTGTTCTTCTAATTCTGAAACTCGACATTTTAATGAGTGGTATTGTTTAGGTTGGATTAGGAACAGTCCCCAAATAAGGGAGAGGCCGACTAGGCATTTTGGAGGCCAAGCTGTGCAAGAAGACCAGAAAGAACAAAGCTCAGAGGTTCCTTGAGCCTGGTGCCTTTAGGGGCCTGAAGAAGAACAGATCTCACACTTTTTCTTTTGCTTTGTATTTAGAACTCTGTTGGGAGAAAGATAAAGGTAGAAGGATGCAAAATTCTAACAATGGGAGAAATGACAGCTGCAAGGAGAGGGAGGGGGAAGCAACTCTTCTAAAACATAAAAGGGTCATATGATATTTATGAAAAAATTGATTATTTCAAAAAGATTCACAATCCCATTCTCTAACACATAATCTATTTTTACTTTCCCGCATCCTATAACTTGGATCTTGATAAGACTCGATTCGTTGTTTTATGTGGTTTGCAATCTCAACAAAACAAAATTTGTGTTCTTTGACAAGGATAATGCATAATCCTGACTTCAGTCTTCCCTTTTAGTCAGAACCTACCTATTTAAGGTTATTTTCCATATTAACTATTGATGATCAAAATAAGTCTAACTCGTGTTTTTCCTAGTGTTTCATAATTTTAGTTACAGAAACGATGCAGATAAAATTAATCTAACATGCGTCTTCCTGACTCTAGTACGTTGAATCTGGCCAGAAAAACCACATTTGCTCTCTACGTAGGTAATATAAATCCATCATTAGCGAAATTGCTGCATCCCTTTGGACTGGGTCTCATTAGCAGAGGTTGGAGTGGCCACTGGCCGGCACACGACACTTTAGGCCAGCAGGGGGCGGGTAAGCTCCAGGGCACTCGCCCGAGCAGCAGGGGGCGTGTCTTCTGCTTCCTTGACGGACAGCTAAGGATGCGGGAGAGGATGAGGTAATAGGAGCCGGGGCAAGGAAGGAGTTGGGGTGCGCGCGCGTGTGTGTGCGACTGTGAGTGTGCCAGTGCGTGCGCAAGCCCCGAGACAATGCGTGTCTCCAGTTCGCGCTGCGGACACTGATCATGCTGCATTAAGGAAAAAAAAAGAGAGAGAGAGAGAAAATTACATTTGGGGGAAGGAGGCTGCAAAGTTGCGGCTGGGCGACAGTGGTGGTCCCGGGGCCGTGTCATGGCGGGTCGCTTCTCTGCATCAAGGAACCAGGGAAACACACGCGGGCGCGGGTTTGCCTTAGCGCCCTGCTTGGGAGGGGTGGTTCATTCTGGAAGGAACTGAGCAGAGCCACAGGCAGGGGGAGCTCTCCCAGCGGCGGGGACTGCAATTCGTGCGGCGAAGGGGTGGGGAGGGAGGGAGAGAGGGGAGGGGACCAGAGCGTGCCATTCCGAGCGCGGCCGTGCGGCGAGATCCCACCCCGGCGTCTGCAGAGGCCGAGGCGCAACTGGTGCGAGGGCTGGGTCCTTGCCTCGCCGTCAGCCCCAGCTCGCGGCCGCCGGGGCTCGGGCCGCGCGCCCGCCGAGTGGCTTTTGCAAGGCGGGGGCCTGTTTGCAGAGAGCCGGGCATTTGCATGAAGCGACTCGACCCCACAGAGCAGCGGCAGCAGCAGCGGACCCCGGCGGCGGCGGCGGCGCGCGGTCCCAGCCAGGCGGCCCCGGTGTCCCGGCCCCGGTGGATGCACGGCTGGGGAGGAGCCCATGGGCCGGAGCTGAGGCTGCCCGGGGCGGCGGGGCGCGGGGCAGGGGGCGCGGTCGAGGCCCGGAGGCGGCGGCGCAGGAGGAAGCGGAGGAGGTCGGGCGCTCGGGGCCCGGGAGGCGGGCCGCGCAGCGCCGCAGCCCCGGGCTCGCCATGCTCCTGGCCTCGGCCGTGGTGGTCTGGGAATGGCTGAACGAGCACGGCCGCTGGCGTCCCTACAGCCCAGCGGTGAGCCACCACATCGAGGCGGTGGTCCGCGCCGGCCCCCGCGCGGGGGGCAGCGTGGTGCTGGGCCAGGTGGACAGCCGTCTCGCGCCCTACATCATCGACCTGCAGTCCATGAACCAGTTCCGCCAAGACACGGGTGAGCCAGCCGCCCCTGACCCCGCCCCGCCTGCTCCCACCTTCCCAACCTGCCAAGGTACCTCCCTCCCTGTGAACCCACCTTGGCCACCTAGTCGGCACTTCTGTGCAGCAGTGTCACCAAGAGGTGGTGGTGGGAGGCGATTCACTCCGCTGAATCCTCGCAGGATCCTCCCTCCCCCTTAAACATCCATGCAAATAGTATCAGTGTTGTGGTTTTGCAAACCCAGCTTCAACCTAGTCGGTAACAATCCACTCCCCACCCCTTTCATGCCCCCGCTTTTCAGCAGTTGGTGGCCCTAAGTCTTTCTATGTAGAAATTCTAGGGCCGCCCCAGACTACAGGCAATCCCAGCCCTTCGCAAAGGCTTCCTGCCCTCATCCCGTGGCGGCCGGCACCTTGGCTGACCTGACCCTGTTTTGCTTCAGGCACGCTGGGGCTTGCCACACGTCCCCTCACCCCCGATCTCACTGCCTCTGCGTCTCCTGTGTGGGATGCCTCCCCGCAGCTGGGTCCTGGGTGTGGGAACTGGGGGAGGAAGAAGGGATTCCCCGGAGGTTCTCGCTACAGTCGGGTAAGGGAAGCGCCGGGCTCCCTGGGAGGAGAGACTAGGGCTGGGGTACCCTGGACGCCGCGGCATTGGCGAATGCCTCTGCTACACACTACATGCGCGGAAGCAACAGGCCGGAGCAGATGGAGAGAGGAGGGGGAGGCTCGGGGCTTCGGAATGCATGGCAGGGAAGCCGCTCCCTTTGTCTGCGGAGGAGGAGGACGCAGATTCCTAAGGAGAAACTGTCCCCAGGCTTCCTCTTGAAACCATAGCCTGTAAGGAACCCATGGTCTCCTGGAGCGCCAAACTCCTATCTTTTCATGAGAATCAAGTTGTCACTGTAGCCAGCACAAACCCGCTTCCCAGCTGACCTGCCTTTCCAGGTCAGAGCCAGGAAGGGAGCCTCCAGGATGGGGCCTTGGGGGGTGGGGAGTGGGGGTGCTGCCCAAGGGAGAGCAAAACTGCCTCTCTTTGCTCGGTCCTTGCTTAATCGATGACCCGGGAAGAGTTTCTGCCTCCGTCAGTGACAGGTGGGGAGGGGGCCATTGTTTCTGGAATTCTGGCTCGGCTTTCCCAAGAGTGCAACCGAGGAGCCTGGAGAGGCCGGTGTGCTGGGGAGGACGTAGAGAAGATGACTCGGAAAGGCCCTCCCCAGTGAACAGCTGTTTGAGCAGAGTCTCTCTGCTTCCTTGGAAAGCCCCCACATCCTGTGTGCTAATTAGGATTGTCATGGGAAAGGGGTATCTTTCCACCCTCATGTCCCCATCTTTAGTCATAACTCCCAGCAACCCCTTTGCCAAGGACTCTGCAGACACTGGCTGATTGAGGAGAGCTTTCTGGGGAGAGGATTCTGGAAGTGTTAGAATCTGGAGGGGCTTCAACCGTGTGTGGAGCTGAGGGAGACTGGGAGGAGCAGAGAATAGAGAGGAATGTGGGGAGATTGAGAAAGAGGATTAAGTGTGGCTGAGGGGGAGGGAGAGAATGTCATTGCGCAACTTGGGTAAAGGTTGTGGAGGTGAGGGTGGAGGCATCAGAAGGTGAGGGTGGAGGGGGTGTGTGTTGGGCGGAGCTGAGCCACGGAGGTGGGACCAGAGAGAGAGAGAGAGACCAGCAGTTAAAGCATCTGACAGGGGATTCCAGTCCTGGAAAAAAAAAAAAGCAGGTGTTACCTTTTCTATTTCAGAGTAAATCTCTACAGCATTTGGAAAACCACCCTTGTGACAGAAACGTCTCAGCCCCTTTCCCACATTTGGAAAGGGCAAAGGTGGAATCTGTGTTTGGGGGTACTTAGGATAGGCAAGGTATCTACAAAGGTTCATGACCCTTTCTACAGAAGCGAAGTTGTAGAGAAAACTGGGTGGAAGGAAAGAAGCTACGTTTCCCAGGTCTGATCACTCTTACCTGAGGACTGCCTGGTGGTGAGCAATTTAGTCAGAGGCTGGCGCTCCCTGGACTTTAAACCTCAGGCAGAGAACTTGCCCTGAATCATTTTAAAGGCTGCCTCAGGGTGTGTTTATCATCAGACTGCTGTGGTTTCATCCGCTCATTGCTAGAGTCAGTCAGCCATCCTGAATACCTCTCTGCTGTGCGCCAGGCCCTGTGCTGGGTGCTGCGGACACTGGGCTGAATTCCCAGAAAAGCTGGGTCTGTCAGGGCGCTTGTCAAAGAAGAATAGAAGAATCTCTGGGTTTCTTAGCTCTGAGCCCCCTCCTCTCCCTTCTCCACCAACACACTCATAGTTCCTCTCAATCTCATTGATGAGGCCATGACAGGGTAGGAACTTTAAACCAGTGGCTCCCAGGCAACCTCAGCTAAGCCCTTGCAATGTTTAATTAAATTACCCACCATCCTTAAGCCATAATTCAAAGCTGGGAACCAGAAACATCCCCATAAACAAAAGAGATCTGGAAGTCCCCTGCCCAGAGGCGATTCCTCTCCTTTTTTGTTGCCTCCTCTGTATGGGGACATTTCCTGACATGAGAGCTTTGTCTTTTTAGAAGTTGCTTGCTCTGCTGCTGATAGAGTCCTCAGGCTCTCCACTCGCCTGGGCTCCTGACCTCATCCAGCCTGTCTCCAGGGAGATGGCTGGGAGGTCCCAGACACCCGTCTGCCCGCCTCTGTTTGCCCTGGGCCCTTCTCCTTCCCCAGACTGCCTAGAGGTCTGATCTTATTTGCATTCTATGCCAGTCTTCTCTAGGCATTTTGGGCTAGAGAATCTGGAATAAGGGTAGAGATGGGGTGAGATAGATGGGACTGGCTCTTGGCCACTTCCAAAAGCCTCGGTGGGCCCCTCTCCACCTGCCATCATTTACCTTGACTGGGTTGTCCTTTTTCTGTTGTAGGGCAGTGACTGAAGAGCTTTACTTCAGCATCACTTTCCCCTGTACCTTTCAGCATGCCTGACCCTACCAACTCCAGGTTTTCAGTAGCAGGATGCGGAAGATCCAGGCTGAGAGTGGAGACAAACAACTGTGGCTCTCATTCCAGGCTCACTGTTTACTCCGTGACCTTGACCAAGTCTCTAAATGGTCAGGCCTCATTTTTTTTTTTTTTTTTAGAATGAAGAGCAGGCTTAAGATTTCTTCTTTCCCTCTTTTTCTTTCCTCCCATCATGCAGATCAACAGGTGAATGGGTTGGCCCCTGTGCCAGTGATGATACTGATAAGCACAGGGTAAAGGAGCGTTCTTTCCAGCTCTGAGTTTTCTGTGCAGGTTTTGCCTTCTTTATGTCTTTTAAAGTGGTGAGAAGTGTCAGATGGAGAGAAAGAGCATGGGCTGAATTAAATGATTTGACAGAAGCTGAGTTTTAGCCCCGCCACAAAACCCTCTACCCTATGTTAGCATAGAAGTGGAGGAGGCAGGCATCATGATGACCACATGATAATTACAATGTGCAGGATGCACCATGTGTCTGCATCATGGCAAGCACCTTGCACACACTATCTTGTTTAATCCTCACAACAATCTTATGAAGAACCTATTATTATCCCCATTTTATAAGTAAGGAAACAAATTGAAAGTGATTAAGTTGCTCAAGGGTTTACAGCTAGTCAATGGCAGGGCCGAGATTCTGAATTAGGTGCCCTATGTCCTATTTCTACATTCAGTAAATAGTTATGGAGCAACTATTTAGCGCAGTCACTGTTCCAGACATGTGAGATATAGCAATAATAGAGCATCCAAATATTTCTTTGTCCTTACGGAAAATTCTGGTGGGCGTGGGGGATGCTGGTAAGAGCGGCCTGGGATTTCTTGGACCTAGCGCATGCCCTAACGGCAGTGAGTCACTTACATAGATGTGTGTAACATGCCCCAGAGACCTCAGTGCATGCCTGGAAGGCATGGCCTTCCACTTCCCAGAAGCTGAAAGGTTTTGGGTGCTTTGTAACGCAGGTGGAAAATCTGTAAAAAACTGATTTTCTTTCTCCTTCTTCATCCTTAGTTTATGAACATCCTCAATCCCTATCCTACTGGAGCCCCTTTCCTTGGGTTACTTCACAGATTATCTGGTTTATAATACTGATTCTAGAAAAGTCGAGAACTAGCACATCCAAAATAGGGTGGTCTCTGAAAATAATCAGCGAGTAAAATCCCACCATGTCTATTGTCTCAACACTTTGGTTCTGAGGTCTGCATGCTATCTCTGACTCTCTGTAGCGTTGAATTGAACTCAACAACTTTCCCTCCAAAACCAGCTCTTCCTCTTGACATCCCTCTGACACCATTTTACCACTTTCCCATGGTCCAAACCCAGGATTCTTTGACTCATTCTGTCATTTAGAATCTTATTTGGGCACCTAATAGGTACAGGCACATAGACCCTGTAGCCCAACAGCTGAAATTTGAGTGTACCCATGCACCACTCAAGGTGGCCATTCACATGCAGATTCCCATGCCCAGGCCCTGGAGATGCTGGCCTGTAGGTCTCAAGGGCACTGCTGATTCAATTCATACCCCAGGAGATTCTGACGGAGGCGATCCTCAAACCTCACTTGGAAAGCATTCAGCTACTCATGATCAAGTCTTACCCATTTTTTTCTCTGTAAGGTCTCTCCAGTTTGTCACCTTCTTTTCATTTTCTATGCCAACACCTCTCCACTCACCTGGAACTAATGGACAGAGTGGCTCTGGTCTTGCCCCTCTTTTCTTAACAAACTTCACTGGCTCTTCATTGATTACAAATTAAATCTATCATAGTCTGACATTTCAGACCTTCCATACCCTCTCTGGCTCTAACATATCTTTCCAGGATTGTCTTCTTCTATGCCTTATATTTCCCTCCAATCTGCCAAACAGAGGCTACCTCTATCCTCATGCATTCCTTTAGAGTTCTCTGACACCCTTCACCCCCCCAGCTAGCCTTGAGGTCCCTTCTTCTGAAACACTGTCCTTTGCCATTTTTACCTCTCAAAATTCTTTTTGTTATACGAGTCCATGCCATTTGTTATTCATTTCTTAAAACATTCTCCACACCTTGAAATGCTTTCCAAACCATCATTACTTCATTTATTGAATCAATATTTTGGAGTGCCTAGGACATGCAGGCATAGAGAATACAGCCATGAGCACATACCTTGATGCCCACTCTCATGGTACTCACTCTCTAGTGAAGGGGACAGATATTCATCAAATTAGCCACACAAATACATATGTAACTGCACATTGAGATGAATGCTATTAAAATTTTTTTAAAAGGAACAAGAATTTCACCTGGCCAGGACTGCCCAGGGGGCCTCCTTGAAGAAATAAGCTCTTCCTGTGGGAAGAGCTATGGAAAAGATGCCAGAGTTTTGGGGAGGAACCAGCATTGTGAAGAGGCCCAGAATCAGAGAAGCCTGGCAATGAGGAGAGATTGAAGGCCAGTGTAGCTGAAATGTGGGCAGTTAGGCTATGAGGGGGCCATGTATGTTGGTGGGTAGGGGGGATTTAGATTTCAACCTAATGGGAAGTCATGGAAGGGATTTACGCAGGGAAGGGACATGGTCAATTTTCCTGCCAACATGCATTTTGTTGGCATTCTCCTTGTGATACGTTCTGCCTCATAAATAGTCATTCACACACTTGTCTTCTAACCCTGTTTCAGACTGAAAGCTAATTGAGGAATGCTTGAATCTGCATTCCCCATAGCAGTTAATGAGTGCTCAGGGATATGTGATAAATGATTAAATATTAAAGTAGCCAGAAGTCTTCAATCAGTCACAGCAGTTTCTGGAGCCCTTGCAACTGCCAGACACTGCATTAGGCACTAAGAATGCAAAGAGCTCCACAGTGGCATTCCTGCACCCACTTAAGGCAGGATGGTATGAAAAATGTTGCTGAAACATTGGTGCACATCAGCATAGTCAAGCTACACAGCTCAGGCTTCCTGAGGGTGGGGCCTGGGCTGGGAGAACATTTTAAGAAATGGATGGAAAATGGCTTGAGACCTGAATGGTAAGGAGAATTTCAATAGGTAAAAATGGCAAAAGAGGCCATTTCAGTAGAAGGGACCTAGCGAATTGTGGGGAAGGGAGTCAGGGAACTCTGGGGGAATGCATGAGGATAAAAGGGGCCTCTGTCAGGCAGGAATAGAAGAAAACACAGAGACTGAGGAAGACAAACCTAGAAAGGTATATTATAGATCCATGGCATAGTTTCCAGAAGTTCTGGGACAACTCTCAGGCATCTCCAGGATTGATAACAGTATTGTGTTTAAAAAAAAAAAAAAAGTCTTTTAGGCAAATCTGTGAGGGGGTTAATTGCACAGTCCCTGCCACCCTGGAGAGAATATAAAATAGTGCCATTTAAACTCTCTAAACTTAATTTCCTCATTTGTGAAAGGTATTTCTAGGATTGCTATGAAATTTACGTGGGATATGTGAGGTGCTTTGTAAGTAATAAAGATTGTGCAAATACCAATTTGAGAGCAGCAGAAGGCAGCCAAATGACTAGGCAGATAGGGGCAGGTCCCCAGTGAAACCTCACTTTCAAGCCAAAAACAGCCTGAAGGCTGAAAGACTGGACTGCTGGTCCAAGATAAAACCCGCAACCCAGAGTGAGAACTTCTGTTCCTGTTTTTGTACCCTTTCCCAATTGATTCTTTCTGAATAATGCCTTTTAACCAATCAAATGTTGCCTTTTCCAGTACTACCTACAGCCTGCCCCTCCCCTATTCTGAGCTTATAAAAGCCCCAGACTCAGCCACATTGCAGGGACTTTCCCACTTTTCGGTAGGGGCACCACCCCTGGGTCCCCTCTCTGCTGAAAGCTGTTTCATCACTCAATAAAACTCCCCACCTTGTTCACTCTTCGATTGTCAGCATATCCTCATTCTTCTTGGGTGTGGGACAAGAACTTAGGAACTGGTGTGCAGCCAAACTTGGCCCAGGTGGGCAGAGTGGGCGAGTCATCTCTTGCCATCTCCTGCAGCAGGTTGTGTGGCCGAGTGAGGCCCAGGCAGGGTGTTGCCAGCCAGAGGTCCCTGGCTTGAAAAGTGACCGAGAAGAAAATCCTGTGTCAGTTATATAGAAACTTTTTCTCTCTCTCTTTCTTACACCCCCTACCACCCTACACACATACACACACAGACACACACACACACACACACCCTCACACACCCTGAGCTAAACCTTCTCCATGGTTTCTCCATCCTGCTTAGACATATAATAGAAAATAAATTACAAAAATAATCACCAATTTTCATTGAGCTCTTGCCATGGTGACAGGTGCTATTTTTGAGTTTTACATTCATTTCTTCATTTAATCCTCAAATCCACCCTTTGAAGTCACTACCCAGGACCCAAACAGATGAGGAAACTGAGGCTTAATCACACAGCTGGAAGGGACAAAACCACCCCTATTGGCCCCAAAGCCCATACTCTTTGTTCCCCAGCAAGCTGCGCACTTAGGAAGGAAATGGAGGCAAACCAGGGAACTATTGTCTCCCCCTCCCCTGCCCCCACCATCCTGATACCCCCATGTTCCCCAGCAGAGGCCATGGTGATGAATAGGGGATTGTTCTGCTTCTCCCTTGTGTCTCTGAATGTTGATGTTTTGGGTCATTAAGGAGCTTGGAGATGGGGTGGGGGGCAGGTTATGACCCTGGCAAAGGCCTGAATAGCCATTGTTTCTTTTCTTCCCCCCTTGAATGGGATTCTGTCCCCAGTCTTGGTGTATCCCTCTGGGTTGGAGGAGGGGTGGGTCAGAGGCTGGTGAAGGCAGCCTTTTCTCACCACTTTGATGGATAGAGCTTAAGCTGACAGATGCAGAGATTCCAGCATCCCAGGGGCCCTCCCCGACCTCCCCACCCTGCCCTGAGCTAGACATCTTTAGCCTTAATGTTGACACCATGAAATGAGCCCTGGTTGAGGATGAGTCAGGATTCAGGTTTTGAGTGAGGGAGAAAGAGGCAACAGTTACAGGTTCAGTTCCCTTACAGTCCTGCCAGTTCATATCTGCTGTACCATTACCCTGTAATAACCCTGACCTCTTCCCGGCCCCAAAGTGAGACTCTGAAAATTAAGACAATCCTACCTTTAGGAGGGTTTTAGCTTCTTAAAGAAAGACATCAGATAAATATAAAATTATTCTCATGACCATTGAGAATGTTACTTTTGCTACTGATATAAGATTTAATGTTGGGAAATATGAGAGAGTTCTCCCAACCTGATTTCCCTTCTTCTCATAGTAACACACCATTTTTTTTTTGGACAGCATTTATAAATGTATAGAGATCCAGCTCCCTCACAGCCACTTCTGGGCAGCCTTCCCGCATGCAGGCAGAGTCTTCCCTCAGTCCTCTAGGCTTCCACAGCCCTGTATTCTTTTCCTCATGACTCTTGGCACAAGAGCATTTAGAGGAACAGAGGAGAAGGAATATGATCATTATGAGCACCTACTGTGTGTCAAGGGCTTTACATGCCTTAGTGCATTCATAGGGTTCACATGAAATCCAGAACCTCGCATGTACAAATACATATTTGCTGAATAAATAAGTGAGTCATATTTAGTTTGTACAAAAACTCTAGGAAGGAGTTATCCTGTTTCCCAGGAGGGAAAGGGAGGCTGAGAGGTTCTATATTAGCTAGTAAATGGAATGAATTTGTCTGCAAACCAAGATGTCCCGACTGCAAAGCAGGAGGCAGTCTTTCTGCTACCTTACCTTATACTGCCACCCATATCCTTCATGCTGTAACTCATCTGCTTCTACCCTGGTTGGACTATAGACATCTTAAAGGGAGAAATGAGTTTCATTCAAAGCTGGCACTTCAGGCAGTGTCATGCCCAGTACACAGTAGGACTTGTTTCATGTTTGCCATTATGGCAATGGCATGACTTGTTAATGTCTTGCCACTCAGTGTAATTGCATGCTGACTCTGACCTCTCCCCTATCCCACCCTGGCAGGAACTCTCCGCCCAGTTCGCCGCAACTACTACGACCCCTCCTCGGCCCCTGGGAAGGGCGTGGTGTGGGAGTGGGAGAACGACAATGGCTCCTGGACGCCCTACGACATGGAAGTGGGCATCACCATCCAGCATGCCTATGAGAAGCAGCACCCCTGGATCGACCTCACTTCCATTGGCTTTAGCTACGTAATTGACTTCAACACCATGGGCCAGATCAACCGTCAGACCCAGCGCCAACGCCGCGTCCGCCGGCGCCTCGACCTCATCTACCCCATGGTCACAGGGACCTTGCCTAAGGCTCAGTCCTGGCCAGTCAGCCCTGGGCCAGCCACCTCGCCCCCCATGTCCCCCTGCTCCTGTCCCCAGTGTGTCTTGGTGATGAGTGTTAAGGCAGCCGTGGTCAATGGCAGCACTGGGCCCCTACAGCTGCCAGTGACCCGCAAGAACATGCCGCCTCCTGGAGTGGTCAAGCTACCCCCACTGCCAGGCTCTGGGGCCAAGCCACTGGACAGCACAGGCACCATTCGAGGCCCACTGAAGACCGCCCCATCGCAGGTGATCCGGAGACAAGCCTCCAGCATGCCCACTGGGACAACCATGGGCTCTCCTGCCAGTCCCCCAGGACCCAACAGCAAGACCGGAAGGGTGGCCCTGGCCACCTTGAATCGTACCAACCTGCAGCGACTGGCCATTGCCCAGTCCCGGGTGCTGATCGCCTCTGGGTAAGTGCTTCCACAGCTGCCTCAGAGCATTTACTCAGGGTAGAGATAGGCTACAGCAGATCTTCTGGATCAGAAGGAGGGGCTGCCAAGACTTAAGCTTCTCATCTTGTGCTGACCCCTGGCTGCAGGTGAAGGTGGTGCACCTGGCTGCAGGTGTGGTGGATAAGGGAGGGTTTGATGCTTGGCCTCTGATCTGGACTCTGGTTGAGACTTTGGCTCTTCCTAGCCATATGATTTAGGACCAGATCCCTAACGTCATGGAGTCCTAACTTTCTCATCTGTAAATGCTGGCAGTAATACGCCTGTTAGGGTGGCTGTGAGGCTTAAAGAAGATTGTGGCCAGGCGTGGTGGTTCATACCTGTAATCCCAGCACTTTGGGAGGCTGATGCTGGAGGATCTCTTGAGCCCAGGAGGTCAAGGCTGCAGTGAGCTATTATTGTACCACTACACTCCAGCTTGGGTGACAGAATGAGATTGTGCCTACTAAGCAATAATAGGCAACATTAATAACATTAATTGAACTCCCACTATATTGTAGTTTGGGGCTTTACATCTCATTTAATCCTTGCAACAACTCTATGAAGTAGGCAAGTAGGCATTATCCCCATTTACAGATGAAGACAGTAGATGTTCGCTTGTTCAAGGGTACATAGCTAATCATTGGCAGAGAATGGGATTCAGACTTTAGGACATCTGACACTAGAGCCCAGATTCTGACTCTGCTGTGCTCCTCTTCTACCAAGTACCTACCACAATGCCCAGCATTCAGTAGGTGCAAAATGAGAGTTTCTTTCCCGTAGTCTCTCTGGAAGCCAGAGAGGTGACTCCAAATTGGAATACCGGCCTATTTTTAGTGATGACTTATTATGTGCCAGGCACTTTCCATACATTGTCTCAGTTATTTCTGTGACAACCTGTTGATGCTGTAGGTCCTGTTTGTATTGGTTTTTATGTTCTTGATTTTCCTGATCATAAAATCGAAGTGACCCAGATCCATATGGTGGCTGCAACCTTTGCCTGCCAGCCCCTGGTTTCTTAGCATCTCACAGCCACCCAATCTTCCCTTTCTGTCTCCAGAGAGGCCTGGCTCTGCCTGTGGCCCCTGATCCCAGCTGATCCGGATGGTTTTCAATTGCATTGGGTGCCTAAGTCTGAAAGTCCAGGCTGCTCTAAGAAGGTGGTTTTGGTACTCAGCTGGGTCCCTGCACACAGAGGTTTGGCACTGGGAGGAGGAATGAAGGAGGGTACACCACAGAGTGGGAAGAGTGCCGAGTTGGAAATCCAGAGGCCCAGCCCCTACTCCTACCTCTGTCACTGGGGTGAGCCACAGAATCTTTGCAAGATCCAGTGGCCTTACCTACTGCATGGAGTTATCGTGAAAACCTCCACTAAGGGAGTTGGCCTCTTGGCAGTGCATTCTCTTACTCTGTGATCTAAGTGTTAAGCACAGACATCCTGCTCAGAATTGATTTCCCAAGGAGAAACAGAGCTCATGTGTTATGCAATAGGGGTTGGAACCCAGGTTTTGGCCTCCTGATCCACTGTTCTTTTGGCTAAAGCCCAGCTCCTCATTGTACACAAAGGCAGTTTATAACAGGCAAAATGCTGGTGAGATGCATGAGATTTTCATGACTTCCCCTGAGATGGCAGAAGTATTTGGGAGCAGAGAATGGATGGCTAAACCTTGCTGCTGCTTAATTTCTCCCCGATTTCACACAGCACCATCCTGGGGGCCTCTAACAGAGTTCCAGGGTGATTGCTAGCATGGAGGAGGGAGGCTCCTGTGCTGGGTAAGAACCCGTCCTCCAGAAACTAGGACTGTCTGGGCTTGAACCCAAGTGCCTTGCTGTGTCAGTTGGGGCAAGATTTGCATCCTCTGTCTTCAGTTTCCTCATCTGTAAGATGGGATAGTAATAGTAACTTCCTTTTACAGTTGTCTTAAGTTCAAATGACATACTAAGTGTATAGACTTAGCACAGTGCTTGACACATAAGAGTTCAGTCAGTATAGGCTGCTGTCATTGTGATTGCTGTTATTATTGTTAACAGGTGTCCATGTAGGGGAAGTCAAAGCTGAGTAGGGTCTGACATCCCACCTTGTCTCTGGTGCCCTTGACAAATGCCAAGTGACTTCATTTCCATCACTGAGGGAGAGGCACCCAGGTGGCTTTGAATCTCGATGAGGGAGTGGAGTCAGCAGCTTTATCTATCTTCTTTATTTCCTCTGCCCGCTCATAGAATTGGGGCTAGAGAATGGGTGGAGGTCTGAGCAGTACAGTTTCAAAAGGGCTATAGAAACAAGTTGTTTTCTTTTTTTTCTCTCTACTCTGTTTTCCTGATGAGGGAGGCCCCTGCCTACTCCTCTCGATCTTCCAGCCCTTTGCTTTTCACCTCTTACCACCTCCCTCACCCCCAATCCCATCTTCTCCTCCAGCCTTTCTTGGCCATTTAATTAGCGTGTTTATTCCCTTTGTCTGGCATTGCCATCGACCTTCTGTCATTGCAGGGCCCCTTTCCCCCTCCTCTCTCTGCCCATGACCTCTTCCAGCAACTTTCCCACGGAAAAAGGAAGACCAGGGAGGGCGGGAGGAGTGGGATGAAGAGAAAGGTTTGGGGGCAGGAACAAAAGATCCTGTGAATTATTCAGAGACAGAAGCAGGGGTTTTCTAAAGGGAAGCAAGAAGGGGGCTGTGCAGTGGAGGCAAGCGTCACCCCTCTAGCCCCCTCCTCTAGAGCTGAGGATTCTCTGTCTCCAGCTAGGCCTCAGTTGCCGTAGAGACAAGATCCTTGTCCTGCTGGAGGATTCCTGGACTGGTGCATAACTCCGAGAAAAACACTGCTTCTCATCATGGTGACTGCAGAGATATACTCCCTCCCTCAAAACTCCTTTCTCTGCCACCTTGCCAGCTCTCTTCTCTTGTCTTAGTTTTATGTTTTAGCGACAGAAACAAAAGACCCTCCATATCAGGGAACAGGCCAACTGAATGGGGGCAGGGGGTGTCTTATGATTGGCCAAGCAGTGGTTAGGACAGACAGTTTTGGCTGATGGAGTTGCCTGAAGGATGTGAGATGCATGCCTGCCATTGGGTTGCAGTTTTCTAGGAGAGCTCAGGCTTTTGAAGCTGAGGCCCCAAAAGGGTGTGACCAGCTGGGACTTCATGGGCTGTTCTCCAAGGTTTAACCAGTAATAGTGGGGGAGGTGAGATCAACCGTCTCAAGTACTGCCCAGCACTCAACTTTATGCTGGATACCCATGACCTCGAGAATCAGAAAATTGGAATATTAGAGCAGAAAACGTCTTTATTCAGCCCAATGCCCCTTTTATACTTGGGAGGTAAAAGCATAAACAGTCACCCAAACTTGCACAGGGCTCAGCTGTTTACAGTTAGTTGACCTAGTTCCTAAATCCTCACAGGGACCCCATGGGGCAGACATTTAGGATGCCCTGTTCACGGCTGTGGTAACTTAGATATGGTCAACAGAACGCAGAGAGGCTGTGCGGCTCTCCCAAAGGCAAAGCAGGTCAGTGCTGAGCGGGGCTAAAACAAAGACTCCCTGACTCCAGTGCAGAGCTCCTTCCATTACACGGTTCTGGATTTCACAAGCAAATATACCCCTTCTCCCCAGACCCCTCCTTCCCAGAGCCCAGTGACAAGCCTACCCGCCATGTCATTCCTCTCCTCAAGTGGCAGGGACATGTATCTCTCCCACCTGTTGAACCCATAGTCTTCTTGTGTGTCCCAGGTCCACATGCGGGCCCTTCCCTCCCTCTCTCCACATCTTGCCCCTGAGTTCTTGAGCTGCCTGAAATGTGTGGTGTTCTGGGGATTGGATTATTTCCTGGTTGGCCAGATTGGGTGTGGAAACCTGCCAGTCCAGTTTATGGGAACAAAGGTGGCTTTTGTCACCCAGATCACAGCTACTTATCAGCTGGAGTGGGGGCTCTGAAGATGGCGAGGGAGAAGGTAGGTGCAGGTCTGGGTTCTGAGTGCTGCCCCCTGCTGGGGAGCTGGGAGCAGGACACAGGAAGCCGGGTCTTTTCCCCAAACCTCTCCAGAAAGAGCTGGGCGAGGAGAATCGGCCATAAGTGGAGGACTCAGGGCTTGGGTGGCCATTTTTTTCTCAGATATTGGTGGGAAGTTGTCAGCCAGTTTCCGTAGCGTCTTCTAACCCAAGACCCTCACAGTTTTACAGATGGGGAAATTGAGGCTCAGAAAAGTTAACTACCTTAGCGAGAAACTCCTGGCAGGGATGGGACTTGCACCTGATTTTCCTGACTGCCCATCCACCATACCATGCCTGGCCCTGGGGAGCAGGTCACAGAGTCCAGAAACAAGTCCATTCTTCTTTTCTTGGCCCAGTGGCCCTTGTTTTGTATTCAGCTTTCTCCTCCATCCTCCCATCCTGGTTTGATTTATCCTGGGGACAGTTTCAGAAGAAAAGCGGCTTTGGGTGGCCTGGTGAGACACAAACATTCCCATTCCCACATCTGTTCTTTCACATCCATCTCCCAGCATTGGTGCACATGTCATCATCCCTGGGAAGGGACAGAGCCCCAGGCAGGCTCAAAGTAGGTTAGAGCTGGGGAAGAACCTTCCTTACAGGCATGAGGGGCAGAGACAGACCCCACTGCTTGGCATGGAGGTCCCGTTGCAGCTTTCCCCATTCCTAGTGGTGGGTTTATTCATTACGCTCTCTGAGTTTCTGGTCTATGTTTGCAGTGTGGGATGTTATAAGGATTACGTAAACACAAGAGCCTGGCATAGTAAATGGGCTCTGGTGCCAGATTTTCTGGCTTAGCTGTGTGATCTTACCAAGTTTCCTTAACCTCTCTGTGCCTCAATGTAGTTGTCTCTAAAATGGTGTTAATGACTGCACCTCTTGCATAGGATGTTGGAAGGATCAGACAGGTTTATATGCTGTGAGCAGTTGGAGCCACTGTTGGGGGGAGGTGAGCTCTGTGCATGTTGGTAACTGTAACATGTGAGTGAAGAAGGGCCATGAGCCATGTGTTCACTGCTGACCCCCAGCATCGGGAATAGCAAACAACACAAAGTAGGGCTCAATAAACACTTTTTGGATGGATAAATCAATACATAAATATTCTTTTTTTCCTCCTCTTGCTTTCCCAGCACCATCCTGCCCCCACAGCAGAGCTGTTGGCTTTGCAGGCTGTCTGCCTCCTGGAGTCATCTGTGACCGGGTCCATTAGCCTCTCCAAGCCCAGCTGCAGGAGTGTGGGTGACAGAGAGGATGGCGCAAGACCCAGACCCATGTGTCCCATATTTTCCAAGTCAGCGCTGTGGGAGGGCCGCGCCTTTCCCAGGCAGCTGTGCCATCTCCTCTCCAGCCTGGCTGGAGTTGCTGGGGAGAAGGACAGAAAGGGGAGGAGGCTTTGCCTAATATTTATATATGTCTCAGGGAAAAGGAGAAGTGACAGCTGTTCTAGCAGTGGTTCCAAATGTTAGGCTGGGGATTGCTACATCTGCAGCTTCTCAGGAGCTTTGGGAAATGCAGCTTCTCGTGCTCCACAGGTGGATATTCTGGTCTGGATCTGGGACCTTGTCCTTCTAAAAACATCTTAGGTGACTCTTTTGTACACCCTGGTTTGAACTTGCTTCTTTGTTTTTTCATCCTTCAACAAATATCAATTGAATGCCTACTAGTGCCTGGCTCTGAACAAAACAGACAAAGATATTTTGCCCTTTGTAGAGCCTAGATTCTAGAAGGGGGCATAATAAGCAATAATTTCTTTTAAAGGATCCTAAGTAGAGCAGGAGTCCTGGCGTGGGATGGAGGGGTGGGTAGCAATATTCAATACTATGGTCTCAGGAACCTCACCTGATAGGTAGGATTTAAGCCAGGACTGAAGGAGTTGTAGGAGGAAACTAAGCAGTTGTCTGGTGGAAGGGCATTTTGGGTACAGGGAACAGCATATGCAAAGGCTCTGAGGCAGGAGTGCACCTGGCTCCTTGAGAGCTGAGTGATATGAGAGGAAGCAAGATGAATAAGAGAAGCTGGGTGGCAGTGTTGGCAGATCGTGCTGGGCTCTGTAGGCCTTGCTAGGACTTTAACTTTGACTCTGAGTGAACTGAGGAACATAGTTCTGAGGTTCTGAGTGGTGGCATGACATGGCCTGACTTAGGTTTTGAAGATGTCACTTCCTGCTGTCTGCTGTGTTAAGCACTTAACTGCATTTTATTAGAATTAAATACTGGTCCATTTTGTTCCACGTGTCAAAATGACATTGTATCTGCTCTTTCCTTTCACAGGGTCCCCACAGTCCCAGTGAAGAACCTAAATGGGTCCAGTCCTGTCAACCCTGCCTTGGCAGGTAAGAGAAACCCCAGGATGCTCTGGGTTAAGGTAGAGAAATCAGAGTGATGAAATAGGTCATGAGCATTTGTGGAAAAAAAGGAGAGAATCTAGATATTAATGAAAGCAAATGGTGATTTTAGGAATTGCATGGGAAGGGTATGAAGAGTTTGGAAGAGAACTGATTACTAAAAGGAAAGCATGCAATTGAAGATAAGTGAGTGAATGAATAAGTTTCTGGGGAAAGTACAGGGTAGAGAATCCAGGAATTATGAGAACTTTCTGCTGGAAAGGAGGAGAGTAGGTTAATGGGGAAAGAGGAATTTGGGGAATGTTGAGAGCTAAGTCTCCAGTCTTTCCTCACCCATGCCCTGCCCCTTCCAGGAATCACTGGGATCCTCATGAGTGCAGCGGGGCTGCCTGTGTGTCTCACCAGGCCACCAAAGCTGGTCCTACACCCACCCCCCGTCAGCAAGAGTGAAATAAAATCCATCCCAGGGGTTTCCAACACAAGCCGCAAGACCACCAAAAAACAAGCCAAGAAAGGTACCAGCCTCTTGTCTCGTGGGGTACTGAGAGTCAAAGACTTGGCTGTCAGCCCTGAGTCTGCCTCAACCTCCAAGGGTCATAGCCACGGCTTCACCCTCTGTGCCTCAATTTCTGCATCTGTAAGTGGGCCTAACCAGTAAATCTTGACGATTATACCACAGCTGATGTGTATGGATCAGATGGAAACACCTTGAGAAATAAAAATATACAATGCAAAAGTATAGAAACATAAAAATATAAGGCGTGGTACAAAGAAAATATGTTAGAAGAGAAAGATGACTTTGGCATTGGAACCAAAACAGACTGGATTCAAATCGTACCTTTGTTTCTTGCAAGTTGTGTGACCACATGGAGCCCCTATTTTCTCATCTTTATAATGAAGTAAAAATAGTCACAACTGGTATAACTGGTATCCAGCAGGTATATCCTGGAATGCATCCATGACAGTTAGGAAGTAGTCCCTGTCCTGTGTCCCCCTAGAACCTACAGAAATCTCTGCTCTGAAATCCTCCTTTAGGAACCCCCTCCTACCTGCAGGCAATCCGGCAAATAAGGGGTCAATATCTGTACCTTCCTAGCACTGCAGGACCCCAGCTTAGCTCTGTGGCTTGTCTTTCTGGTCACTGGCATTAGTTGTTAAATTTGACCATCTCCCTAAGCCCCAATCTTGCAGGCTTGTGAAGTTTAAATTGGATCATGTGTGTGTTGCACTTAGCCCAGGGCCTGGCAAGAAATAGGCTCTTAATTACTAGAGCTTAATTCTTACAAGAGAAGCAGGGCAACTGGAGGAAAGGGCCTGCATCGAAGCTTTTGGCTGTTGCATGATCCACTTCCTCAAACCCTTGTCCTACTTTTCCAGTCCGTCAAGATTTCCCTGCTTAAATGAGCTCAATTGCCTTGCTCATAGTCTTATCGGAAATAACAGCATTTTACACTTTCCCACTCTTCCTGTTATTATTAATAGTGCATATCGGGCCCTTATCTGGCAGAGAGCTAAAGGGCAGTACATCCATTTGCTCATTCAATTGTCAAAGCAACCCTTTGAGGTAGTGCTATTGCTCATCCCCATTTCATAGGTGAGAAAACAGAAGCTTAGAGAAATTAAGGGAGTGGCCCAAGGTAGCACTGATCATTTTTCAGGTTATATCATCCCATCCTCTACCTTCAGGTTGGGCTACCTTTTAAGAGTCCAGTCCCCTGAAAAAAATCCCTAAATCATTGCAGCCCATCAGGATGCTTCCCAGAGGATCACCCTTCCCCTGCTGCAGGACTGTGCTGGCTGGCAGTGACAGTGCCATCCACAGCCAGGAAAGATTGTTCTGGAGTCGTGGGTCATAACTTCCTTGTTTCCCATAAAAATAATCACACTTTGACACCACATTATAAATTGAGACTACACTTAGCAAATTGTAAAATGAAGGTGGTAAGACTGCCTAACATCTATTTAACGTGTAACAGTTTGCAAAGTGCTGTTATCAAATCATTTGATTATAAGGAAGAGAAACCCACTCAACTCTTCTCAATTAAAAAAGTGGTTTGTTGAAAATAGGCAGAGAGATGTCAGAAAAGGGACTGCAAGAAATAAAGCCTTCTCGTCAAACCATCTCACTAGCTTTTCCACAATCCATACTCTCTTCCATGTTCTTAACTTAAATTGCAGAAGGAATTCCTCCCCTTTTTGCTTTTAACTTGCCTGATAACGTCCCCCTCTACCATGTCTAGCACGACAAGGCTGTTTGATCTCTTACCTCTGCCTTGGTGGCCCACTGAACCTCCTGTCTCTGCAGGTAAAACCCCAGAGGAAGTGCTAAAAAAATATCTACAGAAAGTCCGGCACCCACCAGATGAGGTGAGTTCAGGGTTAGAAGAGCGGGATTCACCTCTCCATCACCCACAAGCATTTCCTCTTCTGCTGTTGGTTTCTACAGGATATGGCGGGGGCTGCATTCCAAGTTCTCATGGATACAGAACTGGTCAGAACTGACACTGAGGGTTCAAGGTCCATGGTCCAGAGCTGCAGCTGCACCTCAATCTCTCCCGCCTCCCCCTTCAGCATAGTGCTGGTTGTTTTTAAGCTACCTTAACATGACAGTCTCAATTTAGGAAAAACAGTGTGATAAGCCACAAGAACTCACCTTAAAATGGGTTTGATACAGAACAGTGGTTCTCAACCAGAGACAATTTGGCCCCTGAGGGAACATTTGGCCATGTCTGGAGACATTTTTGGTCGTCATTATTCTCAGGACCTTGTGAGTAGAGCAGAGGCCAGGGATGGTGCTAACCACCCTACAATGCCCAGGACAGTCCTCACAGCAAAGAATTGTCCTCCCCAAAATGTAAATAGTTCTGAGGTTTAGAAACCCTGTTGGACATTTATTTAAATAGCCGTCCCTCTGGTACAGTTAAAATACAATTCCTTTACATTCCTTAAAAATTCACCTTAAGTAAAGCTCCTCAGTGGGCTTGTTGACAGTATTTGTTTCCTCCATAAGCCGTTGAAGGACAAAACAGAAGGACAGTGCATTGTTATAGCCCTCACGATTATGATAATTTAGATGATGAGCCCAAGTTAATCAGTACCAGGAATTATTTCAGGACGTTGTTGTGTAAAGACAAAACGATATTTAGATTCCAGAAAGCACTTACACCCTGATTTGTGGGTGTTTTAGAAGAGAAGTGGTAAGAGCTCATCTGACCTCTGAGATCATGTGGAAATCTCCCAGGCTGAGTGAGAGCTGACAGCCTCTCTGCTGTGTCTCCTCCCTCCCCAGGACTGCACCATCTGTATGGAACGCCTCACGGCCCCCTCAGGCTACAAGGGCCCGCAGCCTACGGTAAAACCTGACCTGGTAGGGAAGCTGTCCAGATGCGGCCACGTCTACCACATCTACTGCTTGGTTGCCATGTACAACAATGGGAACAAGGTCAGTGCCAGCCTATGGGGCTCCTGCCACCCTTCACACTGGGCTCTGGAGTAGCAAGATGGTGAAGGCCCTTTAGGGCCCTTGCTCAAGTGATCTGGGAAGTCTTAGAGGTTATCCCTAGGCAAGAGTGATGATCTTGGCTGTTCTCAGCAGGATCAGTTCTTTACTAAATTACAGTGCTGGTAAGACCTGTCTTCACCTTCCCTTTTGGGCTGTGCTATCTAATTCTCCATCTTCGGTGTCAGGTCTAAGAGTGGGGTAGGTTTTGCCCCTGAGGGTTCTGAGGGGAGTGGCCCATTGTCATGGCCCATTGCTAGGTGAAGTGTGCTCCCATCAGTGAGAGAGAAGGAAGTTCTTATCACAGCGCTAGACCCATGGTGAGTATTCGTTCATACCATTGTAAATGGGTTTCCCAATCACCCTTTCTTCCCCAGGGTTAGTGATTTTCAGCTACAATTTTCTTTGGACAATTTCAAAACACCCTTGATTGGCCCTTCAAAGGTACTAAAGACTGTTGCCAAAGTACACCTGGTAATCCCTGCCCTAGAATCCCACTGTTGGAAGAGGGGAAGGCTGTTTGGGATGCTTGTCTTGTCTATTATCTGACAATGCAATGGTATCCCCTCATTAGAGCTGGTTCTTTGGAATCTGGAAGACTCCATAGGTGATCATTCTCTCCTTACAGTGTCTGAGCATTTCCTAAGTCATTGACTCATGTTCTTTCGTGTACCTGAGATAACTTTTACTCCCTATTTCCATGAGTACTTATTTCTCCAGGCCAAGCTTAGATTACATCAGAGTCTGAGATCTCCCTGATAGCTCCCAACCTCTCACTAAGCAAGAAGTATGTCTGGATTATACGTCTGTCTGGTCTGGTCTATACGTCTCTTACTGTGGGAAAGAAGTAGAGGTAAGAGAGGTGGGAGACCTGAGCTTGAATCCTGGCTTATTAGCTGAATGACCTTGGACAAGGTTTTCCAATCTCTGAGAGAGACTTTCCATCTGGAAAATGGAGATTAAAACTATACCTACTTTATGGGGTCTTATGCTATTATTATTCAAATTGATATCGCCTTTGTATTAAAGGCTGTAATTTTTTCCTTCATCTTCATGTAGCCTATTTGATTGAAGTTCCCAAAGTGCTTTCTTGGTGTCCCTGAGAGACATGCTTATAGTGGTGGTCAGTCATTGATGGGGGATGCAAATCTGGATCACTTGCTCACTTTCCCAACCCTGGGCTAAAAGGATTCATTGGGATCTTGCATTTCAAGAAGTTATTTTGGGCTTAAAGGGGTTTCTTAGCACATTTGTTCCCTATTTGATGTCTATATTCAAGAAGAATATGGTAACTCTACATTTATTTCCATGGGGCTTTCAAAAATGTTTCTCAAGAGTCTATGCTTTATTCTCTTTTGCACTAATACTTTGAAGCATGTGTTTTTATTTTATCAAACACATGAGAGAAAAGGGCCCAAGAAGAAAGGAGTGATTCACCCTAGGTCATGAAGCAAGTCAAGGCCAAAGCAGAAAGTGGGAACCTGGTTTCAGAGAATAGTCACCCTGAATACGAGCTATTGCTTTAAGCGAGTAGACTGGAGAAGTCCCTAAATAGCTCAGCAGAGGATCCCTGTCTTCCCGAGGAGTTGGGGATGTCCTGGCAAGCTTTCATCCCAGCTGCGCAGCAGCACATTTTACACACGTTGCTCCCAGCCCATGCGCCTTCCTTCTCTTTGCCCCTCCTTTTTGCGAGCCTGGGAATAGGATTCGGTGTCCAGGCCCTCCTCCAGGCAGCACCTCACCAGGTCCTGCAGTGAAACCGTCACCCTGTACACCCCTGCATCCAGAACTGCCTCTTCCCACTAATGGAGCCACCGAGTTGCAATGCAAAGCTGGGGGTTTAAACAGACCCCACACCCTGACAAGCAGGAAGTCCTTTAATCTTGCTGTGCCTCGATTTTCCTCTCTACAAAAAGGGGCTAATAATTTCTTCCAGGCCATTGTCAGAAGCTAAAGCCTAAATGAAACAAGAAATATTAAACTCTTTATAGTATGATTTAAAGCACTATAATTACTGGCATCATTCTCTCTTCTAGGTATTTGTGCAGACCTTACACTCTATCCTTCTAAGCAAATTCATAGCTATTCTTCAAGGACCATTTTCTTAAAGTTATCCTCATTTACTCCAGCTCTTAGTGGCCAATTTCTCTTTTCATAGCAGTAGTTTCCAAACCTGTATGAGCATCAGTCTTTCCATGGAAATTATAAAAATGCTAATAACATTTAGATACACCACATGCTAAGATCTTCCTATAGATTATCTCATTTAATTCTCCCAACAACCCGATGAGACAGATATTTTTTATCCTTCTCCTATAAGGGAAACTGAGACTCAGAGAAGTTAATTAATTTGTCCAAGGTCACACAGCAGTCAGATGGCAGAGCTAAGAATTACGTCTAGGCAGTCTGATTTTCACATTCACAGCCTGAAACATTATGCTTTGCAGCTTCCCAGTTCTTACTCAGTGGACCCGATGTGGTGCCCAGGCATCTGTGTGATTAACAAGCTCTGTGGGTGATTCTGATGCTCAGGAACTGGGCAGTTGCTGCTCTCCAGGTCTTTCTGTCTGTTCCACCCATTTGGTACTGAGTGGCTGAATAATGACTCCCTGTGTAGGCTCCTGCCCTAGAGAGCTGGTCCCCTCCTCAGGGACAGGGGCTTCTCTTACATATCCCTCAGCATGGAGCATGGGACCAGTTGTGGAATTTACCTCCTATTACTTTGGAGAAAGCAGAAATAGCCTAGGTGACTGGGCTGGGAGGGAAAAACTAAGATCTATCACTCACCAGGGTGCATTTTGTTCCCCTGGCCCTTCATCTCTGGTACCTTTTGGGACTGGGTGGGAAAGTTATTACCAAAACTGTTTCCCAATCTGGCTCTTCTGGCCTTGGCCCCTCAGGATGGAAGTTTGCAGTGTCCAACCTGCAAGACCATTTATGGGGTGAAGACAGGCACCCAACCTCCAGGGAAGATGGAGTACCACCTCATCCCCCACTCCTTGCCTGGCCACCCAGACTGCAAAACCATCCGGATCATCTACAGCATCCCCCCCGGCATTCAGGTGAGCCTTTCTCTCAGGTGAGCCTTTCTGTCACCCCTTGGTTTTTATTGTTCTATGTGTTTGTAGGTAAAAAGTTACATATGAAGAGTCTCCTTCCCACACTTTTCCGCCATCTACCCAGCCTTGCCCGCTGACACTACATCCCCCGACTCAACACTATTGTTCTGACTTTCCTATGTATCCTTCCAGGATTCTTTGTGCACACACAACAGAAAATCGCATCCACCCTTCCCTTTTTTTTTTCACAAACAGTGACATTTAGGCACATTGTTTGGCACCCTGCGCTTTTCAGTTAACAATGTAGTCTGTAGATCTTTCCACATCAGTATAGAGAGAGCTTCCTCGTTCTTGTGTCTGTGTAATCATCCATTGTATAAATGTACCACTATTTGCATTCAGCAGTCTCCATTTGATGGGCATATGGATTGTTGCCAATCTTTGGCTACAACAAATAATGCTGGAATGAATAACCTTGTACACATGTGAATATATCTGTAGAATAATTTTCCAGAAGTGGAATTTCTTTGTCAAACGGTATTTGCACTTGTAATTTGATAGCTATACTTGGCTTTGATTTTGGTGGGCATTTCTTTCCTCTTTTGATTCTCTGAAAGACAGTCCTGAAGAACAAATCTGAACACTATTCCTGCCAGTAAATACAAATGTGGCACCTTCCTTCACACAATGAAGCTTTTTCTGAGTGTTCTGGGCCGTTGACTGTATGCATTTCTTTAGCAAATATTAATTCTTCTATCCTCTTTTCCTCCCTCCTAGTTTTCTTCTTCCATTTTGTCTTTTATTTAACAAACATGGAGTGTGGATTATGGTCCAGACATGTTCTAGACATTGGAGAAGCAATGAGCAAAGTAGACGCAATCCTTGCTCCTTGAAGCCCCTATTCTAGTGGGGCCAGGAAGGCCATAAAGGAAACAAATGAATAAACAAGGTACCTCCAGATAGTGATCATCGATGTGGAGGAAATAAAACAGGAAGTTGTGATAGCCTGTAAAAGAAGTGAATAATTCATAGTTCTTCCTGGAGGGGCTTACCAGCCAGTCAGGGGAAGATAAATGTACATCACTAATAAAACCTCTGAGATGCAACGTAGACAAAGTGAGAACACAGGCCTTCAAAGTCCAATGGACCTGGGTTCCCCTTCCTAGCTGAGTCTTTATTAGCTGGTGCCTTCAGCCCAGGGGTTCCCAACCCTCAGGCCACAGAAGGGGCCGCACAGTAGGAGGTGAGTGATGGGTGAGCCAGTAATACCACCTGTGCTCTGCCTCCTGCCAGATAAGTGGCAGCCTTAGATTCTCATAGGAACACAAACTCTATTGTGAACTGTGCATGTGACGGATCTAGGTCGTGCACTCCTTATGAGAATCTAATGCCTGATGATCTGTCACTGTCTCCCATCATGCCCAGATGAGGCCATCTAGTTGCAGGGAAACAAGTTCAGGTATCTCACTGATTCTTCATTATGGTGAGTTGTGTAATTATTTTGTTATATATTGCAATGTAATAACAATAGAAAGAAAGTGTGCAATAAATGTAATGCTCTTGCATCATCCCAAAACCATCCCCCACCACCCCGGTCCATTGAAAAGTTGTCTTGCACAAAACCAGTCCCTGGGGCCAAAATGGTTGGGGACAGCTGTTTTAGACAACAGGCCCTTGACCTTTTGGAGCCTGATTTCTTCACCTGCCCAGCCAGGAGCCCAATTGGCAGAGGTTTGGTGAGAATGGGAAATAACGTTTGCCTATGCATATTGAAGAATGAGCACAGTACCAAGGTGCTCAATACCTGGTCGTCAACATCATTTTAGGTCCTGCTTGTCATGGTAAAGAGGAGGGCTTATATCTGTCTGTCTGTCTGGAAGGGTTAGAGGAGACTTTCTAGTGCAGGGAATTGTCTAGTTGAGTCTAGAAAGACATAAAAAAATGGAGGAGAACATTTTTAGTGGGAGGAGGTAAGAGGGTTGTAGAGGAAAAATTTGAGTATCAAAGGGCAAGAAGGAAGGGTTTAATTTGGGGCTCAAGACTCGCAAGGAAGTAGAGGGAGGAAGCATGAAGGAGATGGAGGGAGAAGACTAGGCCGTGAGGGAGGTTGCAGCCAGATCATAGAAGGCATTGAGTACCAGGGCGGGGGTCGTGGATTTTAATCATCAGTTATTGGATGTGCAGTTAGGAATATGGACCATTGTGTGAATGGAATTATGCTCTAGGAAGGCTAGTCAGGCAAAAGAGTCGGGGATGGCCAGAGGAAAGAAGACCAATTAAAAGGCCACTGCCACAGTCCAGGCCTTAGGAATGGGGCTCGAACAAGGGAAGGCCGGGATAAGGAAGAGAGAGATATGGTTGGATATGGGGTCAGGTGAGACTTCTGGAGTGTCTCAGAGGCAATGAGTCAAGGTGATACAGACATGAATGAAAAAACAGGACTTGGGAGAAACAGACGATGTTCTGGTGAGCAGTAGAACAGACTGAAGCTTGCAAAGACAAACGTGGGGCTACCATTTCCTCCAGGATTAAAGAGCAGAGAGCCCACACTAGGGGATACAGGTGGTGCATGCTGCCTTGACGGGTACCACGGTGGCTCCTCCTGAAAAACCCAAGCTCGTATCAAGGGAAATGCAGCTCTCCACTGTTAGGATCTACATTCATCCCTGAGTGTAAGTAGCAGGACACTCAGTGCCATGTCATTCAAGTTTCCAGGGACCACACAGGCATGCGCTTCTGTGAGGAGTCGAGACCTTCAAGCTCTGCATTCACTGCAGAGAACTATTCCCTTGGGGAGAAACTCTGGGTTGGGCTGAGGCAGAGTCGTGACTGCTCCACTTAGCAACGAGCTGGGAGGGCACAGCCGTGTTGGGTCAGTGCCAGGCAGGCGTCTGAGTTGGCCACACAAGCGGCAGTCGAAGGCAGATCAGGAGCAGTCAGAGCCGTGGTTAGAACTGGCCTTTCAGTCAGGCAACTTGATTTAGAAACAGCTGGGGCCATGGGAAGGTTGTAAATTTGTAGTGATTTCCTGTAAATGTCAAATTCATAAATGTTGGATTCTGCATCTCCGAGAAGGCGTTGTTGCTTCTTTCAGCTCACGGTGACTGCTCCCTTCTCTGAGACCCCATTGCATTTACCATGTCAAACCATAGGTGATCTTGAATCATGTTAACTATTTAAGAAAATGGAAAGCCACAGAATTTCTTATCATTTTGGAACCATGGTCCATAATAAGAGAAAAAGAAAAATCTGGGTTTTTTTCTTGCAGTTTTTTCATTCATTTGTTCTTCCACACTCGTTCATTTATTCAGGCAGGATGTATTTGCTGATCATCTACGTGAGAACTTGTGCCAAGAGCTGCATGGAAGTATCAGTTTTATACTGGTTGAATCTAGAAGGGGTTTTTAAAGAGGGTTCCATCCCTCAGGGGGTCAGGGATCCTCAGAAATTATAGACAAACCTTTGTATGGGGAGGAGGGGATTTGGTCATTGTTACCGGGAGAAAATTTGCCGCTTTTCATGAGCTTCTCAAAGAGGCCTGTGGACTCATTCTGGGCACTGATTAGGAAACCTGTTCTCACTCAATTGTGCTTCAGTTTTTTTCTCACCAAGTGGCCTGAGACTGCCTACTTAATAGGGTATTGGGTGGCAATAGTTGAAATGCTGTTAGAAGATTTTTAGTCCTGACTATCCCAATTCCTATTGTTAAAGAAGAAAACAAACAAAAACCCATGAGGACAAAGGAGAAAATCCACAAGAATCATTCAGAAAATTCTGTTGGCATGGCTCATAGCTTGGAGGCACTTTCTTTATTCTGAGTAGTTAAAAATCCAGAGTGTGCCTCAGGAAACCTGGGCTTCAATTTTAGCAGAGCCACTAATATTACAGAAGCCACATATCTTCTCTGCACTGCAGATTTCTTCTTTTGTAAGACAATAGATGATGAAGATGATGGACAATGATGTTAAACATTTACTGAGCTCTTACTACTCATCAGGCACCACTCACTTAACATTTATAACAGCCCCATAAGGGAAGGACTCTGCGTCATTCCTGTTAGAGAGATGGGGAACAAAAGCCCCAAGAGAGGGTTCCAGCTAATGCAGTGGGAGGTAGCAGCTCTGCATCCAAACCCAGGTCTAAGGACACAGAAACACGTGCTAAATGACCACTCACAGTGCTTTTTGGGTCTGTTCTCTGTTGAAGCTTTATGGGAATTATTATTGTCATTATTATTGAAATTAGTCACAGCCTAACCCCGCTCTTATCAGAAATATTTTGAAAAATGCCATTTGCTTGCTTGCTTTCTGCTTTCAGGGACCGGAACACCCGAATCCTGGGAAGAGTTTCAGCGCCCGAGGCTTCCCACGACACTGTTACCTTCCGGACAGCGAGAAAGGGAGAAAAGTAAGACCGGAAGTTTCCACATAGAACTAGGTTTTAGAATAGATCGGGCAGTTTACTTCTATGTCAAGGCCTAAAGTTTTGCTTCTTACAATGCACAGACCAAAGAGAACTGTGTCTCTTTTAAGTCTAGATGCACACAGTAACAAGGTCAAATTTGAGTCAACCATAGGTGGGGTGGCTACGATTAGAATTAGGTGGGTGGGAGTGGACATTTAGTTTGTGTATTAGCCTGTTCTCACGCTGCTAATAAAGACATAAATGAAACTGGGTAATTTATGAAGGAAAGAGGTTTAATTGACTCTCAGTTCCACGTGGCTGGGAAGTCCCCACAATCATGGCAGAAGATGAAAGGCAACTCTTATATGGTGGCAGTCAAGAAAGAATGAGAGCCAAGTGAAAGGGGAAACCCCTTATAAAACCATCAGATCTTGTGACACTTATTCACTACCATGAGAACAGTATAGGGGAAACTGCCCCCATGATTCAGTTATCTCCCACTGGGTCCCTCCCACAGCATGTGGGAATTATGGGAACTACAATTCAAGATGAGGTTTGGGTGGGGACACAGCCAAACCATGTCAGTTTGTTTCCTCTCTCGGGTATTAGTGGCAATAATTCATCTATTTTAAGATCCTGTGTCTAGAGCCCTGCTGCTTAAACGCTGGTCCTGGGACCAGCGCCAGTGGCACCACATAGGAGCTTGATAGAAATGCAGAACCAGAAGCCACTTCATCTTAACGAGATGCGTAGCTGATCTGACAACACATTGAAGCTGGAGAAACACTGGTCTGGGATAGGGATCTTAATATGTAGATTATTTTCTTTGTATGTACTTTCATATTATTTGACTTTTTCCCAAAAGGGCAGAGAAAACAATCATTGGGTTTCTGGATTCCTAGTGATTCATGATTAGGCTTCAGTGGTTCTATGAACTCTAAAATTAGAATAAAAAATTTATGTTTGTATTTCTATGGATGAGGCCAGAAAATCATTGGATTTTCAAAATCTTTCCCGATCTCAAAAGGAGTAGGAACCATTGATCTAAAGGGAGTATTGGGGGGAATATTAGACAAGATATATTTTAGTGAGCTTTCTCTCCAAATTTCCGCTGCTTACTTCAACAAGTATTTATTCGTCATGCACTTTGCTTGTCAGCAGCTATGGCTATGCTGTTGCTGTGGGTCAGTGTCTTAGTCTGTTCTGGCTGCTGTAACACAGTGCCATAGACGGGGTGCCTTATAAACAATAGACACTTATGTCTCACAATTCTGGAACCTGAGAAGTCCAAGATCAAGGCACAGGCGGGTTTAGTGTCTGGCTAGGACTTGTTCATATGAACCCATCCTGGTTTGTAAATGGTGCCTTCTCACTGTGTCCCCACATGGTAGAAGGGGCAAGGGGTTTCTCTGGGGCCTCTTTTATAAGGGCACTAATGTCATCCATTAGGGTTCTGCTGTCATTACCTAATCACCTCTCCAAGGACCCACCTTCTAATACTGTCACCTTGGGGGTGAGGATTTCAACATAGCAATTTCGTGAGGACACATATTCAGACCATAGCAGCAGCTTCAGTCGGCTCCACGTGTCTTCCTGTTCTGCAGGCCAGGTGGAAGGAGCAGCCCTCCTGTGGCCCATGCCCTTCCCATGGAAGGGGGCAGAGGACAAACAGAGAACCCAAGCGGAAGTGTGTAATCCCATTTAGAGCCCCTGGATGCTTGTTACTTCCACTCACCCTTCACAGGCCCCAACAAGTCCTGGGCAAGCCAGATAAGGGGTGGGACAGTGACCTTTCTACAGGGAGGCACTTTGGGTTTCATGTCAAAGGGTATGGATATGGTCTCCCCCTACAGGTGGCAGGCAGGTATTTTGGAAGAAATAGAAAATCAACCACACTGAGAAGATGTGCGAGTGCAGTGTCCCCAGATTAGGGGTCAGGACCATCCCTGATACTGTTTACCTTGAAGAGCCAGATTTCTGTGCTTGAGCCCTGGAGCTACATCCCAACTGTTGGCGAAATGCCTCCACTGTAAAGTCCTGCGGTTAAAACTAGAATCCTGTTGCCAAGAGCTGCTTTTCTTCCAGGCCTCCCTCTTTATGTTAATGACATATTCAGAGTCCCTGGTACCCAGATGGGCACATTAACCTTCTTGGACTCCTGTTCTTATCCACTGCATCCATTTAGCTCATTCCTCCCTGCACTCACTGCCTTCCAAACCACTAGACTCCTCTTCTAACCCTGCCACTGCCAACATAGATAAGACTTCATCTTTTACCTGCTACCAGGTTAGTTTCAAACAGTTTCTAGAATCAAGCTTTTTGTGTGTAAAAGAAATAAAATGAAGAAACAACAAAGTGCACTCTTCTCAGCTTGACATATAAGACCTACTACAGTGTGAGTTAAACCTTCTCCTCACACCAATTTCTCATCCTTATCCTTCACATTTGCTGTTCCAGGACCCTAACCTTGGGCTTCCTTGTAGATTGAAGTATAATTAGAGGATGGGCTTTGAAGCCAGACCAGCCTGGGTTCAAGTCCCATTTCTGCCATTTACTAGCTGTGGGAACTGGTTGGCTTCATGTCTTGAAGTCTCAGTTTCCTAATCTGTAAAATAGTGGTGATGATTTGCATCTGTATGGACAGGATGTTGGAAAAATTAAATGAAAATATCATTTGTAAAATGCACAGCATAGTGACAGCAATTGTAATTTATCCATGCCTTGGGTTTATATTTGTTTACTATGTCTATACATCCTTCTCTATTGATATGCCCCCAAATCCTTCCCTTCCTTTACTACTCAGCTCAGAAGCAACCTCCATGAATTCTAGACTGATTCCCATCTGAGAGTCAACAGAGTGGTGATTCAGACCATGGGCTATGGAGTCAGGCAGTCCTGAAATCAATCCCTTAACCCCACCGCCCCTAGCCACTTACTAGCTATAAGACCAAGGCAAGTCTTTTACCTTTTGAGCCTCTGTTTCCTTGAGAGGGATGATGAGAGTCCAGTTTTCTGTCATTTAATGACAGGGATATCATTATTATTAGACAGCTTCATCATCATACAAACATCGCAGAGTGTACTTACACAAAACTAGATGGAATAGCCTATTACACAGCTAGGCAATATGGTATAGCCTATTGCTTCTAGGCTACAAACCTGTACACCATGTTATTTTATTGAATACTATAAGTAGTTGTATAATGGTAAGTATTTGTGAATCTAAACATTGAAGAGGTACAGTAAAAATACAGTATAAAAGATAAAAGTGGTATATCTGTATAAGGCACTTACCACGAATGGTACTTGCAGGACTGGAAGTAGTTTTGGGTGAATCTGTGAGTGAATGTGAAGGCCTAGGACATTGCTGTGCACTACTAAAGACTTTATAAACACTGTACACTTAAACTACACTAAATTTATTAAAACTACTTTTCTTTCTTCAATCATAAACTAACCTTAGCTTATTGTGACTTCTCCATTTAAAAACCTTTTAACTTTTTTCACTTTTCACCTGTTTGTAACAACACAGCTTAAAACACAAACACATTGTACAGCTGTAGAAAAATATTTTCTTTAATCCTTATTCTATAAGCTTGTTTATTTTTAAAAACTTTTTTTTTTTTTACTTCTGAAACTTTTTGTTTAAAATGAACACACGAACATATACCTTAGCCTTGACCTACTAAGGGCAGAATCATCAGCATCACTGTCTTCCACATCCATATCTTATCCTGCTGGAAGGCCCTGGGGACAATAACAGGAGTGGAACTGTCATCTCTTATGATAACAATGCCTTCTTCTGGAATACCTTCTGAAGAAACTGCCTGAGGCTGTTTTACAGTTAACTTTTCTTTTCGTAAATAAGTAGGAGTGCACTCTACAATAATGATTAAAAGTACAGTATAGTAAGTACAGGGCAATAGGAATTTCTCAGCTCTATTGTAATCTTGTGAGATCACCATTGCATATGTGTTCAGTCATTGACCAAAATGTCACTATGTGTGGCACATGGGCATACCTATATCATCTGATTACTGTAACGATTATATGTCCCAATGCCCAACACTGAGAAAGTAAACACTCAGGAAATAGCAGCTCATATTTCTAATGTCTGCTTTCATTACTAATACTATTATGGTTTCCTCTCCTCCAGCCCATACCATGTTTACAGTAGTTCAGTTTTCAACCCAAGACATTTTCACTGGATGCTTTTTCTTCATGCTGGACACTACTCTGACCAAGGCCTGGAACAGGGCATTAGCCACTAGTCTTGCTCAACAAACATTTTTTTTTTAATTTAACTGATTTAGAACATTCTGCAAGCCCCAAAACTTTCTTTGAGCCTCAGTTTTCTCACCTCGAGAAAGTCAGAGTGCTCCAAGATGTCACTAGAAAAATAGTGCACAGCTTCAGCTTTGGATAAATTAATACTACATTGAGGTAGTGGTGGCAGTAATGAAGGGCAGAACTTCAGAAGTTCTCAGATCATAAGCGCCTTCAACTCCTAGATCCTGTCTTTCAAAATGCAGCCGTTATGTTGGCAGATAACATTTATCAATTAGTGCGTTGTAGGCACTGGTGTGAAAATACTTTTCATGGAGTGTCCAGTAAGATGTTCACAACGTTTAGAGGCAGATTGTACCATTGCCATTTCATAAAAAAATTAATGTTCAGAGAGGTGCTATAACTTCTCCAAGGTCACACAGTTATTCAGTGACAGAGCCAGGACTCAGCCTGTAGCTCCCAAACTCCAAGTCCAAATCTCTTTCTTTCCCCTGGGCTGCTTAGGGTATCATGATGCAGGAAGGGATGGGGCCCTTGGGAGGATTCTCTACCGTCCAAGGGATAGTCTTTGACTGCCAATTAATGTCTGCCTTTCATGTCCCACTTTTATCCCTCTAGGTTCTGAAGCTGCTGCTCGTGGCCTGGGATCGCCGCCTCATTTTTGCCATTGGCACCTCCAGCACCACAGGCGAGTCAGACACCGTCATCTGGAATGAGGTCCACCACAAGACAGAGTTTGGCTCTAATCTCACTGGCCATGGCTACCCAGATGCCAATTACCTGGATAATGTGCTGGCTGAACTGGCTGCCCAGGGCATCTCTGAGGACAGCACTGCCCAGGAGAAGGACTGAGGCCAGAAAAGCTTTGAGGTGGGAGGGGCCATGGAGACTGCAGGACAGGAAGTGAGGAGAGTGAGTCAATGTAGAAGAAGTTGGTGTCCTGCCCTCCCAACTTTCTATCCTCCCCTCCTGCCCTGTGTCCATCCCTCATCCCTCCCAACCACAGTGGGAGCCAGACTGAATATAGCGACATCATTCATAAATCTCATCCAACACAAAGGGAGATGGGATGAGGGCCATCCTGGGTCTGTTCCCATGGAGTTTTTGGTGCTGGGTAGGCAGGAATCCCCTCCCTACCCCACCTCCCAAGTAGGGGCATGGTCAGCACACCTAGGGTATGGGCAGTGCTTAGGCACTCCATATCCTGGCTTTGGGAAGCCGGGGTTTCTTGCCTCAGCCGGCTTCTTGCTACTTCCACTCTGCTTTGAGACTGGAGTTTCTGCTATTCTCCCTCTGCTGGAGGCAGGGAGCTCTCACTGTGCAAGGTTGGGGGGTGGGCAAAGGGGTGAATCACTAAACTGCTGTGACATCAGAAACTGATGCCTTGGTGTAGAGCAAGGAAGCACTTCTTCCCAAGAGGGTCGGAGAAGGAAAAGCCTCTGGGAGCACATTCTGCTGTCATCACAGTCCTTGGCTTCTCTGGGCCCTCCTCTCCTCCTCACAGCTCTCACCTGTCCAAAGAGGCATCTGGTTCTCTCATGTGGATGGATGGACTCTGGGGTTCCTCTTTGGAGTGGCATCCCATGATGCTGTTTCTAGACCCTCTCTGATCAAACCAGAGCCTGCATCCCACTGAGCATCTGAACTGTCCTCAGGGAGAGGAGCCCACAGCCTTCTTCCCAACTCATTCTAGACCAGCTCAAAGATTCCATGAGTTTCATCGAGTCACTGTGAGTGGAGCCCATGCTGGGCTCTGTGCCCTCTGTGTCTGTGCATGCGCGTGTGTGTGTGGGCGTGTGTGCATTGCTGGGCCAGCTTGAAGGGAAGGCCCGTCATGTCCCTGCACTCTGTTTTGCAAGATGCCAAACCCCAGTTCTGATGGGGCTCCAACAGCCAGGCTGTGGTCCTTTGACGTTCCTCACCTGTTGCCAACCTATCCCGTAGTGAACTGAAACCCCAATGAAGACAGAACTGTGCCTGGGGAGATGCAATGAGGTGAGGGCTGAACTCATCCTTTTATATTTCTTTTCAAGATTGGATCAGAGCTCATCTCCATCCAGTCTTGTTTCTATGAAGGCTTCAATCTGTTTCCATGCAAATTTGCTAATCAGAGCCCAGAGCTGCTGGGTCCCTCATCTCCCTCATCTATTATAGATTGACTTACAGCAGGGAGAGAATCTCTTTAGCTCATTCCTAATGGAGTTGGGATCACAATATGGTCTGGTCCAATCTGCATCTTGTTGTGTCCCAAGACCCTATCTCCTCCCCAACATTCTTATTGCCTTTGGCTCCCAGTAAGGAACGAATTGGGGGCCAGGGAGGAGAACAGGGGGGATCAAGAAGGGAAACCCAATTCCCCCTTTGAAAGTGGGTTCTTTGAACTATGTGTTTGGGGGAAGTTCCTCTGGATACTAATTTGAATTTATATACCTCATGTTTTGGGGGTTTGACGTATATATATATATATATATATGCATATATATTTCATAATATTTGGAAGGTTTTTGATGCTAGAAAAATGGAAACAAGAGAACCTTCAAAAATGGTACTTAGATGGGAACTGGAGGCCAATCTTTCATAAAGCCAGCCCCATAGCTGCTTGCTGTTAGGCCTCCAGCCATTTTGACATTGGGGTGGATAGTCGATTCACCTGCCTGTCAGTCGATTCACCTGCCTGTCACCCAGTTCTGTGGATGTGCTGGTGCTGAGCCTTTGCTCTCTTTCCAAATGGTTACAGGGATGTTGATCAGCTCCACCAGAGGGAGCTCTGATGGGAGGAATTGCTCTGCCATCCTTGTCCCTGTGTCTCCTGTCGGCAGGCAGCCATTGTATCTCACCAGCAGACCAGGAGACTGGTCCCAAGGTTACTGCACCACAGGGCAATTTCCTGCCATAGTTAGGAAGGAAACACCTGAACTAAATGGAAGAGACATCCCTGCGGTGTTTAATATCACACCCATGCCCTTTGTCAGGTTACCATGTACAGAGATTACTTGGAGAGCCTCATGCCGTCTCTACCTTCGCACACTGGTCAAGTATCTGCTGAGCTTCTTGGCCGCAAGGATGCAGAAATAGGCTGAGGGTCCATGGGAAGAAAGACACAATGAGGCAGTAGGAGGTGGGGAAGAAAAGAAGACAGACTTTCAAAATGGAATTAGGCACTGGGGAGAGATCAGTTTCCCCACATCAGGGAGAAGAAGGTATAGGTGGGGAAGGGGGTGGCCAGGAGCAGAAGGAAGAAGACTCAAGATGGAAAGGGAGCCGCTGTGCCTGTGGCAATACCACTTGGAGAGGTCGACTTCATACCTTCAAGCCTTTTCCCCTGGGCTTTTGATTGTGTCTGTGCCCCCTTTCTTGTCCTCTCTGCAGATGCCCAGTAGGGGCTACCTCATCCTCGTGCTGTTCTTGTGTGGCTTTCTGGGCAGTAGGGATCTTGAATTTCCTTTCTAACACTGTGCCCGGCAAGGCGGGGAGCATTCCTCTGCCCTTTGTCTTGTGCCAACCTGGAAAGGTGCAGTCTAGATTTCAGTGAGAACCCTGCCAGCTGAGCCCTGTGCATCTACTACCTTGACACAGAGTGTTTTCCCACTAGAAGCTCTGCTCTGCTCTCCTGGCCCAAGTAGGGGATTCCATGCCTTCCCTTTCATGGTCTTAGCACCAGCAGCCTAGTTTCTCCCTTCCAGAGTCTCCAGGGATGACAAATTGGATTGGAGACAAACCTCGTCAGATGCTCATCCCCTAAAAGGTTAATTGTGTATTTGTGGCTGCGTGTGCCTTTGTGTTTTCATTCTCTTCCCATTTTTGTACATTTTGGTCTTCTCTGTGGTTTTATACTTGGTCAAAAGTACTCGTCTTGGTATTGCACTGTTGTGTGCATGAGAAAACTGGGGGAAGGCTCACTGGTACAAGAAAGGACCCCTGACCCCTTTCCTTCTCTGTGGTCCCCGGCATTAGATTGGGGGTTCTGGGAGAGGCAGGTGAATGTCCTAAGTGAATTGTTCTGTTTGTAACTGGAATGTTTTTGAAGTCTTTGGTGTTGCTCCGTGAAAGGACATCGCCACCTGGTGCTCATGAGGTGTCTTTGCAGAACAATAAATGGCAAATGAACAACCACAAAATTGTTACTCTTGTTGGCCTTCTGCTGTTTGTAGATTAGTGCACCTATCTGTGAGGGATTTGGGTTACCTCCCTGAGTCTGTAAGCAACCACAAGCCCTGCCACTGGGTGGGGGAAGTCCCTCCCCAACCACTTAAAAACAAATTTTCCACATATTACCCACCCACACATTTGACCTGGCTAGACTTTGTTTGCCTAAAGGAACAGACCACATTGCTGGGAAAATGAGTAAGTGAACGTGTGGGAGAAAAACACTTTTAGAATCACGAATATTCACTTTTAAAGGTCTCTTTGCCTGGCTGCAATATAGTGTGTGTTTAAATTATTTACAGGCTGTTGTTTCTCAAATAAATGTTTAATATTAATCATTCCCAAACTGACAAGAACACAAAAATAAAATGCAAATACAGAGCCAGCTTTGTCACCCAAATCTGTGTCTATTTCTGATAGTCCATGGAATGTGGTTTTCTTGGAAGCCAGGGTTGGTCTCCCCACAGACCCCAGGCTAAGGTCACCAGTTAGGAACCCAGGACTTGGAAGGCAGAGCCTGTGAGCTCTTCCATCAGGGATCTGACTCCGCAAAACGACTTGATGAATGCAATTGGCAAACTCCCATGTTCGGACTTCATATGCATGAGCCGTTGGACAGAGGGTTTCTTAGTATATACTTTAATGCATGTTTATGTGCAATCTTGTTAGTGGGTATACAAGTTTGTGAAGAACTTCTCATTTCAATAGGCAGTTAATGTAATGCATTAAAAGCCTGGGAATTTGGGGCTATATTTTTCCTTTCTGACTCAATAATCTTCAAAGAATTCATAGGAAAGTCAGTACTTGCAGACAAGTGGTTAGCTTGGCTAAAATGTACAAAACACCCAGAACCCACAAAACACTCAGAGGTTTAGGAGAATGTTTTAATGCTTAAGAGGCAGGATCAAGTGAAGAGGTTACAGAAATCAGTGTCTCTGGCTGGGCAGTCAAGAGAGCGGGCTCAAATTCTGTGACTCACTTCTCTGTGTCTCGGTTGGAAATGAATGGGTATCCTGGTTCCCACCTTCCCACACACTGTGATACTTCAAACTCCTTGGGTGAAGGGCCTCTTCTCAGCCCAAGATCTTGATTGTGAACATTAACAAAGAGAACAGTCATCCTCCACAGAAGATAACTCATTAATGACATTTGATTCAGTGAATAAATATATCATTTAAAAAAATATTGTAGGGGGATCATGAAAGTAGTGGAGGTAATTACAATCAGGAGAGATTGGTATTAAAATTGAGCAAAGTCCCAACTCTCACCAGATGACAATTATGCATCCTGCTAGATGCCCCAGGGCTGTCAGCCTGGAACTGAAATAAATGTGTTATAAGTGGTGCTGGATGCCTTTTTCAGTTCATTTGAAAACATGGATTTGATCATGTCAGCTCCCTTTCTGCTGGAAAAAAAAGTAGTTTGCATAATTGGTGTTAACTACTCTGTTTTGATTCTACAGAGTAAGTAATACTCAAATGTGGTCTTACTTTAACTTCTTGCCTTTGTTACCCCCAGAACCATGCAGACATTGAAATGTGGTGTGCGTGTGTGTGTGTGTGTGTGTGTGTGTGTGTGTTCATATAACAGGAGGACAGGAAAGGTAAGGACCCAGAACAATGAAGACTTATTGAAATGTGGTATGTGTGTGCGTGTGTGTGTGTGTGTGTGTGTGTGTGTGTGTGTGTGTTCATATAACAGGAGGACAGGAAAGGTAATGACCATCCATGGAAGATGAAGGGGTAGTACTTAGCACCAGAATCTTTTCCAGTTTTTACCCATCTTTCATTACTCCTTGTCTCCAAATCATCCCTTCCTTAATAACTTAAAATAACTTAAAATATTTTCTGAGGACTTGATGACACCAGTCAGAAGTCCAAGAGTGGTCTGGTATAAGGGAGTGTTCATCAAGGGGCAGCTGGAAAAAGTGGAATTGGCACAGGCAACATCTTTCTTTTCAGATGTTTGAGGTCACCCAGAGGAGATAACAGTCTGTCAACATAGAGCCCTCAAAGTTAAAAAGCAGTAGCCAGGCAAGACTTGTGTCTTTTCAGGGCTCTTCCAGGCTCTAAGAGTGTGAAATTCAGACAGGTTTTTAAAAATCAAAATAAAAGGAGAGTAGTTCTTACAGGCAGAAACTCTTAGAGCTCACAAATTGGAAACAACTGCAAACTTCAGAGTAAATTCATAGCTTCCAAATACAAATGTTCACATTGTCCCTCCGCTATTTTTACACAAATGCATTCAGGTGAAGACAGCAACACACATTGGGAAAGGACATCTGCTTCCTATTTTAGTCCCAGAATCACTTTTGCTTCTAGTCCCAACTGTTCCCTCTCCCCAATCCCAACCTTATCCATGTAACAGTATGAATTTCCTGGCCCAGAGACCTAAACAAGAAGTCACGAATATACCTACTTTTGGTTGCACTTGCCATTTCAATGCTTAGGAAAACAGAGTGGTCAGCAATGACCACACTGGAGATGAGAGAAACCATTTTCGGGGAGAGATTTAAGCTGGACTCTGCCCCTGCTCTTGGTAAGTGGTGTCTCCAGTTGCTGCAGTGCCTGGAACCAAACTCTGCCTTTCCTCAATTGCCTGATATGCTTTCTTCTTGAACTTCCGGGTGCCGTAGATGGCCAAGGTGATAACAACAGCCAGAATGGTGGTGACCCCCACTGTGACCCCAGCTGCAGCCCCTCCTGACAGACCACCACCATCCCCATGGATGACATTCATGGCCCTCCGCAGCTCTATCGGTTCTCCCAGCCTCCACTGGTGGGTCTGGGAGTCTTTAATCCAGGATCTCGCATTCTCAGAATTGGTCACTATGACAGTATTGGTGGCAGCCTGACTCATGAGGGGTGGCCGGGTGAAAGGTGGGAGCCTGGCAGGGGGCAGGGACCCTCCTGTGAAGAGCCCGGATTTGACGCAATAGGACACTTGGCATCCATCGCTGATGAGGGCTGGGTGCTGGCTGAAGCCCCCGGGGCACTTTTTCAGAGACGGTGCCCCTAAATCTCTGGATATAGCAGGATCTACCAGGGGGTTCCCAACTGTGCAGCTAAAGAACCCGCCAAAGGGGACCGCAAACCTGCTTCCCAACTCATAGTCCTGAGAAACACATACCTTGAGGTTTTCAAAGAGTCTCAGTGGAAAGTAGCCGGCTGGGCATGACTGTGCATTTGTCATGGGGTTTATGCTCTTGCTGCTGAAGAGGCCCCCAAAAAGCAGTCCTGAGTTTTCAGGTACTTGGCTGCTGGCCACACACCAAAAAGCCCTAAATTCAGCTTTTGCCACCTGGAACACATCTTCACACACGGTCTTGCAGAAGACGAGGAGAGTGCACTTTCGATGACACTCCAGGTGGTTGTAACCCTCCTCGTGGATCTGGGATAACAGGTGCACCGGGGAGTAGCCAGAGGGGCAGGAGAAATCACCAGTGAGTGGATTCTTCTGCTCCAACTTTTGGCAGAGGAGGACATCCCTATTCCCTGAGAGCTGAGTGCATTCCTGATAAACCCCACCGAAAGAGAAGTTGGTCATTTTCCCCTCGCAGGAGCCATCATCCGTGTTGGCCTGAAAATTGAAGTTGGGAGAATTGAGATCTGTGCAGCCAGGGTAGGTGTTGAATGTATAATAGCGCTTCACAGCAGTTTCCACTGTCTTTGACACCTTCTTCACCAGGGGGCCTGGCAAGTCAGGTAGCATGTTGGGGTTGATGAAGAAATGCAGCGGCAGGCCAGAGCGGTCGATGGCCACCAGGTGGTTGGTGATACCCTGCTGCCAGGCCTGGAGGGTGATGCCTGGGTAAAAAGGAACCCCTCCAATGCTCTGCACCCTGGAGTTGGTTCGGTTTGAGAGGTAGCTCTTGGTGAGGACATTCTGCGAGGTATAGTTTTCCTCAAATTTGAAGTTCACGGTGTTTTGAAAGGCAAGTCCAGCAGAGGCGGTCACGGCACTACGACTGCTCTGGCTGTCTTGGAGGAAGGAGGCCCTGAGGTGGTCCTCCTGAATAAGAGCAGCCCCAGCGTCGACACTGGTGGTGACGTGGGTGCCATAGTTGAGCACCAGGAGTTCTGCCAGGTAGGTGGCCATCCTCGTCTGGTTGTTCTCTAGACGGTCAGAGATGTCAAGGAGTTCCTTCCTAAAACCTGAGCTTAGCTCTAAAGTTGGGTTGATTTTGACTGTGTAGACGAGGTTTCTTACCTGAACTCGGGTAGTTATAGCTTGGTCCTTCACTTGGAGGGTCTTCATCCTCTGGAACTCAGTGGAAAACTTGCCATTGACTTTGGAAAAAAGAGAGAGTTCTGTGTTGATGGAGTAGGAGGTGCTACTCTGGTAATTTGCCCAGGATTCCAGGATTTCTGAGTTCATCTCCAGGTTGCTCTGTTTCTGGGGAATGGTGAAGATTTCATCAGGGATGATATACTGTCCATCCTCTGTTGTCCTGCAGTTGGAGTAAGTCAATTCCATAACTCGTCCCATGTCCACATTCCGCAGATTGTCCCAGCCCCCTCCAGGTAGGACTTCCAGGACAGGTAGTTTCAAGGCATTCTTGCATTTTTGAACTCCAACTTCGTCCATCTCTCCCGAAGGCTTGCCTGATTTAGCCCATGCTGCCGCTGCCCAGAAGAGGATGGTGGCCCTGAAGTTGTTCATGGCTCAGACAGCCCCAGCCACTCACCAGCCCTACACAGCGGCCAGCAAGCTTTGGGCAAACTAAGATGGAGAAAACAGAAGCAGATGATGAAGCGGAAAACTCATGAGTTCTCTAAAAGCTACAAGTTCCTCTTTAAGCTAATTTAATGACAAAATGGGGAAACGAGAGTTGGTTGGAATATTAAAGACCATCAGGTCTTTGAAGAATTTATGCCGTACTAAACATGCAAACACACCCCTACATGCCTAACAGGTAGCTATCCTAATTTTTCCCCCAGCTCTGGCTGGTTACTCTGCTGCAGGGGTGTGCACTTAGAAAAAAATCCCGACCCCACACCCTACTGCTTCCTCCACCAGAAAGTTTGGCTTTGCTTTTTGCTCATTCTCTTGGACTTGATGTTTCATATTTTCCCTGACTGCTGTCTCTTGGGACTCCATTATCAGTTTTCTTTTACTATAAATGCAGAGGCAAATGACCACACCACCCTTACTGAAACACCCTGGCTCCACCATACCTATGCAAGCTGTTAGTCAAGGCCAACCCTGGGTTTCCTCTTTGCCTGAGGGTGGAGGCTGTTTCCACAAAAGAAAGGAGTGAAACTCTTGGACACTTGTCCTGTGGGTTTCACTGTTATGAACCATAGCAATTCTGTCTTTGGGGATGGCATTGTCTGGAGCACAGCTGACAGGGCCTGAAGAGGATTCGGTTGCAATATGCTGGGAAACCCCAATTTGCATTGTCCTAAGCATTCAAAGCGAGGGCAAGGAACTCCTACACTGTGTTGTTTTCATTCAGATAGAAATGTTCAAGACAAAACCACACTATTATCTAGATTTTGATTTATCAACAGCAGACAGGGGCCAAGGAACATATGTGTATGTGTACACACATTTATATATCCTCTGTGTGTGTGCATTTTGTATGAAGTTGGTACCTGTTATACCTTTAATTTTTTGTTCCATTGCTAAGTGTGTGTAATCAGTTTAGGTGGATAAAAAAGAATGTGGCTCTTCACTACCCAATATTTTTTCTAAAAGCAAAAATTCATTTGCTATATCATTAGAAGAATATAATTACATGAGTTTCTTTTCAAGTTCCAATGCCAGCTCTATTAGAGCCCATAATTTAAAACAATGGTGACAGGTTTGATTGAAACCCAACTCTGTTAATTCTTTGGGACAATTAGGCTATGTCTTAGTATGCTTAGTGGTAGCCAGGGAATCCAGAGGACTTAGTGAAGCTCCCAGTTGCATCCTTAACATTCCCAAGATTATACCATGAACTAGATACAGTACTGAGACTGAAAAAGTCATGTTGCAATTCACAGGTATCACTACACCATCACCTGTATGCATCCTGGAAGGAAGGTTCCAAGGAGTTGAATTCCTCTGTTGGTTATTAATGCAGCAAAGAAGTGTTTTTAGAAAGAATGAGGCTAGTTATCTTGCTTCCCAGGCTGGGCTTCACCAGTTATTATCAAAACCATGATGGTGTTCTATAAATCTAGAAATACTGCATTCCGGGTATATTTTTTTTTCCAAGACAGGGTCTTGCTTATTGCCCAGGCTTGAGTGCAGTAGCTATTCACAGGCATGGTCCCACTACTAATCAGCATAGGAGTTTTGACCTGCTCCATTTCCAACCTGGACCCGTTTAGCCCTCCTTAGGCAACCTGGTGATTTGCTCCAAGGAGGCCACCATATTGATGCTGAGCTTAGTGCAGACACCCAACTGGCATAGCACACTACAGCCCAGAACTCATGGATTCAAGCAATCCTCCCACATCAGCTTCCCAGGAATCTGGGACTGCAGTCATGCACCACCACACCTGGCCATTCTGGTTCTATTTGTGCCACAGTTATCATGCTTCTGGGAAGTGACACCAGCCACCTAAGAGGGATTAATTTATGAACCAGTGCCTAGTCTGTATTTGGCTAAAGAACCAAATCTTTGCACAGGATGTTCTAGTTAATTTATAAATCAGTTAGCCATAAATTTATACCTCAGCAGCATGATCCCAGAATTAGAAAAATGAGAGTTGAATGCCCTTGAGTACTTCCAATAAGTCTGTTGAAATACCTACATACTTCTCTTCAAACTATTTCTGGGATGGTTCATCAAAATTAGAATACTCTCACACTGCTTTGGAGACAAGCTGACAATTTGTTACCCTCTGCTTTCTCTTTAGTAGACCCTGTTGAGAGCTCACTCTCCTGAAATGAGAATACAAGCAAGGTTAATACAGACAATTCTATATTCAGGTGTTCCTATGTCTCCAGACGTCTAGTCACTGTATTTTTTATTCTATAGACTTTGTCTTCATTTTATCATAGGAAAAAAAAATTGAAAATAGCAGAAAGAGCCAACAACGGTAAAATTACATTGTACCCATAAGACAAAATATTGTATAGCCATCACAATTATTTAAAACTATTTTAATAACATGAGAAATTCTTATGCCATAATGTTACTGGAAAGGGTTCCCAATGCAGACCTCAAGAGAGAGTTCTTGGACTTTGTGCAAGAAGGACCAGGGCAAGTCCACAGAGTAAGGTGAAAGTAAGTTTATTAGAGAAGTAAAGAAACAAAAGAATGGCTACTCCATAGGCAGAGCAGAAGTATGTGCTGCTTGATTAAGGATACTTATCATTATTTCTTAATTATATGCTAAACAAGGGGTGGATTAATCATGAGTTTTCTGGGAAAGAGGTGGGCAATTCCCAGAACTAAGGGTTCCTCTCCTTTTTAGACTATACAGGGTAACTTCTGGAAATTGGCAGTCATGGCACTGGTGGAAACATCTTTTAGCATGCGAATGCACTACAATTAGTGTATAATGAACAATGAGGATGACCAGAGTTCACTCTTGTCGCCATCTTAGTTTTGGTGGGTTTTGGCTGCCTTCTTTACTGCATGCTCTTTTATCAGAAAGATCTTTGTGATCTGTATCTGTATCTTATGCCAATCTTCTATCTCATCCCATGACTTAGAATACTTAACCCTCTGGGAATGCAGCCCAGCCTTCTTTTACCCAGCCCCTATTCGAGATGGAGTTATTCTGGTTCAAATATCTCTGACAATAATGTTATGAAAAAAAAGAATGATAAACATTCAGCATGACCCCAACTATGTACATAACTAGAGGGATGTACGCCAATGCATAGACAGTAATTACATCTGGTTGAGAGGTTTTTCTAAATTATTTTAATTTTTTCCTCTTTTCTGTGTTTTTTGAGTTTTCAACAATGAGCATGTATTTATTAACTCGAGAAATTTGTATTCAGAGCCTATTAAGTACCAAACACTGATGGGTATTGGGTAATCATCACTTTTGTGCTCAGGAAAATAACCAATGCACAACCATGTAAAAAAAAAACAAAAGAAACAGGCCAGGCAGGGTGGCTCATGCCTGTAATCCCAGCACTTTGGGAATCCGAGGTGGATGGATCACTTGAGGCCGGGAGTTCAAGACCAGCCTGGCCAACATGGAGAAACCACATCTCTACTAAAAATACAAAAAAATTAGCCAGATGTAGTGGTGACACACAACTGTAATCCCAGCTACTTGGGAGGCTGAGGCAGGAGAATTGCTTGAACCCAAGAGTTCGAGGCTGCAGTGAGCCGAGATCGTGCCACTGCACTCCAGCCTGCGAGACAGAGTGAGACTGTCAAAAACACAAACAAACAAACAAACAAAAAAACTTAGTTCTGGAATTTTTATATTCCTGAAATGACCCAAAGCCTATGGATTATGTGACTGCTGTGCTCAAGGAAGTTCTCTTTCCAGTTCTCTGGGAAACAGTGAAAGGAGAAGTGCAAATGATGGGAAATTTGGCTTAACTTAATTTTACATACCAGGAGCAGAAGAACTGCTCATAACAGTCACATATGAGGAAGTGGTGACCAGTGCATTTTACCCACAACTTTTCTGTTTTATTCTGTTCACCAGAAATTTCCTTTGCTTTTTCTTGTACTGGAATGCATATGCAGTCACATAACCTCCCCAGATGGCCACACTTGAGGAGTAATGGCCTGTGGCTAACACTGATCTCTAAAAGAAAGAGGCATCTTGTCTACAAAAACTTTGCATCTGCGTTGCTGAACGGCGATTTCACTTCCTCCAAAAAGAGGCAAGAAGGAAGTCCCACATCTGCTTTCTTTCTCTGTTTGATCCCGTGCAACCTTCTGACACCATCTCATTCAGCGCCAAACCGTGATTCATATCTGAGGTTCGCTTCTGTGTGGGCTTGGAACTAATCCAGGTGTTTCCTACTTCTGCATTTCACCTGTGGTCTAAAATGGGGAGGAAAGTCTAGTTGCATTTGCTGGGACAATTCCCTTTCAGCAGGAATCTAGGAAACCAGTGTGAAAACTGATGGTTAAATAATTACTAAGTAGATCAGAGAACTATGGCTTTTAAAGACTTTGCAGTAAACTTTGTTATGGAAAATCTGGAAAGTATCAGTGAACAAAGTGGCAGTATTTTCCTTTCTGAACAGTTGATTCCTAGCCTGACGTTTTAAGAGTTGCGTTGTCAGCTTCTTCCCCTCAGAGGCTCTTCTTTCCACCAGGATCATTTGGTGATCTGACCACAAAACTAAGAACATAGTGATTTCATGACTCCTTTTAATCTGGAGGGTGAAAACAGGAGGCCCATGTGAAGTGTTGCATATTCCCATTAAAAGCTAGGCCAGAATTTGATGGCCTAAGCCATTTCATTTCTGTTCTCTATTAGCACTCTTTTTCTTCCTCTCTCTTCCACTTTCCTTGATCCATTTTCTCATCATCAATTATTCCCCTTCTGCTCTTTTTTTTCTCTTTGGCGTTTGCAAATTTAGATTTGGAGGACACATGTCAGTGATTTGAGGTGGTACTTCCACTGGACTAAAGAGGAGCTGGTTTGAGGGTGTGAGCCTGTAGTCTCAGCTATTCAAGAAGCTGAAGCAGGAGGATCCCTTGAGCCCAGGAGTTCAAGGCCAGCCTGGCTAACATAGTGAGACACTGAAAAAAAAAAGCAAGAAAGCAGGAAGGAAGGAAGGAAGGAGGGAAGGAAGGAGGGAAGGAAGGAAGGAAGGAAGGAAGGAAGGAAGGAAGGAAGGAAGGAAAAGAAAAGAAGAGACAAGAAAAGAAAAAGAAAAACAAAAGAAAAGAAAAAGAAGAAGGACACCCTGATGTGGCAAAAGCTTAGCCCTTTTGGCCTGTAGGCTTCCACACTCCTCTTCCATGTCATGGCAGACATCACTGAGCAGTAATACCCTTGATTTCCACTGAGCCCTGAAGTTGCCTCAACATCATTCTCAACACAGTTCTCTAGGACATTCTAGTGAAAGCCTAATTCATCAATCCATTAAATAAATACTCCTTGAGCATCTGTTATTGGTCATTTGAAGAGTCTAGGAGACAGAGTAAGCCCTGAGAGCCATTGTTTCCTCTCCGTCTATCCTCCAAGCTACGCTCTACAAAGATTGAGCATTAGGACCAACTTACTTCCACTGCCCATCTGCCTTCAGGCTCCCAAATAACATTAGCCTAATATAAAAAGTACCTCTTGCATTATCCTTCAGCCGAAAACAGTTTAGTATGAAGAGCTTTGCACACACAGGACTGGAAACACAGTGGAATTTCTCTTAGGTCCTCATTTCTCCAGTCTCCACTTCTTCCCTCTCATGTAACTTCCTTCTTAAGGAAGATATGAATAAAAGCAGTGATGGAGTTGCATTTGGTCTCTCTGGATTAACTGCTGTCAGACTTCATATTTCTAAGTTTGTTTCATTATTAGGTAACATAAAACCAGTCTCACGTTCAATCTTTTCTTCTTTTACGATGGGATATTCAGATAAACTTTGAGAAGAAGCAAAGTAAAATTGCCACCATTTTTCTTTCTGCCTGAAATCACCATGAATAAGTTAAGGTGAAAACAAGCAATTTAAGTGAAGTGATTCTTCTATCACAGAATTATATAGAATTTGGAGCTTTGGGTCCTCTATTGAAATGTTCACATTGCCTCTTCTATTTATTGATAATCTTAATACGAGATTAAGAGCAAAGCCTGGACTGTGAGTCTATTCAGTCCCTCAACTTTGTTCTTGCTTTGCTAGTCACTCAAATATCTCAACTGCTAGACTGACAAATATAGATGGAAAATAGAGGTTTCAGAATTGAAATACAGGCAACATTCTGGCTCAATAGATGACTTTGTGCAAGTCCTGGAGTTTCCCTAAGCCCTCATCTTACCAACTGTGAAACACAAACAATAGGAGCTTCCTCTATACAGTAGATGAAGTTGCTAAGAGGATTGACTGCAATCATCCATGTAAATCTCAACGTGGTGCAGGCAGGAGCTCAATGTATATCAGCTCTCAGCTTTGCTTGCTGTACAGTCTTCAGGATGGGAGTGGGGGGAAAGGCATGTTAGAGCATCTCAGAAGCTTGACTTTCCTCCCCAGTTATGGATTTGACAGTATGAGAAGTCATATTGACTCAGAGAGACCACCTGACTATTGTTTACTAATATCCTAAACAAAGGTATGAATATCTTTCAGAAAAACAATCTGGTTGCAATGGCATCTGGATTAATGACACAGGTAAATGAGAAGTGATTGGTTGGTTGCTTTATCAAAAAATTCATTTTAGGAGTGTTTTACAAAGGGGTTGCCAAACTTTTTTCTATAAATGAGAAGCTAGTAAATATTCTGGGCTTTGCAATCAAATGGTCTCTGTGGTAACTACCTAGCTCTGCCACTGTAGTACAAAAGTAGGTGATAGGAAAATCAGTGAGCATGAGTGTGTTCCAATCAATCTTTTTAAAAATAAGTTGAGGCTGGATTTGGCCTATAGTCTGTAGTTTACTGACCCTCAATTTAGAATGATAGAATTATAGAATCTCATATTTAAAAAGGACCTGTCTTCCCAGCCAATGATTTAACATCCTCCAATAAAGTCTGACAAAGTGGTCATCCAACCTCTGCTTGGATGCATCCAGATCATGGGGGCTCCCTAGCTCCTGTGAAGACAGTTCTGATCTTAAAACACTCCTGCTTCAACTGATCCCAAATGATCTGTTTGATCTTCTGGTGGCTGACCGCATTCTTCTTCTATGCTGCGACTGTCTTGGCAGTGATGCTGTATATTGTATCCAAGCATAATAAGATGGTAGCCTTAGATGGCCATGAGCCTAGAGGTCCTGTGAGGATGTGACTGTATCTATCTTGTTTACTGACTAATTGGAATGAACGAGGACCACAATGCAAGGGTCCCAGAGGCCTCCTGTTGGGTCAGTTTTTTTTCGTTACTGGAGAATTTCAGTGGTTTTCAGGTCAGAGATCAAGATGAATAGGGCAATTAATGTGCTTGAAGAAGCACCAGTTAACTTTCAAGAAGAAAATATTTCAATACTTCCACAATCCCTCAAAGTGTGGATTTTCTTCTGAAAAAGTCCTACATGACCCAGAAGAGTCCTGCCCTACATGATAACTGTGAGGCAGGAGACACCCAATTTCCTGGGAGAGCTATGAGGCTTTCCTCAATTTCAACCTAACATAAGTGGGAAATATTTACAAACTTAGGGACAATTTAATATGTAAGAAAATTTTGCAGTGAGCATTAGGAAGGGTTGTAGAGGCAACCTCAATTGAAGAGCTATCTTTTGAGGGGCAGGTAAAAAGAGGGGTGGGGGCAGTGACTCAAACCTGAAGTGCTCTCTGTAGCACCTGGGCAGTGCCTGCTGTTTATCTAGGTTGGGCTACTTCCTAAATTCTCCAAGCTAATTTCTGCTTGTCCTCATATTTCAGTTTAAACATGATTTCTTCCTAGAAGCCACTGTTGAATCCATAGGCCTATGTTGTAAGATAACAATTTATGTGCCTCCCTAGATTCCATCAGCAGCACCAGCTTCCCAAGCCTTGGCTACTCCCTCTGTGTAGATTCCCAGGTTGTCCTCCATCCCCTCACCTCCAAAACCACTTGCCTCTCTCCCAGGAAGAGGCCTGGGCTCTGGCATGGTCTCCCCCTCCCCAGTGGTTCCTATGCAAGTCCAGCAAGAGTAGGGTTGCTAGATTTAACAAATACAAATTCAGGGCACCCAGTTAAATTTGAATTTCACATAAACAGTGAATATGTTTTTTAGTATAAATATGTCTCATGCAATACTTGGGGAATAAAAAAATTATTCATTGTTTATCGAAAATTCAATTTTAACTGAGCATCCTGTACTTTATCTGAAGACCCTAAACATGAAGGACCTTAAAGAGATTCTGGTTCCTCTCATCATATCTGGACTCCACTGAAGCACCAAGTCATTGTGTGTGGCATCTGGCTTCTCCAGTGTCTGGCCAGAGGTGCTGCACAGCCCAGAAGTTAAGAGGACTTAATTCCACAGGGCAGTGAACATTGATGAATTAGAGCTGAGATACAGGAGAGATCTAGCAGACAATTTCCTCTCCTTTCTTCCTCCAACGGACTGTCCTGAGCCCTGGTGGTTACGTATGGTCTGGTTAAAGATATTAACCACCTGTGTTTTTCACTGAGTTGCGATCAGCTCAGTAATACACCCCTCTAGATTTGCTTCCTCTCCTTCTCTACCTTATCTCCCTTGCTCCCTCACATTTGCTGCCCTTGGATTGCACCTCCCAATAAACCGTTATTAAATGATAGGGCATTAAATAATACCAGAATCTTCCTCTTACATGCTCCAATAGCACCCCTTGCGTTATTACTCTGTATTTCAATTGACTTTTTGTTTGACTCTCTCCTCCAGTGAATGTAAGCTCTTTAATGACAGAGGACTGTGTCATTGGTTTATCATTCTCTTATTGGAATGTAGCAATGTTTGGTACATAGTTTGCTTATATTGAATGAATAAAGACGTGAATAAAACAGACAAATCTGACAGCATTTCTCAAACATTTCCCTGGAAAAGCAGGCCATGACTCATTGAGATGGAATACTCAAGCTTAAGTAACGTTATTATGAAATTTTTATTTGAATTTACTACAATATTTTTGAACAGTTACCCTGGGTCTAGTTTGTGCTATTTGTGTTTCTTACTATAAAAGAATTGGTTTTCTGGTCTGAAGTTATATCCTTGGCAAACGTGGGATGGTGTAAACTTGATGTCTTACATAATGAATCAATTACAAAGCCTAAAGACAGTGCTCCTCTATGCCAAAAGCTTTGGCCTTATTTACATCTGATCTGGTCTTCAAGGCTCTGGCCCTGCAAGGCTGAACCCATAGCCAGTTCCGTACCCACCTTGCTTCCCATCTTTGCCTGATATCTGCAGCTAATGAGTCTGTCCTAAAGGTACCTGGTCTTACCCCTCTCCCTGTTCCTAACCCTCCTACATAGATATAGAAGCTGGGTGGGGCAAAGGTTGGGAAGGAAGAAGAAACTCTCACAGAACCTGACTTGCCCCAATTGTAATAACACTTTCATTATGCCAACAGCAGGAGAAGGACTAAGTAGGGGAAAACTAGGAAAGAGAACCAGGTCAGCATAATGCAAATACAAGACAGGAGGCATTTATTTAAAATTTCTAGTTATTAGAGAGCCAAATAGGAGCTTTGCTAATTAGAACTAGGGTCCTCACTCCAGCTTTTCCTAGATCCTTGATAGGTCTTTCTCTCTTTTCTACTGGTCCTCTCTTCAAGTTAGATTTTTAATTTTTACCTTGAGAAATTAGGGCCTCATGGGACAGAAAAAGTAGCACAGGGCTAGAAACCTGGTAACTTTGATTCTATTCCTCATTCTCCCACTAACCTAAGGGTGACTTTAGACAAGTCACTTCCCCTCTCTGAGTCTCTGTTTCCCCATCTGTAAAATAAAAAAGCTTGTTGAGATTCTCTCCAGCATCTGAATGACACACAGTCTGTGATTCTGCAATCCAGTGATAACAAACTTCTTCAAAATTATGACCATGATGTTTTACTTGAAAAAAAAAAAGAATATCTTGTTGAATCCAGGTCATGGTGTGGAAATTTTTCCGTGTTTTGTTTCTGCTGATACTTCCCCTTTGTGACTTGCTTCCTTGTGTGGTTTGTAACTTATGAGTCTTGAGCTGCATTTCCACTGGGGTTGTTTGCTGTGGGAGGCTGGTTTGCTCCGGTTTATGGAACTGTCCCTCCAAGATAGTTTTAGCTTTGCCTCTGCTGAGGCCTACTCTATCAGTATATGAGGACTTAGATTCAATATACTGAATAAACTTATACTGAATATGCTGAGTATATGAGGCCTTATGCTGAACCAGTGTTTATGGTAATTTCTTGGTTTGGGAACAATGTGAACAAAAACGTCACACCTATGTGGTCATAAGCCTTCTTGACTCCCAAGACAGTTCCATCACCCCCTTGAACATTGTACACAGGACCAGCAGCCTGGATCCCCACCCACAGCCCTTAAAGCCCCAAGACTCTGCCATTAAGTCTACGTAAGGCCCAACAAGCTCCTTAGCTGCAGGGCTTCAACTCCCACTTACTGCTCTGATTTTGAGTTCTCTCTTTTTGGCCTTCAGGTATTTCCCTTTCTTGGTTTTGAGCTTGAATCTTTGTGTTTGAAGAAATGTGTCTATACCTGAGTATATGCAGGGCAGGGTTTCCATGCATCAGCTCACCCAGCCAAGTTCTCTTTTGTTATAATTATTTTGTAATTGTTAACTTTTTCTTAGATGTAACAGGTTGCCATGCATGTATTGTGGTTTCAGGGCTGTGGGAAACAAACTTTCCTGCTGTCACACCCCTGCCCTGAATAAAATAATACTTTCACAGAAGTCTAAAACCCTTTTTTTCTGAAAGTAACAACTTTCTTTCCATAGGGAGAGCTCAGGCTGCAAATGTAATTAATCTGCCTTCCCTCTCCCTGAACCGCTAGAATAAAGATGAAGAACTGCTATTTCACCAAGTGATGACAACACAACTTTTCCTGAGAGTCGGGAGAGGGCAAAAGAGCAGCTAGTGATTGCATCAGTGAAGTGGGGAGAGAAAAAGACAGAGAGAATTGAGGTCTGAGGGTGGAGAAAGGTCTGGAGACTAACTTCACTGGCAGTGGGATGTTAACAAGAGCCAGATCTCTGCAATGTTCTTCTCCTTTACTTTCATGGTGGGTGAGATAATATGAAGGAATTCTTCATAGAGAGGAAAGATTATGGTCAGGACATGAGGATTCAGGAGCAGTCGGTGTGAATCCTAGCTCTGCCACCATCTTGCAAATTGCTTCCTTTCTCTGGGCTTTCATTTTCTCACTTACAAAATTAGAGGATTATATTAAATTTGTGGATTATAAGCATTATTCAGCTGTAGAGCCTTTCTTTTCCCATGTAAGCTTACATGGAAACCAAAAATATAAAACATATGAAAGAAGAGCTCCCTCGGTTGAGCAGGAAGCAGGGCGCCAAAGCCCAGAAGTTCACTTCCTCCTCACCTCTCAGAGCAGGCCTGGGATCCCTGGAACACAATTTGAAAACTGCCAGTCCGTATATTCTCTTATGGTTTCTTCCATTTGAGGCATGATAATTATGATGAGAAGAAGTTTTCCAAGCCACAGGATTCATGGGATAGCTGAAGTAGCATGATTTCCTTGAAAACAGGAAATCAGAGTCGCCAAACAGTGGAGCAAGGGTTTTCAGACCGTACTGCATTCTTCCTTCTAGAACCTTTCACCTCCTCTTGGGTAAGTTGTCAACAAGCAACACCCAGCTGTTGTGTGATAAGTGGAAAGATTGCTGGGCCAGAAAAGAGTGCTTTCATTAACCAGCTGTGAGACATTAGCAAATTTTTTCCCCACTGGGAGCTCCAGTTATTTGCTTGTAAACAGAGGAGAGTGGGTAGAGCAGTCACTAAGAGATCATGGATAGCTCTAAAAATGTTGTGAGGTACAGTCAAATTAATAATGTACTCCTCCCCAAATTTGTTGAGCAAATACTGAGTCAGGCACCAGTTGCTTTGTCATGAAGATTATAGAGTCATTCAAGGACAGACATTGAACACGATGCACTATGTGAAAGGGAAGTTCAAGATGCTGAGAGAACGTAGCAGGGAAGTGAATGTGGCCCTGGGGATCAGCATGGCCCTCCAAGACAGACGGAGAGGGAGATGGAGATTCAGAGACAAAGAGCCACACGTGGAGACAGAGACAGAGAAACAGAGAGAGAGAGAGACAGACAGAGATATGGAGAGAAACAGAAACAGACACAAAGAGAGAGAGACAGAGAAAGAAGAGACAAAAACAGAGTCAGAGACAAAGATAGACATAGAAGAACAGAGAGGAATGACAGAGACAGAGATAGAAATAGACAGATATATAGAGATAGAGACAGAGATATATACAGAAACAGAAAGACAAAGAGATAGACATAGAGACAGAGAACAGAAACAGAGAGAGAGAAAAGAAACAGAGAGATAGACCACGGATAGAGATACAGAGACAGGGAGACAGAGATAGAGAGACAGAGTGAGTCATAGAGACAGATAGAAAGGCAGAGACAGAGACAGAAACAGATTGTTTTCATCCATTTTAAATTGCTATAAAGGAACACTTGAGGCTGGGTAATTTGTAAAGAAAATAGGTTTAATTGGCTCACAGTTCTGCAGGCTTTATATAAAGCACGGCACCAGCATCTGCTCCTGGAGAGGACTCAGGAAGCTTTGAATCATGGCAGAATGCAAAGGGGGAGCAGGTGCATCACACATCGCATGGCGAGAGTGGGAGCAAGAGAGACAGAGAAGGTGGATGTCCCAAACTCTTTCAAACAACCAGCTCTCAGGTGAACTAACTGGGCAAGAACTCACTTATCACCAAGGGGATGGTGCTCTTCCATTCATGAGGGATTCGCCCCCATGATCCAGTCACCTCCCACCAGGCCCTACCTCCAACATTGGGAATCCCATTTCGAAGGGAGATTTGGAAAAGACACATATCCAAACCATATCACAGATAGAGAGACAGAGACTGAGACATACTGAAAGAGAATGGAGATAATGTTGGGAAGTCTAGGGTGACTACAGATTACAGAGGTGGCTGTGGTTTGAGCAGAGGCTGGAGAGACAGGTATAGGAGTGGATTTTATCATGCATTGTATATGATAAGAATTGGGGACTTCATCAGTTAATAAAAGGTTTTATTCAGGAGAGTAAAATGATACAATTTCTCTTTTATAAGATCCCTCAGGATGTTCCATGGGGGTGGGTTGGAGTCATTTTGTGTATCATTGCAGTAAGTTCCTATGGCTGTCTCAACAAATTATCACAAATTTATTTTCCACCTATCAGGGATTGCGGGAGCAGTTAATAAGGAGAGGGATGGATGTTTTAAAGTCTACCACTGGATTAAGCCAGGTAAGAAAAGTCTGACACACAACAGTGTGCTTGAGGTCAGAAGTCTAAAATTAAGGTGTCTTCAGAGCTGCATTCCCTCTGGAGGCTTCAGAGGAAAATCTGTTTTCTTGCCTCTTTCAGCTTTTGTATTCTTAGCTCACGGCCCCTTCTCCGTATCATTCCAAACTTCTGCTTCTGTCGTCACGCCCCCATGACCAACTCCTTTATAGAACATAAGGTAACACATTCACAAGTTCTGAGGGTTAGAATGTAGACATCTTTGGGAGAGAAGGGCTTATTTTTCAGCTGACCACAATCATTATTGAAAGGCGATGGTCAAAGCTTCAAACACGTATGCCCTTTAGTGCCCTCAGCAGGGTGGATGGTAGGATTTCCTGTGATTCTTTACAAATAACAGTGATAATACTTGGCAGTGAAAATAAATATGAAAAGCTGCCTGGAATGTCCTCTAAGACCTGCCAACTCATTCCACATTGTTTATTGAGCCCATACTGTATTCTTGACTATCACTGTATGTAGTTTTCCATTTCAAATAATAATCACCCTCACCTGGTATATTCTCCTCCTCAGCAAACTGTCAGTGAGAACAATAGTATGATATGATATTTATATCTCAGCACATGGAAAAGTAGTAAAACAACATGTGTGTTTTACTATTGTTTTATTGTTTTATTCCTGACTCTACTCCACATCTCTATAGGCAGGAGAATGTGTTGGTTTCATTGAAGGTAAAAGTATTTGTCAAAGTGTTTGTCAAAATCTCTTAAACTGCCATTGAGCAATTGATAAAGGGAAGAGGGTCTTCATTTGCTCCCTTACAATTTGATTTTATGCTTTGATTTAGGGATGGATTAAAGGACTTAATATTTTTGAGCAGATATTAGAGACCATCTTCATTAGGAGTTATCCCCATAGGTTTTCAGATTTTTAGCAGTCTATCTTTCCCTGCAGTTTTAGCAGTCTTTGTCACAAAAAGGGAGTTGTGGTTCTGTTAAAATGATCATAAATAAAAGTACTAAAGTCATAATCCTGATAGAAAGGGAGCAGTTCCACATTACATGGATGAGTTACCAAAAATTAGGTTATGATGCTGTTCTGTGGTTTCTTTTAAAAAATGATTTTCCTTCTTATTTTAATTGGATCCAAGAAACCACAAAATGTAGAGAGATTCAAAACACACTTGAGGGTTGACTTTACATGTGTTAGAAGTTTCACTGATTTCATAGTTCACAAAATTTATTTTACTTACATTATTTAGTTTGACCCTCACTCAAACTTGTACAGGTAATTTATATGATGGAAGAACAGCTATTAATATTTCCATTATATACATGAAGACAGTGGGATGTCTACTTTATCTAAAAAGACACACAATTTGAGTAAGAAACCAAGCACAATTCTTCGAATTCCTATCCTAATGGACTTTCTAAAGTGGGCATTTATGATTTCTTTTCTTCTGGTGGCAGTGGATTGACATTTCTGATATTTGTTACCAAAAGAACCATGACACATTCTCTTTCTAATGCATCATCTTTCTGTGTAAAGCAAAATCTTGGACTTTATTATATTCTACTTTGCTCCAAAATATTTAAGCAAGCATCCTGCAAAGATATATAAAATATACAAAATAAAAAATTTAGGCCAGGCTCAGTGGCTCAGGCCTGTAATCCCAGCACTTTGGGAGGCCGAGGCGGGCGGATCACGAGGTCAGAAGATCCAGAACATCCTGGCTAACACGGTGAAACCCCGTCTCTACTAAAAATACAAAAAAATTAGCCAGGTATGGTGGCAGGCACCTGTAGTCTCAGCTACTCGGGAGGCTGAGGCAGGAGAATGGCATGAACCTGGGAGGCGGAGCTTGCAGTGAGCCGAAATGGCGTCACTGCACTCCAGCCTGGGCGACAGAGCGAGACTCCATCTCAAAACAAAAAAAAAAAATTAAAGAATGATAAAAGCAAAAACAGAGATGCAGAGAAGAGCCAGGAATAAGAATAAAAGGCCGGACGCGGTGGCTCACTCCTGTAATCCCAGCACTTTGGGAGGCCGAGGCGGATGGATCATGAGGTCAGGGGTTTGAGACCAGCCTGGCCAACGTAGTGAAACCCCATCTCTACTAAAAAATACAAAAAATTAGCCGGGTGTGGTGGCAGGCGACTGTAATTCCAGCTACTTAGGAGGCTGAGGCAGGAGAATAGGTTGAACCTGGGAGGCGGAGTTTGCAGTGAGCCGAGATCGCGCCACCGCACTTCAGCCCAGGCAACTGTGCGAGACTCCGTCTCAAAAAAAAAAAAAAAAAGTGCTCCCAGAGTGACTAAACTTCTTGCTACAGATGTCCCACAAATTTCACTCAAAACTTGTTAGTGGCCAACGTGGAAAGAGTTTATGTTTCCATGTTCAATGATACAGTACAGATTGTTAATAGGATGAATACAGGAAAATTGTAGTGAAGAAGACAGTTGTCAGAGGGTCTATTTCTTCTAGAGTCTTTCAGTATAAATCATTCTTTGTGGATTCTGATGCAATGTTGTGTGGCAGTCTTTTCTTACGTGGCTTAATCCAGGGGTAGACTTTAAAACATCCATCCCTCTCTTTATTAACTGCTCCCCCAACCCCTGATACTTGGTACATGGACACTCAAGACTGTTTTCCTTTGCTAGAGCCTATAGCACAGCTGGTCAGTCCTTTAGCTGAGTGTAGACAGGGGCTGTAAGCTGGATAGAGCCTCCTTGCTGTCATTAACTTTGGAAAGCATTACTTACTCATTATTAATTCAATTCTGTTTATGTTTTAACATTTTGGTTTCTCCCTTGTTTTACGGTCATTTATGAAAAAAAATTTACAAAATTTCTCCATTAAGAAATTCATGGCGGGGGCGCAGTGGCTCACGCCTGTAATCCCAGCACTTTGGGAGGCCGAGGCGGGCGGATCACGAGGTCAGGAGATCGAGACCATCCTGGCTAACATGGTGAAACCCCGTCTCTACTAAAAACACACAAAAAAAATTAGCTGAGCGTGGTGGCGGGCGCCTGTAGTCCCAACTGCTTGGGAGGCTAAGGCAGGAGAATGGTGTGAACCCAGGAGGTGGAGCTTGCAGTGAGCTGAGATAGCGCCATTGCGCTCCAGCCTAGGCGACAGAGCGAGACTCCGCCTCAAAAAAAAAAAAAGAAAGAAATTCATTACTTTTTGAATAATGCTATGTTATATACAGCTCATCACTCTTGGTAAATAACTTAGGTGGCGATCTTATTAAAACTGATTCTATTTAGCAGAAGCAAGCCAGTTCTCCTTTCTCTTTCTGAACTTACATCTTGCCTGACTAGAGAAAATATTTAGGCAGTTTTTGAAAGAATTTGCTTTAATATTTTCTTCTTTGTCTCTGAGTGGTACCAAGCATGCAAGTGAAAATGTGTATTTTCAATGAATGACCTTGGTGTCATGTAAATATGCACTTGAGATGTTCTTAATTTATTAGTGTATGCCAGAGTATATTTTACTTCACATCCTTTCCAGCCTTATATATCTTATCTCACATAAAAATGATGAAAATTTCTATCTCATAGTGTGGTTGTGAGAACTGAAAGAGAAATAGTGTATGTAAGGACCCTTTCTGTCATCTGTAGTATTTTGTAGGTAAAAGAGGAAAATAACCCAATCTAACAGTGTTGTTTCAAGGATTAAAGGGATACATATAAAGAGCCCATCAAAGGGAATAACATTAATATCATTCTTCCAAAAAGTGTAACGTGATAGGTGCCCTGTTATATAGATGGCTAGACATTCCCTGGAAACAGCAATTCAACCTCTCAGTTTCTACCATAAAAATTGCATATTAGGGCTAGGCGCGATGGCTCAAGCCTGCAATTCCAGCACTTTGAGAGGCCGAGGCAGGCGGATCACAAGGTCAGCAGTTTGGGACCAGCCTGGCCAATATGGTGAAATTAGCCGGGCACGGTGGCGCATGCCTGTAGTCCCAGCTACTCGGGAGGCTGAGGCAGAAGAATCACTTGAACCTGGGAGGCGGAGGTTGCAATGAGCCGAGATTGTGCCACTGCACTCCAGCCTGGGCAAAAGAGCTAGACTCCGTCTAAAAAAAAAAAAAGAAAGAAAGAAAAAAATTGCATATTAGCATAAAGCAGCATGTTCAATTACTGTTTGTAATAGATTGGTAAAATCTGGAAACTACCTAAATATCCATCAATGGGGGAATAGGTACATAGATTTTGTGTATCAATTCTATGAAACAATTTAAAAAGACCGAGGTAGATCTATTAACACAGAAGGAGCTCCAAGAAATAACATTCAATGAAAAAAAAGCAAGGTGTGGAATGATCACTCAGCATGATAACATTTATGTAAATACACACAGAGCCGCATAAAATAGTGTTATTTATTTTCAATTGGTACATATATATGAATGTGAATATGCAGAAAAAGTCTAAATTTACATACCAACTCTTAACAGTCATTACCTACTGGGGAGCACAGAAAGAGATTGAAATTGAGAATAAGGTCAAATAAGCATTTTCTCGGCTAGTGTATGAATTTTTTCAAACAAGGAATCTGTGTATATGTTATAGAATTGAAATCCAACTTTAAAAAACTGCTGGGCACAATGCTTGACATAATATAAGCATCTAATAAGTGTTAGTTCCCTTACTGTGGAATAAAATCTCTAAATTTCCTACCAAATGAATTTGGATGTATTTATTCATTGTCCAAAAAATATTTATTAAGCATATAGTTTGACCTACCCATGTTCTATGCTTTGGGGAAAGAATACAGAGAAGTTTAGACAACAATATTAACAACTCTGGAAGAAGACAGTAAAATAAGAAAAATAACAAAATCTCACAAATGCTGATAGATGAATTCGAGGATGTAGAAACACTGCAGTAACACTTAGTCTAGTCTGGAGGAGTCAAAGATCAATAAGGGCCTTACAAAAGAATCTTCGGTCTAAGCCTTAAGCCCTCCCCTACACAAACTGCCAGTAATTCCAGGGGTCAGAGAAGAGATCAAATGAGAACAGTATGAATTGCAAGGGAATTAAGGAAGAATAGTTATGGCCAAAACAGATGTGATTTAGGGTTGGTTGTGATTATTCACATGGTTTATACACACAACCATTAAAGATGCAGGTCTTCAGAAATGTTTCTCTTTTGCCCAAGAACCATCATGTAAAATGGGCTCAAAGACATTGGCGTGCACCTGTAGTCCCAGCTACTCGGGAAGCTGGGGCAGGAGAATCACTTGAATCTGGGAGGCAGAGGTTGCAGTGAGCCAGATCATGCCATGCACTCCAGCCTGGGCGACAGAGTGAGACTCTGTCAAAAAAAAAAAAAGAAAAAAGAAAAAAAAACCTGAAAATTCTGTTAACCAGTGCTCTTGAGCCACTTGCCTGAGCCAGCTCCTGCTCTGTGGAGTGTACTTTCATTTCAATAAATCTGTGCTTTTCTTTCATTGCTTTGTTTGTGTGTTTTGTTCAATTATTTGTTCAAATATCCAAGAACCCTCCACTGGTAACATATTTTGGGGAGCCAGCCAGGAGGTAATCCCAAAGTTTGGGATTTATTTTTCTTCTCTTTTTACCTTTTCCTCTCTCCTCCATATATGGGAACACTTTTTTTTATAGCTGCCCTGCCTGGAAAAAGGAAGACTCTTCTATCTTTCTGGTTATAGTCCTGAATGCTATGTGTGACACAAGCGGCAGCTGCAATGCAGCTTGGGAGCTCTTCCATGGCAAATACACACACTTCAAGTGATTTAAACCTTCTTTTCTTATGCTAAAATTTCCTATAAGGTTAATCCTTAACTGCAAAAGATAATGTCTTTTAGGTGTTTTGACCTCCTTTCTCCAGCCTCCAGTTCCTATCATTAAAGTTCATGGCCAGCACTCAAGTGGAATAGGAAGCCTGGGAAAGTGTGGCCTTATCAAATTACAAGGATGCTAGAAGTCAAGGCCTTCATCCAGGGACAAAGGGAAAGCTCATAGTAGGCCATTGCATCTGGAGGGAAAACATAAAAAGTGACACCAGGGCCCACCTAAGGTCAGAGACATCTGACACTCTAAGATTGGACCCCAAAGGGGGACTTCCCAGGGGATCCTATTCCAGACCTTATCCTCTCCAAAGGGGATGCCCTTGGTAGAGGTTCAGAGGTCTAGTATTAAGCCATCCTTAGAATTTTCTCTCGCAGATGACAATGGGACAGTTTGGGCATTCATGGGGCTTATTTGTTGCTGCAGCAGTTGGATTGTGTTCTGGTGATTGTTTGTATGTCTTTGATATAGCCATGGGAAATTAGGATTTTGTAAACTTGATATTCTTTTGCAATACGGTTTGACGCTAATATTGTTGGGAATTCTGGAGTTTGCTATTGAATGGGAAAGTGGGTTGGACTTGCGTGTACCCAGGCTTTTGTGCTGCAGTTCTAAGCAGGGTCGGGCCTGGCTAGTATGTGATATTCTCCTTTGGTGCTGTTTGTCCCCAATGTTCTTTGAAGTCTGAGGAGGTTTGGCCTTTAAAAATCTAACTGCCATGGAAACTGCTTTACCCAAGATTTTGGTTCACAGCCTTCATTGGATTACCTACTGGGCAAAGAAAGTAAAACCAGTGAGCTTGTATTACTATCTCATGGCTAAAGTACCTAGGCAAAAGCTATTGTATCTTCGTTTGTGTGTGTGTATACATGTCTAGATGTGTTTATTTGTATGTACTTACTGTTATACATTGTGTCTACCAAATTGGCTTATAAGTAAAAGAGCACTCATAAATTAAGTAAATAAGTCCACGCAGTTTTCAAGTTCACATAACAAGTATAACTTTACTAAACAAGCTGGCTTTAAAATTATTGGTAAATTAAAAATAGAAATGTCTTCAAAATTGTCAGCATACATTTTTGTCTGGATTTTATATTTGTCTTTTGTAGATATTTTGAAGTGTCAGGGTTTGGCATAGAAGGTTATAAAACTATAAACCTAGCCGAAACAAAAAGATCTTTGTGCAGATTTTTTAATAAGTAATACTAATTATGTTATTGGTTTAATGAAAACACCTGAGGGGAGAGGGACCAAGATGGCTGAGTAGAAACAGCTTCAGTCTGCAGCTCCCACTGAAACAAACGCAAAGGACAAGTTATTTCTGCATTTCCAACTGAGGTACTTAGATCTTCTCATTGTGACTGATTAGGCAGTTGGTGCGACCCATGGAGAGCAAGGAAAAGCAGGGTGGGGTGATGGTTCACCCGAAAGCTGCCCAGGGCAAAGGGACCTCCCACCCCAAGCCAAGGGAGGCAGTGAGGGACTGTGCTACCTGCCTGGGGTACTACACTTTTTCTATGGATTTTTGCAAGCTGCAGATCAGGAAATTCCCTCATGAGCCTACACCACCATGACCTTGGGTCTCAAGCACAAAAGTGGGCAGACCCATGGCAGCTGCTCCAGTCGGTGGCTGTTCAGGCAGGCACAGAGCTCCAGGAGTTTTTACATGTTCTGGTGGTTCCCAGAACTCCAGTGAGGCCAGGGAACTGTCCACTCCAGTGGAAAGGAGGCTGAAGACAGGGAGCCAAATGGCCTCACTCAGCAGGTCCCACTCCCATGGAACCCTGCAAGCTAAGACCCATTGGTTTGGAATTTTTGCTGGCCAGCACAGCAGCCTGGAGTCTGCCTAAGATGACTGAGTTCCTGGGGTGAAGGGTGACTGCCATGACAGGCAGTTTTCCCCTATCAGTGCTAGGAACACTGGGTGGTCTGGACTGGGTGGTACACCCCACAGCACAGCACAGTGGCTGTGACAGATCGTGGCCTGGCTGCTTCTTTAGGTGGGACCTGGATCCATCCTTCCTTACCAAGCAGGGCCTCCCTACAGGAATTCCAGCAACTCCATCCAGGGGTTTACAGACAGAGCTCACATCTCCCTGGGACAGAGAACCTGGGGGAAGGGACAGCCACAGTCTCAGGTTCAGCAGACTTAATCTTTCCTGCCTGCTGGCTCTGAAGAGTCTGGGTAATTTGGACAAGGGGGATTCCCCCAGCACCATGCACCAACTCTGCTAAGGTACAGCCAGTCTGCTTCCATAAGCAGGGCTCTGATCCCGTGCCTCCTGACTGGGTGAGACCTCCCAACAGGGGTCACCAGAAACGTCATCCAGGAGGGTTCTGGCTGGCATCAGGTTGGTGCCCCACTGGGATAAAGCTTCCAGAAAAAGGAAAAGGCAGGAATTTTTACTGTTTTGCAGCTTCCACTGGTGATACTCAGGTGAACACAGTCTGCAGTGCACCCCCAGCACACTGCAGCAGACCTGCAGAAAAGGGGCCTGACTGTTACAAGAAAAACAAACTAACATAAAGCAACAACAACAACATCAACAAAAAAGACCCCACAAAACCCCATACAAAGATCAACAGCCTCAAAGATCAAAGGTAGATAAATCCATGAAGGTGAGGAAAAACCTATGCAAAATTCCTGAAAATTCCAAAAGGCAGAATGCCTCTTCTCCTCCAAATGATTCCTGAATTTGGAGCAAGTGAATGAGGCTGAAGCTGAGATGGATGAACTGACAGAAGCAGGTGCCAGAAAGTGGGTAATAACAAACTTTGCTGAGATAAAGGATTATGTTCTAACCCAATGCAAAGAACAGCCATGATAAAACATTACAGGAGCTGTTATCTAGAATGATCAGTTTACAGAGGAACGTAAACAACCTGATGGAGCTAAAAAAAAAAAAAAACACAGCAAGAGAACTTCATGATGCAAACACAAGTATCAACAACCAAATCAACCAAGTGGAAGAAAGAATAACAGATCTTGAGGACTATCTTGCTGAAATAAGGCAGTCAGACAAGATTAGAGAAAAAAAAATAAACAGGATATAACAAAACATGTGAGAACTATAAGACTACATAAAAAGACCAAACCTGTGACTGATTGGAATACCTGAATACCTAAAAGAAATGGGGAGAATGGAACCAAATTGGAAAATGCACTTCCCCAACCTAGCAAGACAGACCAACATTCAAATTCAGGAAATCCAGAGAACCCCAATAAGATACTCCACAAGAAGATCAACCCCAAGACACATAATCTTCAGATTATCCAAGGTCAAAATGAAGAAAAAAATGTTAAGGGCAGCCAGACAGAAAGGCTTCACTTAGAAAGGGAAGCCCATCAGACTAACAGCAGACCTCTCAGCAGAAACCCACAAGCCAGAAGAAATTGTGGGCCATTCAACATTCTTAAAGAAAATAATTTTCAACCTGGAATTTCACATTTGACCAAACTAAGCTTCAAAAGTGAAAAAGAAATAAAATCATTTTTAGACAAGTAAATGCTGAGGGATTTCATCACCACCAGGCTTGCCTTGCAAGAGCTCCTGGATGAAGCACTAAACATGGTTGGCAGGGGGAAAAATACCAGCCACTACAAAAAGATACTGAAGTACACAGACCAATGAAACTATGAAGCAACTGCATTAACAAGTCTACAAAATTTACCAGCAAGCATCATGAGGACAACATCAACTTTGCACATAAAAGCACTAATTTTAAATGTAAATGGGCTAAATGCCCCAATTAAAAGACACAGAATGGCAAGATGGATAAAAAGGCAAAACCCATTGGTGTGCTGTATTCAAGAGACACATATCTTGTACAAAGACACACATAGGCTAAAAATAAAGGAATGGAGGAAAATTTACCAAGCAAATGGAAAGCAGAAAAAAGCAGGAGTTGCAATCCTAGTTCCTGACAAAATAGGCTTTAAACCAACAAAGGTCAAAAAAGACACAGAAGGGCATTACATAATGGTAAAGTGTTCAATTCAACAAGAAAAGCTAACTATCCTAAATATATATGCACTCAATACAGGAGCACCCAGATCCATAAAACAAGTTCTTAAAGAACTGAAAAGAGACTTAGACCCCCACACAATAATAGTGGAGACTTTAATACTCCATTGTCAGTATTAGACAGATTATCAAGACAGAAAATTAGCAAAGATATTCAGGATTTAAATTCAGCTCTGGACAAGTGGACCTGATAGATTGCTACAGAACTCTCCACACCAAAACAACAGAATATACATTTTTCTTGGTGCCACATGGCACTTAATCTAAAAGTGATCACATGATTGGAAGTAAAATACTCCTCAGCAAAGGCAAGAGAGCTGAAATCATAAGAAACAGTCTCTCAGACCACAGTACAATCAAATTAGAACTCAAGATTAAGAAACCCTCTCAAAACCAAACAACTATATAGAAATTGAATCTGCTCTTGAATGACTTCTGGATAAATAATGAAATTAAGGCAGAAATCAAGAAGTACTTTGAAACTAATGAGAACAAAGAGACAATGTACCAGAATCTCTGGGATGCAGCTAAAGCAGTGTTAAGAGGCAAATTTAGATCACTAAATGCCCACATCAAAAAGCTAGAAAGATTTCAGATCAACACCCTAACATCATAACTAAAAGAACTAGAGAACCAAGAGCAAATAAACTCCAGAGCTAGAAGAAGACAAGAAATAACCACCTCAGAGCAAACTGAAGGAGACAGAGACATGAAAAACCCTTCAAAAAATTAACAAATCCAGGAGCTGGTTTTTTGAAAAAAATCAATGAAATAGATAGACTTCTAGCTAGACTAATAAAGAAGAGAGAAGACTCAAACAAACAATCAGAAATGATAAGGGGGATACCACCAATGACCCACAGAAATACAAACCATCATCAGAGAATACTATGAAAACCTCTATGCAAAATAAACTAAAAAAATAGAAGAAATGGATAAATTCCCAAACATGTACACCTTCCCAAGACTGAACCAGTAAGAAGTTGAACCCCTGAATAAACCAATCACAAGTTCTGAAATGGAAGCAGTAATGAATAGCCTACCAATCGAAAAAAAAGAAAAAAGCACAGGTCCAGATAGATTTATAGCTGAATTATATAAGAGGTACAAAGAGGAGGTGGTACCATTTCTTCTGAAACTATTCCAAACAATTGAAAAGAAGGGACTCCTCAATAACTCATTTTATAAGGCCAGCATCATCCTGATACTAAAACCTACCAGAGATGCAACAAAAAAAGAAAACTTCAGGCCAATATCCCTGATGAACATTGACACAAAAATCCTCAATAAAATACTGGCAAACCGAATCCAGCAGCACATCAAAAAGCTTATCCACCACAATCAAGTCAGCTTGATCACCAGGATGCAAGGCTGGTTCAACATACACAAATCAATAAATGTAATTAATCACATAAATAAAACTAAAGACAAAAATCACATGATTATATCAATAGATGCAGTGAAGGCCTTCTATAAAATTCAACATCCCTTCATGTTAAAAACTTTCAATAAACTAGGTATTGAAAGAACATACCTCAAAATAATAAGAGCCATTTATGACAAATCCACACCCAGTATCATACTGAATGGGCAAAAGCTAGAAGCATTCCCCTTGAAAACTGCATAAGACAAGGATGCCCTCTCTCACCACTCTTATTCAACATAGTATTAGAAGTTCTGGCCAGGGCAACCAGGCAATAGAAAGAAATAAAGGTTATTAAAATAGGAAGAGAGGAAGTCAAATTGTCTCTGTTTGCAGATGACATGATCCTATATCTAGAAAACTGAATTGACTCAGCCCAAAAGCTTCTTAAACTGATAAGCAACTTCAGCAAAGTCTCAGGATACAAAATCAATGTACAAAAATCACAAGCATTCCTATACACCAACAACAGACAAGCAGAGAGCCAAATCATGAATGAACTCCCACTCACAATTGCCACAAAGAGAATAAAATACCTAGGAATACAGCTAACAAAGGAAGTAAAGGACCTCTTCAAGGAGAACTACAAACCACTTCTCAAGGAAACCAGAGAGGGCACAAGCAGATGGAAAAACATTCCATGTTCATGGATAGAAGGAATCAATATCATGTAAATGGCCATACTGCCCAAAGAAATTTACAGATACAATGCTATTCCCATTTAACTGTCATTGACATTCTTCATGGAATTAGAAAATAAAACTATTTTAAAATTCATATGGAACCAAAAAACATCTCGTATAGCCAGGACAATCCTTAGCAAAAAGAACAAATCTGGAGGCATCATGCTACCTGACTTTAAACTATACTACAAGGCTACAGTAAACAAAACAACAGGATAATGGTACAAAAACAGGCACATAGACCAATGGAACAAAATAGAGAACTCAGAAATAAACCCACACATCTACAACCATCTGATCTTTGATAAACCTGACAAAAACAAGCAATGGGGAAATGATTCCCTATTTAGCAAATGTTGCTGAGAAAACTGGCTAGCCATATGCAGAAAATTGAAACTGGACTCCTTCTTTACACATTATACAAAAATTGACTCGAGTTGGATTAAAGACTTAAAAGTAAAACCCAAAACTATAAAAACTCTAGAAGAAAATCTAGGCAATGCAATTCAAGACATAGGCATGGGGAAAGATTTTATGATGAAATTGCCAAAAGCAATAGCAACAAAAGCAAAAAGTGACAAATGGGATCTAATTAAACTAAAGAACTTCTGCACAGCAAAAGAAACTACCATCAGAGTGAACAGAAAACCTACAGAATGAGAGAAAAATTGTGCAATCTATACATCTGACAAAGGTCTAATATCCGGAGTCTACAAGGAACTTAAGCAAATTTACAAGAAAACAAACAACCCCATTAAAAAGTTGACAAAGGACATGAACAGACACTTCTCAAAAGAAGACATATATGTGGCCAACAAATATATGAAAAAAGCTTATCATTGATTATCAAATGCAAATCAAAACCACCCTTCTCACATCAGTCAGAATGGCGATTATTAAAAAGTCAAGAAACAACAGATGCCAGTTAAATTGTGGAGAAGTGGGAATGCTTTTACACACATTTGGTGGGAATTTAATGTAATGTTCAACCTTTGTGGAAGACAATGTGGTGATTCCTCAAAGATTTAGAACCAGAAATATCATTTGACCCAGCAATCCTATTAGTGGGTATATGTCCAAAGAAATATAAATACTTCTACTATAAAGACACATGCATGTGTATGTTTATGCAGCACTATTCACAATAGCAAAAACATGGAGTCAACCCAAATGCCCATCAATGATAGACTGAATAAAGAAAATGTGGTACATATACACCATGGAATACTATGCAGCCATAAACAAAAGGAGATCGTGTCCATTGCAGGTACATGGATAAAGCTAGAAGCCATTATCCTCAGTAAACTAATGCAGGAACAAAAACTCAAACACTGCATATTCTCACTTATAAGTGGAAGCTGAACAATAAGAACACACGAACATGGGGAGGGGAACAACACACACTGGGGCCTGTCAGGGGAGGACACAGATGATGATAGCATTAGGGAAAATAGCTAATACATACTGGGCTTAATACATAGGTGATGGGTTGATAGGTGGCAGCAAACCACCGTGGCACATATTTACCTATGTAACAAACCTGCACATGTACACCAGAACTTAAAACAATAACATAATACAAAATAAAACAGCTGAGTCTTCTCTGTTATTGGTGAAAATGTCTGTGTAATTCACTTTAAGGTTCTTATTTCAGTGAACACTTGATATCCATAGATTATAAAATGGTTAACAAGGAAATGTCTGAGTTTAAATGATGGTGTCTAACACCTCAGTTTTCAGAAGTAACCTAAATAAACTGTTAAAAATGAAATAATTGAGTACCTATAAATAGGATAAATGTTTTAGGTAAACTTTTTGTGTAATTTAAAATCTGAAAATTATTTTTGATGCTCATTGAATATCTGGATCACTTCCAATTATGAAAGGGTTGTGATATGGGGAAATATGTTTCTAAAAATTGTGGAATTGTTTTTATCTATAAAATGCTCATATCTGACAGTTCAAGATTTCTTGCTTTTAAGGGTTTCACTAAAAGTTAAGGCTACTAAGGACAAGAATTATAGTTAATATATAATTCTATACATAAAATGTGCCAAAAGATGTGCTATTAATGGGAAAAATAATAAAAATTAAAAGTTAGTTCAATTTACATATTTGAAAAAGTTACTTATGACACAAGGTAGTAAGAAATCTGTAAGTAGGTCAAAGAGATAGGAAGACAGTTATGCTTACAAAGATGTATTTTTGGTAAGGAAGGTTATAAAGAAAATGTAATAATTTTTATGAGAAAGGATCTTGTATGGTAAATTTTTTTGGCCTAGAGTAAAATGACTGGTTATCTAAAGAAGAAGAAGAAAATCTGGGACTGAACAGAAAGCCCAGGCATGTCATGGATGGTCTGTGTAAGTCATATATAATTTTTTTGTTTCTCTGTGTGTCTATCTTCATGCAGATAGAGTGAAACTAGAAAGCTGAAAAAGTTTAGATAATAAAATATTATTTAAAACATGATAAGGATTTGTAGAAATTTGGCTAATTAACATTCTCATATTTAAAACTCTTAGTCTTGATTAAAGTAAAATAAGAAATATTGTAAAGAAATGCATTGGCAGTTTGGTGATTCTTTTTCAGTGCAGATAAGCATGAAGCCAGATTTAGTGTAGAGCCAAATTTCACATATCTGCTTGCATTGCTTCATATGATGTTTACTGTTTTGCATGGATATTGCTGGCACTGGAGTATTTACTGATCATGTACCTAGAGTGAATATCTTGATTTCACAGGATTTATTGTGATATTGGTAGACTTAAAGATATTAAATTGTGTATCAGGAATAAAATATTCATTCTATAGGCTTTTTAGGCTCTAGGCAACATGTTAACCTCCAACATAAACTGAGTAGGAAAAATTTAGGGTTGGTTTTCTGTTTATTTGTTTTTGCTTCTAAATTTTCATTTGTTTGCTGTTTTTTTCTCCTTTGGGTTGGCTTGTGTATTCATATATATAAAACCATTGTGGCTTTTTTTTAGTTTCTGGGGGAAGGTTTTTATTTTGTTCTGTGAACAGTTATTTTGTTTCCTGTGCATTTCTCGCAAGTCATCAATTGTTCTCTTTATCTGGAATTCCTAGGCTATATTTGTTGGGCCTGTAGGAATTGACAGAGCACAACAGCCATTTAGAATTTACTTGGTTTTACTGGCCTCTGATGATCTAGAGAGCTATGAGAGCTTTAATGCTCCTGGCAAAAGAAAATTACATAAAAGATTTTTAAATAAGTTCTGAACAGAAATTGTACATTATTTATTATTTGAAAAAGTAGGTGAGAATAAAAATGTTTAAATGATGTTTATTTCCAAGGTAATTCAATTCAATTAATAATTTGAGTAGGTTTCACATCTTTCCCTTTAGGTAATGAAGAAATACTATGATATGGCTACAAAGTTTTAATATTCAAAAAAGATTGGCCTTGTCATTAGAGAAATTATATTGATTGGGATTTCTCTCAAACTAATCTAGTTGTATTCACCATTATTAAAATTAAGTGACACTCAATTGGACTAAGTAGCAATAAAAATATGAGACTTCCTAGTGATTTTTTTTTATCCCAAGCCATTTACTACTGATGGGCCTTGATGTGTGTGCTTGAAAACAAAACATATGCAAGTGTTAGACTGGTTTGAAGATTTGGGTGGTGAAAGTTAGCTAATTAGATGTCAGTGCTCTATCTAGAAGCCAATCTTGGAAATATGTGATAATGCCCTTTTAAAATAGCTGAAAAGAAATTATTTTGTGTTTGTTTTCACTTCATTCTTGTTTGGTTGTATAGCATTTAAGTGAAAGGAGATTTTTTATCCTTATACTAGTATTTGCATTTACCATCTTTTAATGATGGAGAGAAAAGTTAGTTGTCTTACTTTGATATGTTTGGCATAGGACCTATGACACTTTTGATGTTTTTGGTCACAGTTCTGTCACTAGAATGCTAGCAATTAGATATATGCAATGAGTAACCTACTTTAATACAATGGTTTGAAGTACCACAGGCAGTAACTCCTAAACACCAAATCACAGTGTTTTAATTTGTAACATGTTAAAGAGAATAATCAGACTTTCTGTAGTACAAATATCTTATTAACTACTGCTTGTGCTGGTAAGTTACAGGGCTTTGACTCCTGGGTTGGAAAAAGGCAATAACCCCTGCTAAATTATGAACATTAACACCAGTTGAAGCATCATCATCAGACTCAGGAGAAGAGCGCCATCAAAATGAACTGCTTTTGTGAAACACAAGACTAGAAATTAAACTATTCAATCCCTCTAGGCCCCAGGACTATCATGGAAGAGGTGGGCCTGTGAGATTGTAAGGGCCCATCTGATGGACTAGATTAGTTCAAAGATTTTCTATAATTAAACATTAATATAAAAAGGACACTAATGAAAGACCAGAATCTGGGCCCATGTGTTACAATAACAGGGCTTTCTTGGAGCATTGATCTGATGTTTAATAGAAAATTGAAAAAGGTGATAAAAAATTATGGAAATCTTGCCTTATGGTCAAACTGATTAAAATTAGATTTGTTTATAAGGTTTTATTAAAATTAGTTTTAACATTAGTAATGCACCACACAAAGGTAAAATCTTGGTTTTCACTTTTGAACAAAGTGTTTGTTCAAATATTAAGAGATAAAAGATTTTGTTTACCTCTTGAGTGAACTGCAGGGAGAAAATGGAGGGGAAAGAGACAGATTTAGTTGGCCTCATGCTGTCTTAAGTATTAGGTCTTACTGTTTGGGAAACTGTGTTTCCTTTCTATGGAAGAGTAAATGTTTTTGTATTATAATTTTGGCTATCTGAATGGCAATTTTATAGTAACTTGTGATCTTGTTTTGTGATATTGAGTGTCAGTGAGACCTTTGAAATCTGACAGACTTTCCAACAGCAAATTTTCGAGTTTTAAATTCAGTCTTTTGACCTCAAATTTTTTGGATCTTAAGTTTCCTGAAGTTCAAGAGAGACATGTTGGGCTTATTAGACTTATTTGTAATGTTAGAATTATACAGGAAGCATTATCAAATCTGAGATGTATTTCATTTCCTTTGAGTTATATTTATATAGATGTATTATTAATATGTGTTCCAGGATTATATGAGATTCCTAAAATTCTGATATGTCTTAATATAGGTTGTCAGTAACAATAAAAAATAATCATATATTGTTGTATACCACATTTCCTTGTCAACTATGTCTTTTATCTGTGGCTGTCTTAAGACTTTTGTCATCCATCATTGATGTTTTGCTTTGATCCTTCTCAATAAATGTGACTTATAATAAGCAGTCCAATGCTTGCTTCTCTGGAGGAAATCATGAAAGGACTCTTGAATACAAGTTTCTGATAACTTTGGAGATTGTGTCGTTGAATTAGAGAGAAAACTTCCAGGGTACCAATTGAAAGGCTGTGTGTTCATAAAGATTGCTAACCTAACATGAAGTAGAGTAGGAGTTGATTGCATGGACTGAACTAATGAAAGACAGAAATTATTTTTATGGCTTTTGTTGTTCCAAATATTGCAATTCTTTTTGTTTTGTGTCTAAAGTCTGGAGAATCTTTTTCTTTTGAGTTATTTATAGCCTTGAAATATACTTTAAGTGTATTGAGTATGCTTTTTTAAACAGAATTTGAGTCATTTCCCTCTCTCTGACTAATTTCTCCAGAATTTGTAAACTATTTGTGAATATCATTAATTCATGGCAATGGGTTTGTTTGCATAGAGTAAATAACCACATGTTTTCTTTTGTAATGTAACACAGTTGAAGGAACTGGTTATTTTCTCAGGGCTTTGACTGACATGGTCTTGTGAGATGTTCCAAGAAAGCCAGTTTAGAAGAGACTATATGCACAACGATTCTTGTTGCACTTTGTCTGGGTAATCAGGACAAGTATATGGGACTGAAGCTTATTTTGCAGGTAGATTGGTTCTGCTGTGATTTGTCTTTGGTGGAACTGGTGGACTGGAGACAGAACTATTATATGTCTCAAAATTAATATAGCTCCCAACAACCAACTCCTTATTATACCTTTAACTGCAACCACCAGATACAAATGAGCCATCCAACTCATACCCCTTTTTGTAGGGCTACTAATAACAGCAGGAGTAGGATTGGAAGTTAGCGGGATTGCAACTTCCCTATCCTACTACCAATGGTTGTCCAAGGGTTTTATGGAAAGCTTGAATGACATTGCCCAGAGTATTGTAACATTATGAAAACAAATAAACCCCTTGGCAGTGATTGCTTTGCAAAATAGAAGGAGACTAGATCTTCTAACTGCCTCCTGGGTTCATGCCATTCTCCTGCCTCAGCCTCCCGAGTAGCTGGGACTACAGGCACCTGCCACCACGCCTGGCCAATTTATTGTATTTTTAGTAGAGACGGGGTTTCACCATGTTAGCCAGGATGGTCTTGATCTCCTGACCTCGTGATCTGCCCGCCTCGGCCTCCCAAAGTGCTGGGATTACAGACATAAGCCATCGCGCCCGGCCGTTTGTTAAATATTTTAAGCAAATTCTTTTCCTCTCGCCTAGAGACCATTAAGCTTTAGATGATCATGTGAGAAGGTTTCCACACAGTTCCAGGTGAAGACACCACCAGCCATCAAGAAGCTACCCTGTCCCCACCAGACAGAGCAGGATGAGAGTACTGTGATCCCCAATATGTAGGGACTGCTCCCGAAGTCAGCATGAAGCAGTTACAGAAGAAAGACCCTTGGTTCCTCTGCCTCCCATAAAGGTTTATGGGGATCATGTCTCTCAGGGGGGAAATGAGGCAGGAGAATAGGGTCTGGAGTCAGGGAATCTAAGGACTTCCTAGAACTAAATCAAATAGAAACCCCAACTTTCTATATCCAAGTCAATAACTTTGTAACTTGACTTCAGCTATGTCAGGAAACATCCTCTTCTTTTGCATAGGGTATACACCAAATCAATAACTTTGTAATTTCACTTCATCCTCTTCACTTACATAGGGTATAAACCAAGTAACCAATGGGAAACCTCTAGAGGGTATTTAAATCCCAGAAAATTCTGTAACCATCGCTCTTGAGCCACTTACTTTAACCAGCTCCCACTCTGTGGAGTGTACTTTCATTTCAACAATCTGTAATTTTCTTTTATTGCTTTGTTTATGCATTTTGTCTAATTCTTTGTTCAAAATGCTAAGAACCTGGACACCCTCCACTGGTTACAATAGGACTATGTTATTGATATAACTGCAATGGCCGAGCATGGTGGCTGATGCCTGTAATCCCAGCATTTTGGGAGGCTGAGGAGTGCAGATCGCTTGAGGTCAGGAATTTGAGACCAGCCTGGCCAACATGGTGAAACCCCATCTCTACTAAAAGAATATGTAAAAATTAATCAGGTGTGGTGTTGGGCACTGTAATCCCAGCTACTCAGGAGGCTGAGGCAGGAGAATCTCTTGAACTCAGGAGGGGGAGGTTGCAGTGAGCCGAGATTGTGCCACTGCACTCCAGCCTGGGAGACACAGTGAGACTTCATCTCAAAAAAAAAGAAAAGAAAAGATATACCTGCAATATATATGATCTTTCTCCCATTCCAAGTGACTAGACAAGGCTGGTTCTGTGGAATCTGAATTCCAAAAATGATTGTGGAGAGTTCTCTTGTCCTCAACCTCAGCAGGGCTATTTACATTTTAGCAGGGTTGAGCCGCATAGCAAGATAAAGAGGAATGAAGTTCTAATGCGGTAATTCCCAGATGAACACTATATTTGAAGTGTGGTGGGCATTTATGGTTCAGATGATTTTCTAGGGTATGATGAAGAAAATATAGAAAGACTGACATGAGGAAAAGAAATGTGCTGTCTACCTTGATCATTTCTGTCCCCTCCTCTGTTACAGTGCCTAGCACATTACGTGTGTCCAATGAATAGTTTGTTCACTGCTTAAATAAAGGGTTATCAAATCATTACTATGTAGATACTGTAAACTTGTCCTAATCCTAAAACCACTGGGCCTTCCTTATTTTAAATATTGCATAGACGTCCAGAAAATTCTGGGATAGATCTAAAACACTAAAATAATGTAATATCAGAGCTAGAAACCAGCAAGCCTAGCCTTTCCCATCATAGGTAATAAAACTAAAGCAAAAAGACATGAAGTAAAGATCTGTACCATTTATTGGTACCAGATATAAAAAGTAGCATCTATATTTTATATCTTCAAGAGAAGCTCTTTCTGCTTTACCTTATTCTAAAACCTAGAGTCTCAAAGGTAGCTAAAGAAGACCCCAAGTAAACTAGATGGTTTTTCAAAAATTGCAGATACACACTTGCATATACCCATGACTCTAGAATAAAAAAAAAAAACTAGCCTGAAAGTTAAATGAAAAAAAAAATGCTTGTTCAAGTTCTATTTCTCCTGCTTCTTTGTAATGTGACTGTTGGAAAAATTATTTCCTTCTCTGAATCTTAATCTCCTCATCTCTTGTATGGACAATAAAAGTATTAGGTTAGATCAGTATTTTCTAGTCCACATTCCTTTATTCCTTACTTCCGTTTGTAAATAGAAGAAATGCAAAAACAAATTTTTTTCTGCAGAATTTCAGAATATTAAATAGATAAAGTCCAGCTTTCTGGTCAAAGTCAGAGGAGTAGGAGAGAAGGTCCCAGCATCTTGCCTGCTCCAACTTCCCCACCTTCATGAGTGTTTCTCACTCTCCCATTCTGTGACTCTATGATTCAGCAGTAATGATTCCAAGGAAAGAAAAGGGGCAGACTCATTTACAGCTCCTTACGCTCTACATTTCAGTTAGATGGCTAAGATCAGATGCTTGGAAAAAGAATGAAACCCATCTCTGCCAGCACCCATAGTACATGTTTTGGACAAAGAGATAAAAAGTATTTGGATGCAGCTATGTTAAATTGGCTACCAACTCCAAGAGAAGGACTTGGTGGGGGTTGAAAGAGACGCCAGTTCTCTCCCAGTTACCACTGGTTCTGTTTAGGTTGTGGGGTACAGCATGTCCCAGAGAGCACCTCTGGGCATCTTGGGTAGCTACCTGTGCTCAGGGATAAAGAAAATGCCAGCTTTGTTTGGGTACAGTTGATTTCCATTGGCTCAGCTTCCATGTTATTCCTAGTTCCTGGTGTGGTTCCAATAATATATCCCTGGAGTCAATGCAATCTGAGACTGGTTTTTGGCTCCAAAATATGTGACAATTTCAGACAATAGCAGTTACCTTTGTAAAGCACTAGATATTTTACAGAACCCTTCTGACAAAGATAGACAGAGAGAGAGAGAGAGAGAATTTTAGGAAAACAATAGTATAGTTCAAAAGTAGAATGGATAGCCCAGAAAGCTTTAAATTTCTCATCACTGGACGTGTGTAAGCAGAAGATGGTACACTTGACAGTGACAGGATTTAAGATTTAAAAGACAATCTGAATTAGTTAACCTTATGGGTTCCTTAAAATCCTGAGATTCTGATTCTGTGAAACAAAAAGAAAGAAGAAAGGAGATTGACATGTACTAACATTTTTTATTGTGTGCATAGGGCCTCTTGTAACACTTTATTTCATAATATCCTCATTCCTCCATACACCACTGCCCCTATAAGGACCTGAGAAATGGATGGCAATTTTTTTAAAAAATCACCTGATAACACTTATCTTTCAAAAGATCAGTGGGCAGGGAGTTTAAAAGAAAAATAACCTCTTGCTGTTTGACTAAGGCCAGATTTCCCTCATGTACGTGTTTTGTTTTTGATTTATCAAATATCCATCTTGAAAATACTTGAAGTCTATTTGTGTGTCTTGGGGAGGACATACAAGAAACAGAAGGAAGTGGGCATTGTGTAAACCCACAGCACACCACAGCTTCTTTCAAGGATTTGTGAAAGATGGTGGCCACACCCTGTTGATGTTGGCAGCTCTTCAACTTGCATCCAGATGAGAAAAATGTTACAATTTCCCTTCTCCACCCAAAACCCCATCAGCTTCTCCTCTGCCAGGGCCAGAGTCTCCTACTGTGAAGCTAAACAAATTATACTCCCTCCTCGAGTTCCCAGCTCTGGGCATCATGCCTACATTCTTGGGGTCTCTCTCTGAGGCTAGATATTGGAGAAATGATTACTATGGCCAATTCAGTAGTTTGTAATTAAATCTTTTTTTAGGGAAAAAAAAACCCTAAACCTAAAGAATCCTCTTTTTTTTTTTTATATATCTTATTGCATACTGAAGGGTGTGAGGATAGTAAACTAGAAGACTATGGTGCTTTACAATTCCTGCCTCCCTTGCTCCCACCTTCAGAATGGATTGTTCTTTAATACTACTTGAAACATTATCGGTAGAATCAATAGAACCCTCTTTTCATGTCATCTCCAACTCCAAGAATTTTTTTGTGGGGGGACTCAGGCAATTTTAAACTGATTGTTCATAATTCGCCTTCAGACTCTCTCAAATTCAATTCTTCCTCCTTAACCTGCAAATGGACCTCCTTAAAGCACAGATCCAATCATGTCATTTTTTGCTCAAGAGCGTTCATTAGTTTTTTTGTTCACTGATGGCCTGATGACATCCAAATTCCTTATCCTGATCCTCAAATCTGTCACTGCTCAGTGATGCTTAATGAACATGGCATGGAACTCAAAGAGAGAAAATATAAACAGAAGGCCATTGATTTGGCAAGAAGGAAGGGAGGTGTGGTCTTCCCAGAGCAATTTCAACAGAATGGTAGGGGTGGAACTCATTGGTCTCAGATAGGGATATCCGGAATGGAGCTCAGAGGGGATTTGAACAAGGCCAGGTACTGACGGAAGTTATGCCAGTTTAGCAGTGGAAGGAGAGAAGAAAATGGAAGAGTAGGTACAACAGCTGGCAATGTCAAACGAAGGAATCCTCAAGATTGAGGAAACTCGAACAGGTTTCAAGACTGCTGCAAAGGCTTCAGTGCTTTTCAGAGAGGGATACTCTGAGGCAGTGGTTTTCTGCCTTGGCTGCTCACTGGATCACAGCCAGTCATTGGTAGGGCCAGAATTTAACTAGTGCCTACAGTCACAGGAAAAGATAGCTGCATGAGAATGCAGGCAAGTGGTAATGGAAAGAACAAAGAACCCAGAATCAGGATGAGAGAGGCTTAAAGAGGGAGGTGGTGGCACAGAGGACAAAGTTGTAGAATTTTATACTTTTGCTTAAAGCAGGTCTTGTCTGTCTTTGTAAATAACTATTTTAGCTCATTGAAAGTAACATAAACATTCATTTATTTATTTTGCTGTAACCAGAATAAATAGGAGAAGATGTTCTCCGAAATCTGTTCTCAGTCTTCAGATAGACTTATAAACCAACCTGGTAAAACCTAGAAAATAGTTGCCCAACCACATCTGTAGGGCATCTGTGGCCTTCCACCCATAGTGCTTGCTGTCTGTTCTTTGAAGAGACTCTGATTCTTTGATCCTGCTTGGAGTGATGGCGGGGGTAGGCCCTCTTCTGGGAAGCCATAATAATATGGTATCCCCTGCTGAGAGAGCCCACCCTGAGCTTTTCTTTGAAAAGCTTTCTGAGACCAGGAACACGGCAAGCATGGAGTCATTGGGAATCATGTATCCAATTGACTCTCACGCATTGCGACATCGAGTTATCCCTTAAAATAGACCTGGAAATAGCTCTGAAAATTATCCAGAGCTGATGTGACTTGGGAAAAGTATAATTACCCTGAACTTGCTTGATCTTGAAAGTGGCATTTTGTTGGCAGGGCTCGATCTCAAGGAAGAGAGGCAGTTGTGGCTGGAGGCGGTCAGTTAGGTTGGTGAATGTTCACTGGAGAGGGCTGCCCAGTTGCTTCCCAGATGGTGAGAAAGACCTATTCTATGGGATGCCATAAAAAGCCATACAAGTGAGGACATCTCAGTCTACGTGGATGTTGATGGTTTGGGGAAGGGAAGAGGGGCAAAGATATAGGTCATGATGTATCCGTTTATTTTACTGAATCATTAATTATTCCTGAAAATCTAAAATTAGTCTTGAAATTTTCTCTGCCAGATGAGGCAGGATGACAGAAAAAATAACAAAAACCAGGTTCTTTCTGTGCACTGCCTACATCATGTCTTTGATTGAGGTCTCAAGACATCACTCTTCTCAAGTTGCTCACCAATGAGTTCAATAAATTTAAAAGCAACTACACCTGGCTGGTAATGTCAAAGAATGCCTTCTTACCCATTTATTGCCTCTCCTCAAGACCAAATTTCAAGCTCCATAGTGCAGAAAAAAATCTAGATTGACTATCTCACTGTGATTGTTTCATTTTTCTGTATGCCTCTCAGGTCGACATTTGTTTAGCCCTCTATGTTTAATGGTGCTGTGCTAAGTATGGTGGCAATGAGAAAGATGCATCAGACAATGTTAAGGTTGATGTCCCTCTAGTGCTCCGGCTGTACATTGTCTTGAAGGGATGCCTCACCAACTTCAAATTCTATGCCACCCCAGTCATATGACTTGGCAGCCCCATTCCAGCCCTCACCATAATAGAAAATTGCTTAATTCCAAAATCTCAAACTCTAAAATTTCCCTTTACTAAAACTGCCTGTTCTACTCTGCAACTCCCAGCCAATCTATTCTTGGTTTTCATGATTTCATGCTTCTCAGGCTCTCCCAAATTCCTAAGCTCATTATCCCAGCCCTCAGTGATTCCCACTACCATCCCTCACCATGTTGTTTTTTTCCCATGATATCCATAAGCTTAGTCAGGCTGCTGGTGGGCTTAGCTATTCAAATGAGCCCTCTTTTCCCACAAGGACATTCACTGCTTCCTCGAATTTTTTCTGAGCCTCTTTTTGATTTCCTATCCTCTTCCCCACAGCCACCTCAAGACAACCTTTCTTGACACCCTTAACAGGATATGATTTCTCCCTTTTCTGAACTCTCATACCTTGTACTTGTTATGCCCTCATGGTTCTCAGCACTTTCTGATTCAGATAATAGTCGTGTCTATTTGTGTAGTTTCTCTTCGAGGTCTTTTAGGGTTAAAGTTCTTATTCATCTTTATATTTCAGAGCTTAGCACAGTGCCTGACATCAAAAAGATGCCCACTGACTGTTTTCTGAATTGAATAGGATGACTTTTCCAAAAAGGAACTTTTAAAAAATAATAGCTTCATCAGGATATCAGCTGCAAAGTTTGGAGGGAGTAGCTTTACAGAGAAGCATAATAAAATGCACACTGAGAATTATTAGTTTTCTATTGCTGCATAATGGATTAACACAAATTTATCAGCTTAAAACAACAGACTTGTATTATGTCATAGTTCTGTAGGTCATAAGCTCAACACAGCTTTGATAGGCTCTCTGCCTATAGTCTCCCTCCTGAACAGGGTAAGTGAGGACATTGAGGCTGTTTGTCTCTACCCACCTTTTCAAGCAGAATGTCACCTCTTTCTGCAACTTGTCAAGTAGAAAGAGAGGACATTTTAACGTTCCTTTTGCAGATGAGAAGTCATAGGTTGAAGTTACTTGGAAATAACTTCCTGCTTATTTCAAGGAGGAATTTTTCTTAAAGTCAAAATTTTTTTTATATTTATCCAAAGATAAAAGGGGCTGACTTGAGAGGTTGCAAACCCTTTGGATAAAGAGAATTCTGGAAACAGAGCAGAGGTGGATTTATTCAGCCTCTTTCAGACATTCATGCCAAGATATTTGTAGAGATAGGCCGGGCGCGGTGGCTCACGCCTGTAATCCCAGCACTTTGGGAGGCCGAGGCGGGTGGATCATGAGGTCAGGAGATCGAGACCATCCTGGCTAACAAGGTGAAACCCCATCTCTACTAAAAATACAAAAAATTAGCCGGGCGCGGTGGCGGGCGCCTGTAGTCCCAGCTACTCGGGAGGCTGAGGCAGGAGAATGGCGTGAACCCGGGAAGCGGAGAGCTTGCAGTGAGCCGAGATTGCGCCACTGCAGTCCGCAGTCTGGCCTGGGCGACAGAGCAAGACTCCGTCTCAAAAAAAAAAAAAAAAAAAAAAAGATATTTGTAGAGATAATCCCAGCTGGAGTGTCAACTATTTAAGACAAAGAATATCTTGTTAGGGCCATTGTGGAAAGGTGTTAACATTCTGTCCCCTTGAGTGACCCTGGTGCTCAGGCATGCCTGGCCCCTCCTCTGCTGATCATTAGCTAGGTCATCTTCAGCAAATGCAAGCTAACTTGTACTCCCTCGCCCATCAGATGTGGTCTCATAGCCAGGCTGTCATGAAGACCGAGTGTTCATGGATATAAACTTTAAAAGAGTTATGCCCATGAAAGGCAGTTTTATCATTACCTCTAGCCACACCACCACCTTTGTGTTAACTTTTCTGTTACTGGAGCATCTTGGGATGGACCTCCCGCTACTGGTTATTGAAAAACTGACAAGTTTTACATTGTGGTATCTCATTTTAGGAGACACCCAGACACATAATACTTTGTTCAATTTTACAGGCCACCTCATATTCACTGGTTAATTTGGTCTTCTTGGGTGGGTGCTGTGGCTCACGCCTGAAATCCCAGCACTTTGGGAAACTGAGGTAGGTGGATCACCTGAGATCTGGAGTTCAAGGCCAACCTGGTTAACATGGCAAAACCCTGTTTCCACTAAACAATACAAAAATTAGCCAGGCAAGGTGGCATGCATCTGTGGTCTCACCTATTTGGGAGTCTGAGGCCTGAGAATTGCTTGAACCTGGGAGGCAAATGTTGCAGTGAGCCGAGACCGCACCACTGCACTCCAGCCTGAAGGACAGAGCAAGACTCCATCTCAAAAATAAATAAATAAATAAATAAATACATACATACATACATACATACATACATACATTGTCTTCTTCACAGCCATGTAGTACATTCCTAACAATCCATAGAACTCAAATCCTTACAAGTCAAGCCATACTTTGAATGCATAAAGAGAAATGGCTATTTCAAAGAAATGTGGTGAATTTATTCATTCTACTTCTAAGGTGTTGCCTTTCTTTCCTTCATCATTTGACTCAGTTCTGTCCCAAGAACATGGAGTTACCCAATACATGTCTTGTTGATGAATGATATATTTGGACCATGCCATAGTAACAGGTGGGGAATGGCTGGAATCCTGGCAGTCTTGGTTCATCATGGCTCTACCGGAGCTTGAGGTCTGAGACTGTGCAGGGTTACGCAGGGACCACACAATAGTGTACTAGGTTTCTTAGTTTAAGGGTGCCCACTTTCATTGCTATCAGAAAAAGAGGGTGGTTTTGTTGTTGTTGTTGTTTATGGTGACTTACTCAGGAACAGAGAATGAAGTAGTATTTTACTAGATTTTAAAATTTTTCTAAGGATGTTTAATTTCCACGGCTCGCTTCCTTTTTCCCTTCCATTTAAAAATCTCTAAGGAACATCTACCGCAGAAATGGTGCCTTCCCAAGAATGTCACCTTTGGTCCTGTGTACTTTCAAGTTTCTTTCTTTCTTTCTTTTTAAGCTTCTGTACTGAGGCATACTTCATATATTATAAAAGACACCCACTTAAAATGTGCAATTCAATGGTTTCTAGTCTATTCACAGTTTTAAAATCATCACCAAAATCTAATTTTAGAAACTTCTATTGAAAGAAATCACATACTCTCTCCCCAACCGTATCCCAAGGCAACCACTAATCCTCTTTCTGTCTTGAAATATCTGTCTATTCTAAAGGCTTCATTGAAATGGAATCTTACAACCTATGGTCCTTTGTGAATGGCTTTTCCACTTAGCATGATGTTTTCAAGGTTCATTCATGTTGTATGTAGTATGTGCCAGTACTCTATTCCTTTTTTATGGCCAAATAATATACCATTTAACAGATATGCCATCCTCTTTCTTTTGATTAATCAGCTTTCAATGCTCTGAGCCACCAGATCTCTTACCTATTCTCAGTATTTCCCTCTCTGGGGAGGCCATATCTCTTTCTAGGGGAGATTCAATCTGTGTTTTGCCATAACTAGCCCCAACTGCCTTATTGCTTTTCATAATTCTAGTATCTGAAGGGTTTGCACGTCTGTTTATATGGCCTGTTTTTTTCCCTGCTGATTCTCAGTTACAGGGGCTTGACTCTATATGTTTGCTTTTTCTCTTAGCTATAACATTTTTCTTGTTTGTTTATTTTCTTGAACATAATCTACGGGAATTCTTGCTTATTTACAATGAAGATATAGCCCTCTGGGTTTTCTCTGCAGGTTGTCTTCAAGATTACCTGGAGTGTTCCCTGAACTTGATCTTCTGACCCTTCACCACACACATAGTCTACACAGCAGGATCTCCAGGTCACCAGCTTCAGCAAGACTCCCAAAAATGAAAGCCTTTTTTGGCCCTTGTTTACTTCCCTGGTTTCCTGGTTTCACATCATTGGTGGCTCAGCTTATTCCTCATTTTCACTAAGTGGAAATACATATTTAAGATGATTTTGTTTCAAATCCAGCATGTCAGTTGTTTCAGACAGGAGAGTCATTTAGATATATATAATTCACCATTCTGCATGATGCAGAAATCCTTAGTAAACCTTATTTTCTTGTTCTTTTAACCACATATTTTATTTCCCTTTTTTTTTTTTTTGAAACAGAGTCTCGCTCTGTCACCCAGGCTGGTGTGCAGTGGCACAATCTCGGCTCACTGCAGCCTCCGCCTCCTGGGTTCAAGTGATTCTCCTGCCTCAGCCTCCCGAGTAGCTGGGACCACAGGTGCATGCCACCACTCCTCGCTAATTTTCTTTTTTTGTATTTTTAGTAGAGACGGGGTATCACCATGTTAGCCAGGATGGTCTTGATCTCCTGACCTTGTGATCCGCCCGCCTCAGCCTCCCAAAGTGTTGGGATTACAGGCTCCCATCTTCTTTCTTTGACATGTCAGTAGCATCTATTTCATGATTTAAGACAATTGCTTTTCTTGATGTCTTTATGGGTCCGATATTGCCATGCCTTCTTGGTTTTCATTTATAAGATCTTGTTTCCTTGTATACTTGGACATTTGTATAACCCAACTTTCCTTAGAAGGTTATTTGGGAGAATTGTTTGAGTCTGGGTTTAAGATTCTTTTTTAAGAATTTGGAGATAATTTGCATTTGCTTTGACTAGCATTTGAGGGAACTTACAACCTGGGACTTTAAAATAAGTTATCAGCTAAAGATTCCTTGAACTGCACAGGTAGCGTGAATTAAGACCACAAACCTCCATTAGGTCTTGCAGTTACAAATTCGAAGATCCTTACTCTCCCCGTAGGATCTTTACTTTAGAATGACAAGGGACATCGCCCCCAGGATCGGATATCCTAAACCCGTCCTGCTGCATTCTTCCTTCTTCTCTGACCTGCAGGGCATCCAGAACAAAATGAGTGCCAGTGACCCCAGCTCTTTTATCTTCCTCACCAACATGGCCATGCAGATCAAGACCAAGGTGAGCAGTGCCCAGGGCACAGGACAGCCAGTGGGAGTAGAAACATGCCCCGGGGGGACACACACAAACACACACCATTGCACAGTCCTTTGGGCCCCAGCCACCATAGCGATGCTGAATTCCAGGAGTCCAGGATTCCCAACTATGCTCCCTGCAGAACTCAAGGCAGCCTTGTCCCTATTCCCAGGTATCACATGAATTTGTTTTGTGTCCTTTCATTTAGCTAACATTTTGAATTTCTTTCTTTCTTTCTTTCTTTTTTTTTTTTGAGATGGAGTCTCACTCTGTCATCTAGGCTGGAGTGCAGTGGCATGATCTTGGCTTACTGCAACCTCTGCCTTCTGGGTTTAAGTGAATCTCCTGCCTCAGCCTCCTGAGTAGCTGGGATTACAGGCATGCCCCCCCAGGCCCTGCACCCAGTTAATTTTTGTATTTTTTAGTAGAGACGGGGTTTCTCCATGTTGACCAGGTTGATCTCGAACTCCTGACCTCAGGTGATCCGCCCGCCTCAGCCTCTCAAAATGCTTGTATTACAGGCATGAGCCACCACGCCCAGACAATTTTTTTTTCCTTTTCTGCTTTTCTTACCAACGCTGTACTAGAAGCAAAGTCACGACGATGTTCTTAAAGTTATAATTAATGTGGATATTATTAAACAATGAAAATGAGTTTTGTATATTTCTGATCATCAGCTGTGTTCCAGGGGCTGGACCGGGTGCCTTATTTATGTTATCTCATTTTTAATTCTCACTGGGAGGTAGCAGGGCTAATCCTTTTAAAGATGAGAGAAGGCCTTCTCTTTTTTTTTTTCTTTTCTTTTTCTTTTCCTTTTTATTTTTTTCTTAAGGAAAGGGAAGATAAACATCCATTTGCTATTTTTTTTTCAGCCCCGCAGGCCCACCCACCAGCCAGCCTACATGGTGCCAGCCCCTCCTGCAGGGCCTTGCCTGAGCCTCTCCCATGACTGCTGCTTTCTCTGCCTAGCTTCTGGGCAGTGCCCTGCCAAGATAGAGACCTGTGCCTTTGCCCCAACATTCGTCTGCTCCTTCTACACGATCCCAAGTTATCCAGTTAAGAATCTGCTCTGGAATTCTCCTTGGGAGGCTGAGGCAGGAGAGTCACCTGAGCCCCAGAGGTCAAGGCTGCAGTGAGCGGTGATCGTACCACTGTACTCCAGCTTGGGTGACAGAGAAGAGACCCTGCCTCAAAAAAAAAAAAAAAAGAAAATTTGTATGATCTTTGTATATTAGAGCTTTCTCAAATGCTCATTGAAAGAATGTTGAAGGAATTGTGCCAATCTTTGCTGACTTTTATTTTTCCCACCTCTTAGCCCTAATTACGCCATGATTATCTTCAATGATTCCTAAAAGTCATTTCGTTAGTTTTAGAATTTTTCAGCTCCTAAACTTTGCCTGTTTTTAAGCGGAGACCTGCCTGCAGGCCCTTTCTACCTGTTCACTTTTGGTGGGTTTTGCTTTCCCTTATTGCCTTATTCTCGTGCCTTCTTGTTCTGCTTTCCATGGTGGAGAAGGCAGAAGCCAGTTGGGTTGGGTGCTGCTTTTCTGTCCCCTGTTAACACCCCACTACCTGTCCCAAAGAGCCAGCTGCCCTCCCTGCCATCTCCTTTCCTCTGAGGATGGCTTACTCATCCTTTTTCTTTTATTTATTTATTTTTTTAGAAACAGGATCTTGCCCTGTAACCCAGGCTGGAGTGCAGTGGTACAGTCATAGTACACTGTAACCTCGAACTCCTGGGCTCAAGTGATCCTTCCACCTCACTCTCCTAGGACTTTGGGTGCATGTCACCACACCAGCTAATTCCTTAATTGTTTTTGTAGAGACAGGGGCTCACTATGTCTCACTAAGTTGCCCAGGCTGGTCTTGACCTCCTGGCCTCAATCAATCCTCCCACCTCTGCCTCCCAAAGTGCCGAGGCAGGAGGATCTCCCAAACTCCTCTCCCAAGTTTCAGTTCAATTAGTGCTTTGGCTTTCCCAACTCTAGTCTCCTGTATCTCTGACGATGGGGGAGCACAAAGCTAATCTGCCCCCCGCCTCTCCTGCAGTGAGCCCCATGGTAGCTCAGGCTTTGCAGGAAGGAACAATGGTGGGGCTGCCGGCTGTGCACCTTGGCCTTTCTATGGTCCAGAATGTGACAGCACTCACACCTTTGACTTCCACACTTGGGCCCCTAGCCAGTTTCCAGGCACAGGATGAGCAGGACTCATGAGTGGTTCTGTGTTCTCTTCTGGTGCAGATCAGTAAGCATGCATTTTCTGGAGAGAGAGACACCATCGAGGAGCACAGGCACTTTGGGGGCAACTGTGTTGTGGACGTGTCTTTCATGTACTTGACCTTCCTCAAGGATGAAGACAAGCTCGAGCAGATGAGGAAGGTGAGCAGGGAGCCCCAAGGACCCAGTCATCCCATTTCCAACCACCCACTCCTGCATATGGGTCCTGGAAGCTCCAACAGCTGGGCATTAAGGGTTTGTAGGAGCCTTGGGAACTGGTGCCTGGGCCTTAGGAACAGGTGCTCAACTGAAACAAGATGAAAACTGAGTAGAGGCATTCACGTTTTTTAAACATGTGCTCAGAAACCTCGTGAACAAATCGCAAAAGGGCAGATATAAATTACTATTTATTTAGTAGCCACACAAAACAGTCTCATCTTACTAGTCACCAGAGAAACATAAGTTAACATGATCAAAGCTGAGACAATTCACTATAGAATTACCAGAGTTTTTGTGTTGCCCTTGACTGTGTTTTCAATGATTGTAAACCAGATGCTTCAAGGCACACCCATGTGAGTGTTCATCCACACAGCCTCAGTGAGCAGTTTGGTACCAGGTACAAAGAGCCCAAAAATGTTCAGAGCTTTGCCTCAGTTTTCCAAATCTTGGAATTTTTTCCAAGGAAATAATCCTGAATATGTAAAAGCTTTCCACACCAAGACATTAAAATGATAATAGCAAAAAGTTCAAAAGAAACTGTATAACAGAGGAAATGTTAAATTAGAATTGTTACAGGATAGGTTATTATGGGGACATGAACTATTTTAAAAGAGTTTTCATATGCAGGGTATGGTGGCACACATCTGTAGTCCCAGCTACTTGGAAGGCTGAGACGGGAGGATCCCTTGAGCTCAGGAGTTCAAATCCAGCCTGGGCAACATAATGAGACACTCATTTCTTTAACAAAACAAAAAACAAACAAAAAAAAGACTTTAGTGACACAGGAGAATATGCCTAGGATAATGAAAAAAGAACACCAAATGAAAAATGCAGTGAGAGGTTAATTGTTTAAATGAAATGCACAGGGAACGAAATGTAAAGAAAATGTGCCAAATGTTAGCAGTGGGCCCCACCTCTGGGCACTGGAATTGTAGGTGATTTTTTTCTTCAGTTTGCTGCTGTTTTGTGGTTTGGGTACCTTATTAAATTTGTTTAATGAGCATGTACTACAATCAGAAAAAGAAAAACATCAGCAAGATTTTACAGAGGCCATAAGGCTGCCAGGAATTATTGTTGTTTATGCTTGGGGGAGCAGTCCCTAGCGTCGGTGGAGGTGGGGACTGCCCTCCTCATTGGCCCTTTCACTATGAGAGACCAAGTTATGGCTACTGCCACAGCCAGGTTTCTAGTTGTTTTAAGAAAAGTGTAGCTGAAGGTACAGCTGTTTGTCATGGTAACAACAGATTTCACTTCTAAGTGCCACTTGCACGCCTGGCTCTGCAAGGGTGGTGTGGGCTGACCTGGTGTCTGAGGCAGGAAGAAGCCACTTAGGGCATGTGGAGCCATCTCTCACCATGGCTGTCTTTTTGAGGGCAGGATGACACCAGCAGAGACATGCTCACTGGTGACCTCAAGAAGATGCTCATAGAGGTTCTCCAGCCCGTGATTACAGAGCACCAAGCCCAGTGCAAGGAGGTCATGGACGAGTTAGTGAAAGAGTTCACTAACGAATGAGTTCAGTCGTGCTCATTTTATATATGCTTATAAAGAGACGTGATTTATCAATAATCCCAGCCCAATCAAAGTACCGCTACCTGTAGTCTTCCGTCACATGATCATTACTGGGCTTGGTTTCTCTAAGCCTGTGTATGTTATCAATACTGTTTATTCCTCTGAGTTTCATTATTTCTGTCTCTTGAGGGCAAAACATTGTGGGTGATTGGTGCTGACATTGCATGGTCAGATAGAGAAGTCCAGCTGTGAATCTCTCCCCCAAAGCAGCCCCAAGGCATGGAGCCTTTGGCTGGAAGTCCATGGGCCAACCTGTTCTGTCCATAGAAGACTCCTAGGGCTCCCAGTATACTCTTAAAACCCACTCTATTTTAAAATATATATTCTATGTATGCATATATGGAAGTGAAATATCATTATTGTAACCTAAAAAGTGCTTTGAAATGTTGATGTGGGGAAGTTTATTGAGCGCAAGATGTATTTCAGCCCATGACTCACCACGAAAAAAATTGATAGGTAAAAGCTTTGCTACACATTTGACTAAGAAATCAGCCAGCTTTAAAGCTGCTTTTAATCATAAAGAGTGAACAGAGTTGGGCAGTTTTTATTAAATTGAGTCTTGGGGGTGAAACTTTCCGGTTTACTTAACTCCAGACCATGCATGTATTCTACTCCGGAAATCATGCTCATTTCCCTTGACTAGTGTTTTCCCGCCAATGGATCCTAGACCCTCCATCCTGCAGAGTCAGCGGTGTCTTTTCCCCTGACTGTGTCAGATGCTGAGCAGTCATTACCTCTGCAAATGTTTCATTTTGACAATTGACCGCAATGGAAGTCAGTACAGAGCAATGCACTGGCTGTGTCCGGGATGGGTGGACGTAGCTAGGAAGAAAGTCACACAAGCAGCCCTAGAGGCCCTCACTGGTGTCTGGACAGGCTGCATTTAATCACATGCCATGTTCAGGCTTGGAAGAGAAATTCCAAATTTCAGGGGAGCCCCTGGTCGATATATCTGGGTCTCTCCTCTTGAGCGCTCTGCCTTCCTGCCGCCCCTTGGAGTAAATAAACTTCTTTGGCTCCCGCACGAGGTGCTGTGCTCTGTCTGGGAGGTCTGAGGAGGGAACAAAGTCCCCTCCCTTCCCCTCTTCATGGATGGCCTTGAGTCTGCTGGGGTCAAAATCTGGGGAAAACGCACAATCCCGGGAACCCCACCGTGCCGAGTCGTAGGCTCCCAGGAATGGGCTTGTGCTGGGACAGCCGTTAGCAGTGTCTTGGTGCGGGCTCCCTCTCACACCTCATTTCACATTCCCAACAGCTGGTGGAGAACACAAGTAGAGGTTGTCCTTGTTTCTCAGAGGAGGGGCCAGCCATGGGGTGCTTGGTGGGGCTGTGTAGTGATGGGGAGCACAGGCTGGGAGCCAGGCCAGGCCCCATTCACATGAGGCCCAGGGCAGAGTCCAAGCTGCAAGGGAGACTTGGGCTCACTATACCGGACTATCCTCATTTTGCAGGTGGGGAAACTGAGGCTTAGGAGAGGGGAACATGGCTTGTCCAAGGCCACAGGGTGACTCTGACACAGTGAGCCTGTCCTGGCTCTTGGTGCTTCTGTCTCCACACAGATACACAGGAGCACCATTTTACAAATAAGGGAATTAAGGTTCCAGTCCTGGGAGGCTGGACGCCTGGGTTCAAGTCCCACTTGGGTACTGGTGTGCAGCATGACCTCACGTAGGCCTCCTTTCCCAGCCTTGATTCCTGCTGGGCTGAGCCCTTCTCCCTGCCTTCCCAGGCCCAGCCTCTGCTCACCTGGCTGGCTGTGGCCAGTGGGAGTGAACCACTTACAGAAGATAGCATCTCACCAGCCATGTTGCCCTGGGCAACTAATACAACTTATTGTAGCTCCATTGTACCTGTGGGGCAGGTGCAATGAGGGACAACAAGTGAAGTCAATGACAGCTGCTGCTGTCATGGTCCACCCAGCCAGAGTGTCTATTGGCAGGGCCTGGGCAGGGCTGTGGGCCCAGAAGGGAGTGAGCCAACACAGACCAGCTTCTTCCCTCATCAGCTGTGTGACTTTGGACAGGTCACTTAACTTCCTGGGACCTCCATCTTCTCCCCTGTAAAAAGCAGTGATGCCTCCTATTTAGGGTATTAGGAGGGGTGCCCTGGGTCCAATAGTCAGGTGACTTGCCCAAGGCCACCGCTGGTCAGGGCAGAGGAGGGCTGCACACCTCCCATACCTCCCCCATTTTGCTAAAGTCCAGGGGTTTCCGAGAGAATTTTTCCCTGAGAGACAAGGGCACATCTGGATTAGGACGGACAGGAGCAGTGGCCCCGCAGGTATTTGGAGATGAGGTGTGAGGCCGGCTGCCAGCACCACCATGGTGCCGTAGGCTCTGCCGGAAGAGCACTCCTACTCCAGCTGGTAATGTCCTCTTGTCAGACAGATGTGGTACTGACCAAGCTTGGCCTTGCTGCCCTGTGGTCCCCAGCCTGGAAGGGAGACCAGCCAACTTTGTCTGAAAGGGTACGGTGTATGAAGAGCAATGGGTAGGGGAGCGGGGATCCAAGGTAGAGGGTGGCTGAGCACACAGGGACAGCTGCAGAACAGCTTGCCGCTCCAGGATAGTGCTCGGGGAGAAACAGGTCTGCCTCTGGCCCCCAGCCCCCGCCTGCAGCACCAGCAGATGTGATGTGTTCTCCCCAGGGCCACGCTGGCTGGGCCTTGCCGCAGGCCCAGTAATCTCTGATCATTACGGTAGAGGTTGTAGAGACAATGAGTACAGGGGCCGCTCCTGTACAACCTGCACCCCCTCCCCAGTGACAGCGCTCCGGACACACATGGAGCCAGCTGCTCAGTGACACAGGCTCAGGGAAGCCAAAGGCCCCCACCTCCCAGGGTGCAGCTGCTGCTGGAGCTGGGCCAGGAGTGCTACCAGGAACCCTCCTTCCAAGCCCGAGCAGGTGTGGTCTTCTTGACAAAGTGGTCCTGGGGTCAGCATTTGATGAACAGTGGAAACTCTCTCTTAGCTGCCTCCCTTTCCCAGCATTTGGCCAGAGCATCTCAGCCTCTGCATCTCCTAAGCTGGACACACTCCCAGGAATCCACTGCAGGACTTCATTCATTCATTCACTCATTCATTCATTCCACACCCTCTGAGCACATACTGTGCACCAGCCCTGGAGCCAGATGAAGTCCTTACACTGCTCACAGGCTCTTGTGGGAGGAGGGCAGGTAGACAAGTGACCACACACCCAGACAGGGCCTCAAGAGAGCAGAGCAGGAGACACCTGGGAGAAGCCTGGTGGTCAGGCAGGGAGAGCTTCCTGGAGGAGGTGACGCCTGGGATGTAGAACCAGCCAGGCCGAGCAGGAAGAGGGTGTTCCTGGCACAGGGCACAGGACATAAGGTCTGGTGCCCACAGCACCACACATACAGAGACCAGTGTGACAGGGGCAGGCTCAGGAGGGGGTCCACCTCTTGTTCCGGAATCAGTTTTGTTCAGCAGAACATGGGACAGCATACAGCCCACAGATACCTCAAGATCAGTGTCCGTGAGGGAATGTAGTGAAGGCAGGTGGCTCCCAGCCCTGCCAGGGGGCTGCTGTGGTGGAGACCTGGTGGCTTCACACTGGACCTGCCAGCCCTGGCCCATGATGGCCCCCATCACTGGATGCCATGTGGCACCAGGAAAGGGAGGGCTGGAGCTTCAGACGCACTGGCATGAGTCTGCTCGCCCCTCCCTGCTGTCTCTTAGTGTTGAGGGAAACAAAGATCACACCCTGGGAGGCAGGAGGCCGGGTTCAAGTTCCTACTCAGGTACTGCCATGTGGCATGACCTCACCTGGGCCTCCTCATCCCACTGGGGTCCCCACCCTTCCAAGTCCCAGCCCCTGCTCACCTGGCTGGCTATGGCCAGTGGGGCCGAGCCACCCACAGAGGGCAGCATAGGAGAAGAAGTAGGTGGCAAAGGAGTGGCTGTCCCAGAAAAGCAGGGCTGAGCTGCTCTTGTAGAGGCTGTGCAGCCCCTCCTCATGGGCCACCATGGCCAGGCAGTGCAGCAGCCCATGGTACTTGGACACTGAACATACAGGAGACACAGGACACACGAGGGGCACAGACAAAGGCCCCGAGGCCAAGGGCCGCAACTGCTGCATCTGTGTCTGCAGGCAGACCTTAGCCACCTCAGTGGGCGAGGCCAGGAACACCTGCAGAGGAGGAGAAGGCAGGGATAAGATGGCACCTACAGCTCTGCCCACAGCCTGCGCCTGGCCTCCCACAGGCCTCGTGTTACCCATGGTGACCTTGGGGAGCCTGAGCCCTGAGATGCTGCAGGTTTGCCATTTGCTTCCTTTCCCTCTCCCTACCCATGTGTCTTGAATGCCATGCCACCTGGCATGGAGGGATCCGTTGCCCTTCGTGGATATCCACGGCACCCCATGCTGGTCAGGCAGCCGCGGGTGGCCAGAGGCTCTGAGTCAGGCTACCCAGGTCTCCACTAATCCACTTCTAACTACATGACCCGGATGGATCCCTTCATCTGTGTGGGCCTCAGTTTCCTCATCTGTAAAATGGAAATTCTATGACCTAACACGACACGGCCATTGGGAGGACAGCGGAGTCAGCAGATACAAAGCTCTGCAGCCCTGCCTGGCAGGCAGTAGACTCTGTGAATACAACCAGCAGGACTCAGCTCTGCTGCCAATGTGCTGGGGGCTTGTGTTCAGCTTATTGCAGAGTGCCCTAGTGAACACCATTTGGGGTCTTTAATGTTTAACTGGGGCATATTTCTAGAGGGAAATTTCCGGGTGAAACATACCTGAGCTATTTTGTATTGTAATAGATTTTGCCATTTTGGTGGGATTTGGAGGGGCCAAAGAGGGACAGTGAGACTTCCAAAGAATGGATCCTGACTCAGGAGCCCAGAGTGGACTTTGGGGTACTGGCCCAGTTCCAGAGAAAATCAGCAGCCCTGGCATTTCCAGAAAATGGGGCTTCTTGGCAAGTCTGAGCAAAGTCAGAAGTCCCCACATTCTCATCTGGCTCACTCAGTGCCCAGGAGGAAGCCGCTGGCCCACCTGAGCCTGTTTCTTCATCTTTAAAATGGGGCATGGGTCAGGCATGCTAGCTCATGCCTATAATGCCAGCACTTTGGGAGGCTGAGGCAGGAGAATCACTTGAGCCCAGGAGTTTGAGACCAGCCAGGGCAACATAGCAAAACCCTTGTCTCTATGAAAAATACAAAAACTAGCCAGGCATGGTAGCACATGCCTGTAGTGCCAGCTATTCAGGAAGCTGAGGTGGAAGGAACGCTTCAGCCTAGGAGGTCGAGGATGCAGTGTGCCATGATCACGCCACTGTACTCCAGTCTGAGAGACAGACAATATTTTGTCTCCAAAAATAAATAAATAAATAAAATGAGACAAGACAGCCCTGTACCCAGGACACGGGAACCTCTATGCTTTAAGCTTCGCCTGCTTGCATGTGTGCAATGTCCGGCTGGTTGATGCTGACCACACAGCCCCAGGCAGTGGGTGGGTACAGTCTCAGCCACTTTGAGAGGCGGTAGATGTGTCTCTGGGGTGAGATTGGTGTGTGGAGCGGGATGAGCCCCCAGTCAGTCCTCCCAGACATCCTGGCCTCCCTCTGAAATCCCAAGAGGTTAGGGCTCTGGGTCTGGAGTCTCTGAGCCTGTGTAGCCCCTGGGATAGACCTCCAAGCTACAAAGCCTATCACAGGGCATTCTGTGCTGCCTCTCCTCCCTGAAAACAGGGCACAAAGGCAGGGCTGCTCCCCAGCTCCAGCTCCCGCTCTACTTTTCCCACCGAGCTCATGGCATGCATCAAACCCCACCTCCCAGCCCACTGGCAGTATTTGTGGGCAACAACCGATAAGTACACCACGACTCAGGCAGAAACAGCTGATGAGAGTTCGGGGAAAGACCTGGAATTTGAGGCCCAGCTCTGCCACAGATGGCACCGTGGCAAATAGACTCAAGCCCCGTGCCTCTGTTTCCCTATCTGCAAACAAGGACAACAGCTACCTGTGGCAGGGTTAACGAGTTATTAGTCAGAAGAGACAGAGGTGAAGTCAGAGAGCTGACCATACCAGGCCAGGCCAGACCCTGCTGCTGGTGTTCCTGAGCCCCCGCCACAACCCAGCCTTGTCCCTTCAGAGTCCCCTGGACCCCAAGCCCTTTTGGGGCTGCTTTTTGCAGCACCTCCTGCTAACCACATTCCTCCCCACTTTCTAGCCCTTCCTGCCCTGCCTGGGAGGCATCTTCAACCCTGGAGTCCACTGGCTGCAAGGGCTGAGAAGGCCACTTGTCCTGGGCCTCAGGGTTCTCACCTGGACAAAATTTGACCCCATAGGAGGTCAAAATTCCAGGCAGGAGGCGCTTGAGCCAGCTTAAAGGGGAAAAGACAGGCAGCTTTGAAGAGAAGCCTCCTCAAGGCAGGCTCACCAGGATCCCCTGCCAGCTGGGCCTGGCACACAAAGAGGCTCAGTAAACACATAGGCCAGGTGCAGTGTCTCATACCTGTAATCCTAGCACTTTGGGAAGCCAAGGTAGGTGGATTGCTTTGAGGCCAGGAGTTCAAGACCAGCCTGGGCAACTTAGCAAGATCCCTGTCTCTGCAATAATAATAATAATAAATAGCCAGGCATGGTGGTGCATGCCTGTAGTCCCAGCTACTTAGAAGGCTGAGGTAGGAGGATCCTTGAACCCAGGAAGTCAAGGCTGAAGTGAGCCATGATCATGTCACAGCACTCCAGCCTGGGTGACAGAGACCATGTCTCTGGAAAAAAAAAAAAAGGAAAAGAAAAGAGGAAAGAACACACATGGACAGAGTGAACAGGAGCTGCCTGCCACCCTCCATTTGGACAGCAAGGCCCTGTGAGGGGCCTTGGAGGTGAACCCAGCTCCCGCTGGCCCTTCATCCTCCCACCATGTGGCACAGACACTGGAGGGTCAGGCAGCAGAGGAGGTCGCTGTCCGGACTCCAGAGGGCAGAGCCCGAAGCAGGGGCAGGTGGCAGAGCCCCACACAGCTGCCCCAAGAAGACATGGCCCTGCCTAATGCTGGTGAGTGCTGGGCAGGTAACCTGTCCCAACGTGCTTTGGCTCAGTCATCCTTTCGGCCAGCCACCACCCACCCTCTCCCACCCACTCCTGACTCTGGAATGCCACCTCCAGCTCACCTTACCACTCCAACTCAGTTGCACTGACTGGAGGCCTGGGAGTGCCTGCTCACTCAGCCATCCCCCACTATGATAAAGAGAACCTGAGAGAGGGCACAGCCAGGCCAGCTCATGGCTAGGCCCCCACAGGGGCCCAGAGGCTGAATTTTGTTAGCCCTGGGCAATGTAGGAAGGACCAAAGGCCTCAACCCCCGCCGTGTCCATAAATGCCAGGTTGAGCCCCTCCTGCTGGCCCCTCTATGTCCTGACCAGGTGGCCGGCACCACCCCTTTGACCTTCTGGCTCTGGAGCACCCTGCCCCCACCCCCAGGCCCCCATCAGCTCTATTTTTATCCAAGAAGCACTCGCCCTGTGTCTATTTAGATCACTCCCCATTGAGTTTCTGGTCCTCTCATAATCTAGGCCAAGCCTCCTCAGTCTTCATGGCCCCCTCGAAGGCCAAGCGGATTCTGCATGGCACCCAGCCTGCCAGGAGCCCACAGCTCACCCGAATGGTAGCCCTGGGAAGCTAAATGCTCCCAACTAATGGCAATGCAAGAAACTCACACACCATAGTGGCAACTGTGGGATTGAATGCATTGTCCACAAGAGGTCCCAGGTCCTTCACTCTCTGAGGCCCAGAGGGCACCCCCTGGCAAGGAGGATTCACTCCCACTGAGTGGCTGAGAGGCTGGAGATTAATCCAGACGACAGCAAGTGTTTATTCATAGCAAGAAAGAGACCAGTCGGGCAGAACTTTGACTTGTCAGTGCCAAACCTCAAACCGACAGCTCAGGCCCCAGCCCCTGGCCATAAAGCCACCTGACCTGTTCCTAGGTCTTCAGCAGCTATTTGGAACCTTTGCCAGCTGGGGCCAGGAGCCCCGCTGTGGGGCCATGATTTCCCCCAACCCATCCAGACAGTTGAAAAGATGACCTGGTGAAACCCCGTCTCTACTAAAAAATACAAAAAAATTAGCTGGGCGTGGTGGCAGGCGCCTGTAGTCCCAGCTACTCGGGAGGCTGAGACAGGAGAATGGTGTGAACCCAGGAGGCAGAGCTTGCAGTGAGCTGAGATCACGCCACTGCATTCCAGCCTGGGTGACAGAGCAAGACTCTGTTTCAAAAAAAAAAAGGATGCCCTTAGGAAGCCTTCAGGATTTCAGCTGATTAAGTAAATTAACATGTATGATCCACTTCCTGCAAAGGTGTGGACAGCTATGGGTGGAGAGCCAGAGCATCTTGCCCTATAACAGAAGGGCAGGCACTATCCCTGCTTCCTGCTGGCTTCGTGTGAGGTCATCTATGTGCATGGACCGGCCCCTAGAATCCTCCCCAGCCCGGTTCACAGATGACAAACCTGAGGCAAGAAGGCTCATAGGTCAATGCAGCCAGGAGGGGTCTGAGCTGAGACTTAAAAGCAAAACTGTTTGAGTTGGATCTTCCTGAATCTATCCTTGGAGACGGTCTCAACCCACAGTCCCCACAGCCACCTGAGAACCACTAAACAGGCTAGTTTAAATGCAGGTTTCATCTTCACCTGCTCCCTGGGGCTGATTCCTTAGGTCTTGGGTGGGGCCTGGAAATCTGCCTTCCTGGCTGTTTTCCAAGGCAGTGAGTCAGGCCCACAGGGACCCACCGGTCGACTCCAGCCTCAGAGGTCTAGAGAGGGGAACCTGTGGCCAAGGCCACACAGCAAGACAGACCAGAGCCTGGGTCCCCTCACTGAGGCTGGGCTCCAAGGCTGCCTGCTTGCTTGGGTTGGGAGGAGGCAAAGCTGGTGCAGCAGGGCCTGGCTCTGTACGCTACACCCGGAGGAGAACCAGGCTGTGTTCTCCTATCTCCCTGGCTCCATCTTACTCTGGTCCATTGCAGCCCTACTAGGAACTGTGTTTCTGATGTTTGTAATTCTAAAAATATGTTTTAGAAAACTGGAAATAACAAACAAACCCTCTTTTTCACCAGCACGGAGAAGGGCAGGCTGTCAGCCAGCAGGCCCATGCGCAGATCCCACCATACTCACAGCCAGGTCCTGTCCAGTGGATGGGACAAAGAAGGCCCTGCCCTGGTGGAGCTGACATTCCAGTGGGTGCTGGGTGATGAAGGCAGAGAAACAGTGGGGCTGAGGTGGGGGCTTTCCCCAGGGAGGATGTCTTAGTCCATTCTGGCTGTTGTGACAAAATAAAAACATGAACTGGGTGGCTTATAAACAGAAATTTATTCTCACAATTCTGGAGACAAAGTCCAAGATCAAGGTGCCAGCAGATTTTGTGTCTGGTAAGGGACCCACTTTCTGATTCCCTGTGTCCTCACATGGCAGAAGAGGCAAGGGGGCTAAGGTCTCTTACAAAGGCACCTGGCTGGGTGCAGTGGCTCACACCTGTAATCCTAGCACTTTGGGAGGCCAAGGCTGGAGGATCACTTGAGTCTGGGAGTTCAAGACCCAGCCTGGGCAACGTGACAAAACCTTATCTCTACAAAAACAAGTCAGAAGAGAAAGTGTGAATCGATTCCTGTCCTTGGAGTCCTGAGTGGGCTTAGATGAGGTTAGAGTCTTTCTGCTCTATTCTTCCCTTGCCCTCTGTCCCAGAGGTTGCTGAAAGCTATTGCTGCCCCAGGGCAGGTCAGGGGCCAGAGGCATAACCGTGCACCCACTGGAAGGGGACCCCACAGCTGGACCTGGCTGCTGGGGACATGGAGTAGCCTTGAGGGACCCCCAGCTGGAGGGAAAAGGAAAGCCAAGCGGCACATACTGGACAAGTGTTAGGTTTCAAAAACCCAGGGAAATCCAGATACTGCCCAAGAAAACAGGTTCTAGAACTAGGATTTTCAAATTTAGAAAATTCAAAACATCAAGTGGAAAAGAGGATGGTTTTCCTGTTTCTGGGAAACAAAGGCCTCCCAGAAAACCAGAAACACAGGTGGAAGTCACGAAAGAAAATATAGGTTTGGTGGATGTCTTTTCATCTACCTGTGAATGTTAGGGGCTGTGGAAGGAGAAGAGGAAGCAGGTCTGGACATGGCAAATATGATCAATAAATAATAGTAGAAATTTTCCCTGATCAGAAGAGGGCATGAGTTTGCACATTGAAAAGGTTGTTAGAGTTCCAGGCAGGGTTACATTGAAGAAAAAGATACACCCTTGGCATCTCCTGGTGACATTCTTGAAAGCTACAGATAAAATCAAAGAGGCTTCCCAGCAGAATAAATAGATAATTGACAAAGGAGGAAGAAAAGAAACACATTGGCAGCAGATTCCTCATTTGCAGCACTGAAAACCGGAGGACTCTGGCTGGCCTGGGCCCAGGAAGCCTCACCAGAGCATTAATACCATTCCCTGACCAGACTAAGAAATATATTTTGCAGACGAGCAAGCGAAATTCAGAGGATATTCCCGCTTGTGTTACGTATGAAGGAAATCATCAAGAAAGGCCCTAATGAAATGGCAGTTGATCAGAATAGGGACCCCAAGTTGGAAGGAGAGGGAATCCTTGTTAGTTGAGTCTCACAGTTTATAGGAAAATATCAGTGGAAGGTGGCAGGGATAGGAGCCTTCTTGGGTAGCTCTTACTGGGGTGGGTAGGGCGGAAGGAAGCAGAGAGAGTCCTAGCGGGAGGCAGGTGCTTACCCTGTTTCTATATAATGATCAGGAAGCAACCATTTGCTGTAATGATAGATTGACAATTAGAAAGAGAATAAATAGTAATTTGCCCAAACCATCAAAACTATGGAAAAAGGAGTAAAATAAACCATTCACATAGAATAAAGTGACATACAAATGTCAGATCCTTCAGTTGTTCTAACAAAATCTGAGACTGCTTTAGACTGGGTTAGAAAACAAAATCCAGCTATAGTTGTTTACAAAAAAAAAACTGAAACAGGATAGTAAGAAGAGGTTCAAAATTACAAATTGGGTCAGGTGCAGTGGCTCACACCTATAATCCCAGCACTTTGGGAGGCCAAGGTGGGTGGGTCGCCTGAGCCCAGGAGTTTTGAGATCAGTCTGAGTGACATGGCAAGACCTGTCTCTATCAAAAAAATTACAAGTAGTTAGCTGGGTGTGGTGGCTCGTGCCTGTGGTCTCAGCTACTTGGGAGGCCAAGGCAGGAAGATTGCTTATGCCCAGGAGGCGGGGGTTGCAGTGAGCCCAGATTGCACCACTGCACTCCAGCCTGGGCGACAGAGTGAGATCTTGTCTCACCAACAAAAAACAAAGCAAAACACCCAAAATTAAAAGTTTGACAAAGTATACCTGGCACATGTAACCAAAAAGAAAGAACTGGCAAAGTTAATATCTAAGCGGATTTTAGGGTACAAAGCATTAAAAGGATGAAGAGGACAGTAGGTAAAGATAAAAAGTTCAATTGGTGGTGAAGAAGAATAATAACTTCCATTAACCTTTGGGCCTCAACTCACATGATAACCAACTCTAATGGAGAATGAGAGGTGATGGCTGAGGAGGGCTCTAGACCCAGAAGGTCTAGGTTTGAATCCCTGCTCCACTCACTGATAAGCATGGTGTGGACATTAATTCTCTGTGCCCTGCCTTCCTCATCTGTAAAATGGTTTGCTAATCCTTTAACAGGCATTAAGTGGAAGAGTTAATGCAGGTTGTAATGTGACTGTTAATCAACAGATGTGAGCTATTTTAATTATACATAAACACTGCTGGCGATAAAAGGAGAACTTTAACAGATGCACACATAAAACTCTAGGGAGTGAAGTGTGGGAGGCAGAATTAGTTACTTGACCTTACTAAGCCTTAGTTTCTCCTTCTGTGAAATGGGTAAAAAGGCTGCCTTACTCACAGTGCTGGCGAGACTCCCAGAGATGCTTACCATCTGCACAGCATGGAGGACTCTGAGAAGTGTTTGCTAATTGTTCTGGAAGGTTGATCTTTGTCCTTTGAGAGGGGCTGGATTTTTGGCTGAACCTGGAATAATAAATAAACAAGCATCAATGCAAAGTCACAAGCTGTCATCGTGGGCTCGAGGTGGCTGCCACTCAGGGAAGGGAATGGAGGTATCAGCTAGTGCATCAGGACCTGGGGTGATCACTCCCCAGAAGGCCATTACCCTGTTCAATCTCCATGAACACCCTGGGGGAGGGAGATAAACCTTCACAGGTAAGGAGAGTGAGGCTCAGAGACTCTGAGTCATTTGTGAGGTCGCTGACCTGATGAGCAGCTGAGGGAAAATTCAAATCTGGGGAGGGTCTTACCCCATAGTCCAGCATCCCTGGAGCCTCTTGCCCATGCCAGGTGTTTGGAGCAATGGGACATCGCAGAAATAGTGTGTGCAACCTCCCAGGGGACAACTTCTACTGTCAGCTGACCAGACCAATCAACTGTAGAGAGCAGCAGCCTGAAGATAGGACACGAGCGTTGAGTTGGACAGATGCTGGCTTGACCTTGGGATGTCATGTGCACACACACAAACACACACATAGACACACCCACTAGATATGAGGATTACAGGAGCTCACAGGATGTGCCTGGTGCCCAGTAGGTGCTTGGTCAATGTTCCTTTCCCCTCCAGCAGCTCCTGTCTACTCTTCCTTGCCAGAACCCCATCCTATCCAGCACCCTACACTGCAAGTTTCTGAGCCACTTAGGTCACAAGTCCCTCTCTTCTCTTCCAGGTGTGACAGGTATGCTTGGGGGACACCCACTTTACACAGTCAAGATGAGTCTCCTCACTTGTTTATTTCTCAGGCACATACATTGGAGAGAGGCTCACAGAGTTGAAGGGACTGGAAGCCCACTTCTATATACAACTCCAGGTGGGCAGCTGCTTTTCTACCACGCCGGATTGAACCTTCCCCCCTGGTTTGTCCTGGCAAATCCCCGCTGGGGCTGAACCACATGTTGGGTTCATGGCCAAGTCCATCCTCAGCTTGGCCAGCTGGGACCAAGATGCTAAAATTTCCTCCCACCCAGAGCAAGGGCACCCACATTGTTCTAATGCAGGACTCCCCGGAACAGTTTCTTAAAAGAAACAGAAAAGTCAAAACTTGTCAGTATATCCATGAACATGATCTTCAGAATAGCAATCATCATTACAGAAAAACCGAGTAATTGTCTCTCAGGTGCCAGTGTGCAGCTGTGAGGCATCCGTGCCAGAAGCCTGAGGAAGAGCCCAGGAGTGTGGCCTGTTCTTGGGAACTGAGGCACTGCGGCTGGCCCCCTGTAAGCTGGTTCCTCCTCGATACACCCCACACCTCGATGAACTGGAGTTCCATGTTCTCAGACCCCCCAGAACAGAAACCAAGAAAACCCATTTCCTCCAGCTGGAAATTCCCAAATAAGTCCCTTCACCCTTTCCTTGTGTTTGGGGTTGTGTGTTCTTAAAGTGGCCCAGTTGGGACCCTTCCCTGCCATTTTCCCTGGGCCCCAGTGCAAGCTGTAAACAGCGGTCACCAGGCCAGCCCTGTGTTTGCTGGCAGCACTGAACTTGGCCCCTTTTCCCACTGAGGGAGGGCAAAGCTGACTACAAGGCAAGACACATCATCCTGAGCTGGGTTTGCGGGAGGCTTTCTGTCTCCTCTTTTTTCAGTGAACCCAGGTGTTGTCAGAGGAAGTAACTTCTTATTGTAGGGTTGGGATTTCATCCAGCACAGGTGTAAGGGCTCAGCTTTATGCATTGGCTTTGGCCTTAAAATGTTCTGTCCCTAGGCCTCATGCAGGTCTTGTCCCCTCTGCCAGCCAAATTTCTGCATGACCTAGGGCCGGTCACTGTACCTTTTGTGAGAGGAGGCAGTTAGGGGCTGGCTAGGCAGGTAGAGATGGAGAGTCTCTGGAGAGAACAACACCCACAGGGAAGTATATTCTTCCCCTGTTACGTAGCTAGCAGGTGGAGATGTGGTTAAGAACTTCCTCTTATACCAGGATGTTTGCTCAGAATGGACTGTCTCAACTTAGGCACAAGCACAATAAATCAACTAAATGTCCTTAACTTGACCCAGCTTATTATAATATCATGAACATGACATCTACGTTGCAGTTTTACCACCACCCCCACCCCCAACTGGGCTTTTCTGTAGTGCCTATGGGTAATAATTACAATGGAGTAACTGTGGACAAGAAGGCACCTGCACAGTAAGAAGTGGAACTAGGAAGGAACTTGGAAGTAGGAGGTTATGTAAGATGCAAATGAGAAAAACATCTCTAGAAAGGAGGGATAAAAACCCTTGGATGAGCTGGTCAGCAGCAACCTACTTTCAGGTCCCCTCTCTTTACTGAGAGCTGTCTTTCTGTCACTTAATAAAACTCGACTCTCCCTTACCCACCCTCCTGTATCCGCATACCTCTTTCTTCGTGGCCACGAGACAAGAACTTGGAACTTACTAAAATACAGAGTAAGGAAACTGCAACATTTCTTAGGGGCTCACCCAGGATAACCCAGACCTCTGTTAACACTGTAAAGTTCACCCAGCCCTCCTAATTGTTATATCAAAAAACCCCACAAAGGACAGTCCTAGTGGACCAGGGAAACAAACCCTAGAACGCCCACAGAAAAGGCGCCAGCCCCTGAAGCCAGTTCTCTGGGTCAATCCTATCGACCCTGTCCAGGTCCCCCCTTAAACTTGCCCCACCATAGACATTTTTGTTCTAGGTGAGTGCCAGCCTCCCTGATGCCCATACAAGAAATGCCTTGTGAATATGGCCCTATTAAGGTACAGGTTCCCTTTTCTCTACAAGACTTAAGACAAATAAAGGGAACTCTTGGTAGATTTTCAGGCAACCCTGGCAGGTATATAAAGGCCTTCCAGGATTTAACCCAAGTATTTGAACTCTCCTGGAAGGACATTATATTTCTCTTAAAGCAAACCCTGACCACTGTGGAGAAACAGCCTCCCTGCAAGTTGCAGAGAAATTTGGAAATGAGCTTTGTACCTCATATAGTGCCAGAGAAGACAAGGCACCTTATTCAATTGGAAAGACGGCGATACCATTGTAGGACCCTAAATGGGACCATGATGATAACATGGGAGAATGGAGGAGGAAACACTTTCAGGTGTGCATATTGGAGGGCTTAGGAAGGACTAGAGCTAAGCCTTTCAATTACTCAAAACTGTGATTGACCAGAGATTAGATGAGAATCCCTCTGGCTTTCTGGAAAGGCTAAGAGAGGACTTGATGAAGCATACCTCTCTATCACCTGATTCAGTAGAGAGACAACTAATCCTATATGATAAAGTTATTATTCAGGCAACACCTGATATCAGGAGGAAGCTACAAAAACAGACCATAGGACCAGGTAGCACTTTAGAAAACCACCTAAATGTGATCACCTTGGTCTTTTACAACAGCGATCAGGAGGAGGCTCAGGAGAAAGAGAGGAGACATAAGAAAACGGCAGAGGCTCTAGTAGCTGCTCTACAGGCCTCCAGACCCCAGGATCGCCTAGGTGCACCTGCTAATTGCTACAAATGTGGCAAACCAGGGCACTTCTAAGAAGAATTGCCCAGGCAGCAAGAGAAGATCACCTGGACCCTGTCCAGCCTGTGGTGGGTACCACTGGAAGGCAGGCAGAACTGTCCCGAGAGGTACAGGTTGCTGGGTCCAGAGCCAGCCTCACAATGGTCCAGCAAAACTGAAAGGTCTGAGGACTCGACTCCCCGGCTCCAACATCTCAGATTGCCATCACCATCCAGGAGCCCCAGGTGATTCTGGAGATCGAAGGGAAGAAGGTGAACTTCCTTCTCAATACCAGTGCTGCCATTTCTGTTCTCCTCTCCTCCCTTAGGACAATCGTGATGGGCATTTCAGGAAAGCCCTTAACCTGATACTTTTCCCAATCCCTTAGTTGTAGCTGGGAAGACCTCTTGTTTACTCATGGCTTTTTAGTCATGCCTGAAAGCTCTACTCCTCTGCTAGGTAGGGAAATTTTAGCTCATATGAGTACCACCATCCTTATGGCTCTAGGACAGACTCTGTAAATCCAGAAGTTTGGACAATTCAGGGAAAAATTGGCTGAGCCACCACAGCTACATCAGTCCAAATCCATTTTAAGGACCCCACTTCATTCCCTAACAAAAGACAATATCCCCTAAAGCCAGAAGCTAGGAAGGGGTTCACGCCTGTAATCCCAGCATTTTGGGAGGCCGAGGCAGGCAGATCACGTGGTCAGGAGTTCGAGACCAGCCTGACCAACATGGAGACACCCTGTCTCTACTAAAAATACAAAAAATTTGTGAGGCATGGTGGTGCGTGCGTGTAATCCCAGCTACTAAGGAGGCTGAGGCAAGAGAATTGCTTGAACCCAGGAGGCAGAGGTCGCAGTGAGCTGAGATCACACCGTTGCACTTCAGCCTGGGTGACACAGAGAGACTCTGTCTCAAAAAAAAAAAAAAAAAAAAAAGGGAAGCAGAAAAACATGAAAAGACTAGACTGGCCTAGCCTTCCAGCCTACATCTTTCTCCCATGCTGGATGCTTCCTGCCCTCAACCATCGAACTAAAAATTCTTCAGTTTTGGAACTCATACTGGCTCTCCTTGCTCCTCAGTTTGCAGATGGCCTATTGTGGGACCTTGTGATCATGTGAGTCAATACTTAATAAACTAATATATTATTTCTGTCCCTCTAGAGAATTGTGGCTAATACAGATTTTTGTACTGAGACTAGAATGGTTCTAAAGGAACAGAATATTAAGGATGGAGTTCTTTCCTTGGTTTGGGGGTTTCTGGAGTTGGCTGCTTAATATGATTAGACTCAAAAATGCTAAGGACTCCACTTCTAATATTATGGAGAACACTGATAGTCCTTGGCATGAACTGTTTAGAGAGTTATGCAAAATAAATGCATTTGACACTCCTGATTCACTGCTCATGAGAGGCTAGGAGATTAGTGACTGTGTACATAATACCTTTGACTATATGTGGAGAACCAAGGAACATAATGAAGCTGGTTGGTTGCCCCTAAGCTCAGTGGACAAAGTGATGAAAGAAAATGGTGAGCTCAGGGATTCTAACTCCCAGCTTCAAAAGCAGATACTGAGCCTTAAATCTGCTAAGATTGCCCTGAGTGAGAGTCTTATCCCCTGTAGAGAAAGAGCTAAAATTGTGGAAAAACAGACACATGCTCTTATCATGCAAGTGGCTGACCTGCAACAAAAGGTGCATGCACAACCTGGCCAGGTGTCTACTGTTAAAGTGAGGGCATTGACTGGGAAAGAATGGGACCCTGCAACTTGGAGTGGGGATGTGTGGGAGGACCCTGATGAAGCTGGGGACACTGAGTTTGTAAACTCTGATAAACCTTTCTTTGCCAGAAAAAACAGCCTCCCCACCCCTAGTAGCGGCAACATCCCCTCCCTGACCCATACTGCCATCAGACTTTACACCTTTAGAGATAAACCCTGTGCTGCTGGAGGCAACAGTGATGGCTCTCCTGAGGCGGTTGCCAGGCAAGATAATGTTGATTCTCCTCAGAAGCCACCCCCAACACCTCTGTTTGCTTCTAGACCTATAACTAGACTAAAGTCCTGGTGGGCCCCTAGAGGTGAGGTTGAGAGTGTTACCTATGAGGAGGTGCACTACACTTGAAAAGAACTGCTTGAGTTTTCTAATTTATATAAACAGAAATCTGGAGAACAGGCATGGAAATGCATATTAAAGGTGTGGGATATTAGTGGAAAGAACATAGAGATGGATTAGGCTGAATTTATTGATTTGGGCCAATTAAGTAGGACTCTGCATTTAATATTGCAGCTCAGGGAATTAGAAAAGGTTCTAATAGTTTATTTGCTTGGTTAGCTGAAATATGGATTAAAAAATGAGCAAGCTGGAAATGCCTGATGTCCCTTGGTTTAATGTAGAGAAAGGGATTCAAAGGCTTAGGGAGATTGGGATGGTGGAGTAAATTAGTCATATTAGACCTACTTATCCCAGCTGGGAGGGCCAGAAGATATGCCCTTGACCAATGCCTTGTGAAGTAGATTTGTGAGGGAAGCACCTGCATCTTTGAAAGGCCCTGTAATTGCTCTTCTCTGTATGTCAGATCTACCAGTGGGAACTGCAGTCACTCAACTACAAAATTTAAATACAATGGGAAAAATGGGATCCCTAGGTGGCAGGAGCCAAGTGGTGGCACTCAACCATCAAAGGCAAGGTGGGTGTAGCTACCATAATGGACAGCAGAGGCAAAGCAGCAATCAGAGTAGTCTGACTCATGTAGAGTTCTGGCACTGGCTAATTAATCATGGTGTTCCTAGAAGTGAAATTGATAGGAAGCCTACTGCATTCCTACTTGATTTATATAAGCAGGAATCTTCTAGGTCAAATGGAAAAAAAATACAAATTCAAATTATAAAAATAGAGAATCACAGCCCCTCAGTCAATTTCCAGACTTAAGCCAGTTTACAGACCCAGAACCCCTTGAATGAAGGGGAGGCCAGGTCCTCTTGGGGAAGGACCTTATTACACTACCGACAATTTATGCTGTTATTCTTTCTCCCATCCTTCCCCAAAGAGACCTCTGGCCTTTTACTAGGGTAACTGTGCATTACCTGTGAAAAGGAAATTATCAGACATTTCAAAGACTACTGGACACTGACTCTAAGCTGATGTTGATTCCGGGGGACCCAAAACATCATTGTAGTCCTCCAGTTAAAGTAGGGGCTTATGGAGGTCACGTAATTAATGAAATTTTAGTTCAGGCCTGACTTACAATGGGTGCAGTGGGTGCCCGGACTCATTCTGTGGTCATTTTCCCAGTGCCACAATGCATAATTGGCACAGACATATTTAGCAGCTGGCAGAACTCCCACATTGGCTCCGTGACTGGTAGGGTGAGGGCTATTTTGTGGGAAAGGCCAAATGGAAGCCATTAGAGCTGCCTCTACCTAGAAAAATAGTAAATCAAAAACAATATTGCATCCCCAGAGGGATTGTGGAGATTAGTGCCACCATCAAGGACTTGAAAGATACAGGGACGGTGATTCCCACCACATTCCCATTCAAATCTCCCATTTGGCCTGTGCAGAAGACAGATGGATCTTGCAGAATGACAGTGGGTTATCATAAGCTTAGCCAAGTGGTGACGCCAATTGCAGCTGCTGTACCAGATGTGGTTTCATTGCTTGAGCAAATTAACACATCTCCTGGTACCTGGTATGCAGCCATTGACTTGGCAAATGCCTTTTTCTCTATTCTTGTCCATAAGGCCCACCAGAAGCAATCTGTCTTCAGCTGGCAAGGCCAGCAATATACCTTTACTGTCCTACTCAAGGGTATATCAACTCTCTGGCTTTGTGTCATAATCTTATTCGGAGAGAACTTGATTGCTTTTCACTGCCACAAGATATCATACTGTTCCATTATATTGATGACATTATGCTAATTGGATCCAATGAAAAGGAAGTAGCAAACACACTGGACTTACTGATGAGACATTTGTGTGCCAGAGGATGGGAAATAAATCCAACTAAAATTCAGGGACTTTCCACCTCAGTAAAATTTCTTTTCTTTCTTTTTTTTTTTTTTGAGATGTATTCTCGCTCCATCACCCAGGCTGGAGTGCAGTGCAGTGGCATGATCTTGGCTCACTGCAACCTCTGCCTCCTGGTTTCAAGCGATTCTCTTGCCACAGCCTCCTGAGTAGCTGAGATTACAGGTGCACACCACCAAGCCTGGCTAACTTTTGTATTTTTAGTAGAGACAGGGTTTCACCATGTTGGCCAGGCTGGTCTCGAACTCCTGGCCTCAGGTGATCTGTCCACCTCAGTCTCCCAAAATGCTGGGATTACAGGCATGAGCCACTGTGCCCAGCCCTCAGTAAAATTTCTGGGGGTCCAGTGGTGTGGAGCCCGTGGAGATATTCCTTCTAAGATGAAGGATAAGTTGCTGCACTTGGCTACTCCTACAACCAAGAAAGAGGTACAAAGCCTAGTGGGACGATTTGGATTTTGGAGGCAATACATTTCTCATTTGGGTGTGTTACTCTGGCCCATTTATCAAGTGACCCAAAAGGTTGCCAGTTTTGAGTCGGGTCCCAGACAAGAGAAGGCTCTGCAACAGGTCCAGGCTGCTGTACAAGCTGCTCTGCCACTTGGGTCATATGACCCAGCAGATCTAATGGTGCTTGAGGTGTCAGTAGCAGATAGGGTTGCTGTTTGGAGGCTTTGGCAGGCCCCCATAGGTGAATCACAGCAGAGGCCTCTAGGATTTTGGAGCAAGGCCCTGCCATCTTCTGCAGATACTATTCTCCTTTGGAGAGAGTTCTTGGCCTGTTACTGGGCTTTCATGAAAACTGAACGTTTGACTGAGGGTTATCAAGTCATCATGGAACCTGAACTGCCTGTCATAAACTGGGTGCTTTCTAACCCAACTAGCCATAAAGTGGGTCATGCACAGCAGCATTCCATCATCAAATGGAAGTGGTATATATGTGATCGCGCATGAGCAGGTCCCAAGGGCACAGGTATGTTACATGAAGAAGTGGCTCAAATGCCCGTGGTCTCCACTCCTGTCACCCCGCCTTCTCTCCCCAAGCCTGAGCCGATGGCCTCATGGAGAGTTCCCTATGATCAGTTGACAGATGAAGAGAAGACTAAGGCCTGGGTTCACAAACAATATGCAGGCACCACCCAAAAGTGGAGAGCTGCAGCACTGCAGCCCCTTTCTAGGACATCCCTGAAGCAGTGAAAGGAAGTCTTCCCGGTGGGCAGAACTTCGAGCAGTGCACCAGGCTGTGCACTTTGCATAGAAGGAGAAATGGCCAGATGTGCAATTATATACTGATTCATGGACTGCAGCCAATGGTTTGGCTGGGTATTTGGGGACTTGGAAGAAGCGTGATTGGAAAAATGATGATAAAGAAATTTGGGGAAGAGGTGTGTGGATGGACCTCTCTCACTGGTCAAAAACTGTGAAGACATTTGTATCCCATGTGAGTGCTCACCAATGGGTGACCTCAGCAGAGGAGGATTTTAATAATCAAGTGGATAGGGTGACAAGTTCTGTGGACACCACTCAGCTTTTCCCCAGACACCCTTGTCATCATTCAATGGGCCCATGAACAAAGTGTCCATGGTGGTAGGGATGGAGGTTACCCATGGGCTCAGCAAGATGGACTTTCAATCATCAAGACTGTACTGGCTATGGCCACTGCTGAGTGCCCAATTTGCCAGCAGCAGAAACCAACACGGAGCTCTCGATATGGCACTAATCCTCAGAGTAATCAGCCTCAGTAACCTACCTGGTGGCAGGTTGATTATATTGGACCTCTTCCATTAAGAAAAGGGCAGAGGTTTGTCCACACTGGAATAGACACTTACTCCAGATATGGGTTTGCCTACCTTGCACACAATGCTTCTGCCAAGACTACCACCTGTGGACTCACAGAATGCCTTATTCACCATCGTGGTATTCTACACAGCATTGCCTCTGATGAAGGCACTCACATTATGGCTAAAGAAGTGTGGCAGTTGACTTGTGCTCATGGAATTCACTGGTCTTACCATGTTCCCCATTATCCTGAAGCAGCTGGATTGATAGGACGGTGGAATAGCCTTTTGAAGTCACAACTACAATGTCAACTAGGTGACAATACTTTGCAGGGCTGAGACAAAGCTCTCCAGAAGGCTGCGTATGCTCTGAATCAGCATCCAATATGTTTCTCCCACAGCCAAGATTTACGGGTCCAGGAATCAAGGGGTGAAAGTGGAAATGGCACCACTCACCACCACCCCTAGTGTTCAGTAGCAAAATTTTTACTTCCTGTTTCCACAATGTTATGTTCTGCTGGCCTAGAGGACTTAGTTCCAGAGGGAGGAAGGCTGCCACCAGCTGACACAACAATGATTCCATTAAACTGGAAGTTAAGATTGCCACCTGGACACTTTGAGCTCCTCCTACTTTTAAGTCAACAGGATAAGAAGGGAGTTACAGTGTTGGCTGGGGTGATTAACCCGGACTGTCAAGACGAAATCAGTCTACTATTCCACAATGGAGGTAAGGAAGAGTATGCATGGAATACATGAGATCCATTAGGGTCTCTCCTTAGTATTGCCATACCCTGTGATTAAGGTCAATGGAAAACTGTAACAGTCCAATCTAGGCAGAACTACAAATGGCCCAGACCCTTCAGAAATAAAGGTTTTGGTCACTCCACCAGGAAAAAATCCACAACCTGCTGAGGTGCTTGCTGAAGGCAAAGGGAATACAGAATGGGTAGTAGAAGAAAGTAGTTATCAATACCAGCTATGACCATATAATGAGCTGCAGAAATGAGGACTGTAGTTGTCATTATGATTTCCTCCTTCTTTTGTTAAAAACATGTTTGTGCATGTACACACTTCTACTAAGAAAATATCTTCATTTCATTTCAGTTTTCCTTTATCATGTGACATAAGATTTTTTGACTTCATATCAGAATTTAAGTATTGTTAACTTTATGTAATAGTATTTGGGTTGGGGATTGGTGCATTTCCAGTTGTATGAAGGATAGTTGTATTATGTTAGGTGTAGTTATGACTTTATTATTGTCCTTTTTGAAGATTATGTATGATCTTAGGAGATGTGTATGGGTTCAAGTTGACAAGTGGTGGACTTGTGATGGTTAATACTGAGTGTCGACTTGACTGGATTGAAAGATCCAAAGTATTCATCCTGTGGGTGCCTGTGAGGGTGTTGTCAAAGGAGATTAACATTTTGAGTCAGTGGGGTGGGAAAGGCAGACCCACCCTTAATATGGGTGGGCAGCATCTAATCAACTGCCAGCCCTGCTAAACGTGAAGAGATTAGGCTGGCCTAGCCTCGCAGCCTACATCTTTATCCCATGCTGGATGCTTCCTGCTCTCAAACACTGGACTCCAAGTTCTTCAGTTTTGGGACTCAGGCTGGCTTCCTTGCCCCTCAGCTTGCAGATGGCCTATTGTGGGACCTTGTGATCATGCGAGTTAATAAGAAAATCATATATATATATATATATATATATCATATATATATTTTATATATATATCATATATATATTTTATATATATCTTATATATATGATACGTATCATATAATATATATCTTATATATATGATACGTATCATATATATCTTATATATGATATATATATCTTATTAGTTCTGTCCCTCTAGAGAACTCTAATACAGCAATTAATATTTATACTAAGTATGCTTTCTTAGTTCTCCATGCCCTTAGCACTATCTGTAAAGAGAGATGCTTCCTCACAGCCAATGGGTCTCCCATTAAACACCATCAGGAAATTGACAGGCTACTATTCTCAATCTTCTTTCCATGGGAAGTGGCAGTAATACATTGTAAAGGCCACCAAAAGGGGACAGATAAAATAGCTGAGCGAAGTAAGTTGGCAGACCAAGCTAAATTGGCAGCAAGAGTGCCCCGTATTTCTGATCCACTTGAGGTCCCCCTGATCTGGAAGGGCTCCATAAAAGAAAAACCCTCAATATTCTCCTGTGGAGACATAATGGACCACCTCTCAGGGAAAGAGCTTTCAGCTCTCAGGATGGTGACAATCAGAGGATGGCAATAGGTAAAAATTTATTTAAAACGATCAAACAGATACTTAATGTTTATGAGGCTTGCCTTAAAAATAACTCCAACTAACAGATTCTTCCCCCAGAACACAAAGAATAGGATGCTATTCTATTCCAAGGAAAGACTGGCAGATGGATTTCACCCATATTCCAAGGATAAGGGACATCCAGCATCTCTTCGTATGGGTGGATACCTTCAGTAAGTGGGTAGAAGTATTCCCATGCCAGACAGAGAAAGCCTCTGAGGTAATAAAAGTACTAATCAATGAGATAATTATTTGCTTTGGACTGCCTAAGTACCTCCAGAGTGATAATGGTCTCGAGCTTACTGAACCACAGGGCAATTTCCTCCCACACTCAGCAAGGAAACACCTGAGTTAAATAAAAGAGCCATCCCTGCGATATTTAATGTCACACCGATGCCCATTGCCAGGTTACCAGATATAATTTGGAGAGTCTCATGCCATCTCTGCCTTTAGCAACCTGGTCAAGTATCTGCTGGACTTCTAGGCCACAGAAAGATGGCCACAGAGGGGTGAAGAAATAGGCTGAGGGTTCTTGGGGAGAAAGACACAGTGAGGCAGTAGGAGGTGGGGAAGAAAAGAAGACGGACTTTCACAATGGAATTAGGCACTGGGGAGAGATCAATTTCCCCACGTCAGGGAGAAGAAAGTATAGGTGGGGAAAGGGGTGGCCAGGAGCAGAAGGAAGAGGACTCAAGATGGAAAGGGAGCCGCTGTGCCTGTGGCAATACCACTTGGAGAGGTCGTTTTCATACCTTCAAGCCTTTTCCCCTGGGGTTTTGATTGTGTGGGTGCCCCATTTCTTGTCCTCTCTGCAGATGTCCAGTGAGATTTCCTCCTCCTCGTGCTGTTCTTGTGTGGCTTTCTGGGCAGTAGGGATCTTGAATTTCCTTTCTAACACTACGCCCAGCAAGGCGGGGAGCATTCCTCTGCCCTTTCTCTTGTGCCAACCTGGAAAGGTGCAGTCTAGATTTCAGTGAGAACCCTGCCAGCTGAGCCCTGTGCATCTACTACCTTGACACAGGGTGTTTTCCCACCAGAAGCCCTGCTGTGCTCTCCTGGCCCAAGTAGGGGATTCCATGCCTTCCCTTTCATGGTCTTAGCACCAGCAGCCTAGTTTCTCCCTTCCAGAGTCTCCAGGGATGGCAAATGTAAGTGGAGACAAACCTCGTCAGGTGCCCATCCCCTAAAAGGTTAATTGTGTATACGTGGCTGTGGGTGCCTTTGTGTTTTCATTCTCTTCCGCTTTTTGTTAAATTTGGTTGTCTGTGTGGTTTTATACTTGGTCAAAAGTACTCGTCTTGGTGATGCACTATTGTATGCATGAGAGAATTGGGGGAATGCGCATGTGGTACAAGAAAGAACCCCTGACCCCTTTCCTTCTCTGTGGTCCCCGGCATTAGATTGGGGGTTCTGGGAGAGGCAGGTGAATGTCCTAATGTGAATTGTTCGGTTTGTAACTGGAGTGTTTTGAAGTCTTTGGTGTTGCTCTGAGAGAGGACATCGCCACCTGGTGTTCATGAGGTGTCTGTGCAGAACAATAAATGGCAAATGAACAACCACAAAATTGTTGCTGTTGTTAACCTTCCGCCTTTTGTAGATTAGTGCACCTATTCTGTGAGGGATTTGGGTTGTCTTCCTGAGGGCAACCACAAGCCCTACCACTGGATGCGGGAAAAGTCCCTTCAGCACCCACTTAAAAAATATATCTTCCACATTGTTCTCACCCACACATTTGACCTGGTTAGACTCTTCACCTAACGGAACAGACAATATGGCTGGGAAAATAAGTAAGTGAACATGTGGGAGAAAAACCATCGTTAAAATTGTGAATGTTCATTTTTAAAGGTTCCTTCGCCTGACTACAATATGAAGTATGTTTGAATTGTTGCTTCTGCCTGTTGTTTCTCAAATAAATGTTTAATGTTAATCATCTCAAAACTGACAAGAACACAAAAATAAAATGTAAATGCAGAGCCTCCTTTGTCACCCAAATCTGTGTCTATTTCTGATAGTCCATGGAATGTGGTTTTCTTGGAAGCCAGGGTTGGTCTCCCCACAGACCCTAGCCTAAGGTTACCAGTTAGGGACCCAGGACTTGGAAGGCAGAGCCTGTGAGCTCTTCCATCAGGGATCTGACTCCGCAAAACGACTTGATGAATGCAACTGGCAAACTCCCATGTTCGGACTTCATATGCATGAGCCGTTGGACAGAGGGTTTCTTAGTACATACTTTAATGCATATTTATGTGCGATCTTGTTAGTGGGAATATAAGTTTGTGAAGAACTTCTCATTTCAATAGGCAGTTAATGCATTAAAAGTCTGGGAATTTGGGGCTGTATTTTTCCTTTCTGACTCAATAATCTTCAAAGAATTCATAGGAAAGTCAGTATTTGCAGACAAGTGGTTAACTTGGCTAAAACGTACAAAACACTCAGAACCCACAAAACACTCAGAGGTTTAGAAGAACGTTTTAATGCTTAAGAGGCAGAGTTAAGTAAAGGGGCTATAGAAATCAGTGTCCTTGGCTGGGCAGTCAGGAGAGCAGGGCTCAAATTCTGTGACTCACTTCTCTGTATCTCAGTTGGAAATGAATGGGTATCCTGGTTCCCACCTTCCCACACGCTGTGATACTTCAGACTCCTTGGATGATCTTTTCAGCCCAAGATCTTGATTGTGAACATTAACAAAGAGAACAGTCATCCTTCATAGAAGATAAATCAGTAATGATATTTGATTCAGTGAATAAATGTATCCTTTAAAAAACATTTTGTGGAGGAACATGACAGTGGTGGAGTAATTACAATCAGATGAGATTGGTATTAAAATTGAGTAAAGCCCCAACTGTTGCCAGCTGACAATCATGTGTCCTGCTAACTGCCCCAGGGCTCTCAGCCTGGAACTGAAATAAATGTGTTACAAATGGTGCTGGATGCCTTTTTCAGTTCATTTGAAAACATGGATTTGATCGTGTCAGCTCCCTTTCTGTGGGGAAAAAAAGTAGGGTCCATAATTGGTGTTACCTACTCTGTTTTGGTCTTAGGGAAGAAATAATACTTAGATGTGGGCTTACTTTAACTTCTTGCCTTTTTCACACCCAGAACAATGCAAACTTATTGAAATGTGGCATGTGCGTGTGTGTGTGTGTGTGTGTGTGTGCATATAGCAGGAAGACGGGAAGGGTAAGGACCATCCTTGGAAGAGGAAGGGGTTGTACTTTGGTAACATAGAACATAAAACCATAAAATTTGGTCTATCCAAATCTACAGCTCCTTTCAATGCCCCATTTGTGATGAGCTAACAGGACGGAATCAGGTAGTTGGTTGTGGGTAAGAATTTCAGTTTCTCCTGAGCATGAGAATCTTTTTCAGTTTTTATCTGTCTTTCCTTACTCCTTGTCTACAAACTGTCCCTTCCCCATTGACCTACTAATAGAAGCTTGTATGTTAAAATATTTTTGGAGGACTTCATGACACTAGTCAGAAGTCCAAGAGTGGTCTGGTCTAAGGAAGACTTCATGGGGAAGCTAGAAAAAAGTGGAATTGGTGCAGGCAACATCTTTCTTTTCAGATGCTGTTTAGATGACATGGAGGAGATAACACAGTCTGTCAACAGGGAGCCCTAAAAGTTAAAAAACAGTGGCCAAGCAGGACTTGTGTCTTTTCAGGGTTTTGCCAGGCTCTAGAAGCATGAAATCCAGACAACTTTAAAGGGGGTGTGGGAGAGGAGAGAGAGATGCATTTAAGCAGAAATTCTTACAGCACACACGTTGGAAACCACTGCAGACTTCAGAGTAAATGCATAGTTTCCAAATCCAAATGTTAACATTCCCCCTTCTCTGTTTTTACACAAATGCATTCAGGTGAAGAAAGTGATACATTGGGAAAGGACACCTGCTTCTTATTTTAGTCCCAGGATGGCTTTTGCTTCAAGAGTCCCAACTGTTCCCTCTCCCCAACCCCACCCTTGTCCATGTAGCAATATGAATTGCCTGGCCCAGAGACCTAAACAAGAAGTCACAAATTTCTGTGTGATTTGGTTGCACTTGCCATTTCAACACTTAGGAAAATAGAAGTAATCAGAAATGACCATGCTGTTTGGAGATGAGAGAAACCCTTTTCAGGGAGAGATTTAAGCTGGACTCTGCCCCTGCTCTTCGTCAGGATTGTCTCCAGTTGCTGCAGTGCCTGGAACCAAACTCTGCCTCTTCCAAAATGCCAAGTATCCCCTCTTCTTGAATTTCCGGGTGCCACAGATGGCCAGGGTGATGACAACAGCCAGAATGGTGGTGGCTCCCACTACGATACCAGCCGTAGCCCCTCCTGACAGACCACCACCATCCTTATGGATGGCACTCATGGTGCTGCGCAGCTCTAATTGTTCTCCCAGCCTCCACTGGTGGGTCTGGGAATCTTTAATCTAGGATCTCGCATTCTCAGAACTGGTCACTATGACAGTGTTGGCATCAGCCTCACTCATAAGGGGTGGCTGGGTGAAAGGCGGGAGACTAGCAGGGGGAAGGAACTTTTCTGTAAAGAGCCCAGCCTTGACACAGTAGGACACTTGGCATCCATTGCTGATGAGGGCTAGGTGCTGGCTGAAGCCTCTCGGACACTTTTTCAGGGAAGGTGCCCCTAAATCTTTGGATGTGGCTGGAACCACCAGGGGTTCCCAACTGTGCAGCTGAAGAACCCACCAAAAGGGACCGCAAACCTGCTTCCCAACTCATAGTCCTGAGAAACGCATACCTTGAGGTTTTCAAAGAGTCTCCATGGAAAGTAGCCAGTTGGGCATGACTGTGCATTTGTCATGGGGTTTATGCTCTTGCTGTTGAAGAGGCCCCTGAAAAGCAGTCCTGAGTTGTCAGGTACTTGGCTACTGGCCACACACCAAAAAGCCCTAAATTCACCCTTTGCCGCCTGGAACACATCTTCACACACGGTCTTGCAGAAGACAAGGAGGGTGCACTTCTTATGACACTCCAGATGGTTGCAACACTCCTCGCAAGTCTTGGATAGAAGGTGCACTGAGGAGCAGCCAGAGGGGCAGGAGAAATCACCAGTGAGTGGATTCTTCTGCTCCAACTTTGGGCAGAGAACAACATTTTTATTCCCTGAGAACTGGCTGCATTTCTGATAAACCCCAACGAAAGAGAAGTTGGTCATTTTCCCTTCGCAGGAGACATCATCAGTGTTGGCCTGAAAATTGAAGTAGGGAGAATTGAGATCTGTGCAGCCAGGGTTGGTATTGAATGTGTAATAGCGTTTCACAGCTGTTTCCACTGTCTTTGACACCTTCTTCACCAGGGGGCCTGGCAAGTCAGGTAGCATGTTGGGGTTGATGAAGAAATGCAGCGGCAGGCCAGAGCGGTCGATGGCCACCAGGTGGTTGGTGATACCCTGCTGCCAGGCCTGGAGGGTGATGCCTGGGTAAAAAGGAACCCCTCCAATGCTCTGCACCCTGGAGTTGGTTCGGTTTGAGAGGTAGCTCTTGGTGAGGACATTCTCCGAGGTATGGTTTTCCTCAAATGTGAAGTTCACGGTGTTTTGGAAGGCAAGTCCAGCAGAGGCGGTCACAGCACTACGACTGCTCTGGCTGTCTTGGAAGAAGGAGGCCTTGATGTGGTCCTCCTGAATAAGAGCAGCCCCAGCGTCGACACTGGTGATGACGTGGGTGCCATAGTTGAGGACCAGGAGTTCTGCCAGGTAGGTGGCCATCCTTCTCTGGTTGTTCTCTAGACAGTCAGAGATGTCAAGGAGCTCCTTCCTAAAACCTGAGCTTAGCTCTAAAGTTGGGTTGATTTTGACTGTGTAGACGAGGTTTCTTACCTGAACTCGGGTAGTTATAGCTTTGTCCTTCACTTGAAGTGTTTTCATTCTCTGGAACTCAGCAGAGAACTTGGCATTGACTTTGGAATAAAGACAGAGATCTGTGTTGATGTAGTAGGAGATACTTCTCTGGTAATTAACTCAAGATTCCAGGATTTCTGAGTTCATTTCCAGGTTGCTCTGTTTCTGGAGAATGGTGAAGATTTCATCAGGGATGATATACTGTCCATCCTCAGTTGTCCTGCAGTTGGTGTAAGTCAAGTCCATCACCCATCCCATATCCACATTCCGCAGATTGTCCCAGCCCCCTCCAGATAGGACTTCCAGGATAGGCAGTTTCCAGGCATCCTTGCATTTTTGAAATCCAACTTCATCTGTCTCTCCCAAAGGCTTGCCTGATGTAACCCATGCTGCCACTGTCCAGAAAAGGATGGCAGCCCTGAAGCTGTTCTTGGCTCAGACAGCCCCAGCCACACAGGAGCCTACGCAGTGGCCAGCAAGCTTCAGGCAAACTAAATGGAGAAAAAGAAAGCAGCTGTGGATACAGTTCTCCAAAATTCAACAGTTCTCCAAAAGCTACCAGTTTCTCTTTAAGCTAATCTAATTGCAAAATAAGGAAATGAGAGTTGGTTAGAATATTAAAGTCCATCAGGACTTTGAATAATTTATGCCATGCTAAACATGCAAACACAGCCCTACATGCCTAACAGTTAACTATCCTAATTTTCCCCCAGCCCTGACTGGTTACTCTGCTGCAGGGGTGTGCACTTAGAAAAAGTGTGACCCCACAACCTACTGCGTCCTCCACCAGAAAGTTTGTCTTTTCTTTTTTCTCACTCTCTTGGACTTGATGTTTTATATTTTCCCCGACTGCTGTTTCCTGGGACTCCAATACCAGTTTCCTTTTACTGGAAACACAGAGGCAAATGACAACATCATCCTTACTGAAACACCCTGCCTCCACCATACCCATGCAAGCTGTAAGTCAAGGCCAACCCGGTTTCCCATTTGCCTGGGGGTGGAGGCTGTTTCCACAAAAGAAAGGAGTGAAACTCTTGGACACTTGTCCTGTGGGTTTCATTGTTATAAGCCCTAATAGTTCTGTCTTTGGGGATGACATTATCTGGGGCAGAGCTGACAGGGCCTGAAGAGGATTCTGTTAAAATATGCTGAAAAACCCCAGTTTGCATTGTTCTAAGCATTCAGGGTGAGAGCAAGGGGCACCTATACTGACCTGTTTTCTTTCAGGTAGAAATATTTAGGACAAAACCACACTGTTATCTAGATTTTGATTTATCAATGGCAGACAGGGGTCAAGGAACATATGTGTATATCTATACACATTTATATAGCCCCTGTGTGTATGCATTTTGCATGAAGTTGGTACCTGTCATCCTGTCATACCTTTAATTTTTCATTCCATTGCTAAGTGTGTGTATTCAGTTTAGGTGCATAAAAAAAGGTGGCTCTTCATTACTCAGTATTTTTTCTAAAAGCAACAATTCATTTGTTACATCATTAGAAGAATATAATTTCATAAATGTCTTTTCATATGCTAATGCCAGCTCTATTAGAGCCCATAATTTAAAACAATGTTTCCAGGCCCATTGATCTGGTGCCAGGATTGATTGAGACCCAACTCTGTTAATTCTTGAGGACAGTTAAGCTGTGTCTTAGTACACTTAGTGGTAGCTGGGGAATCCAGGGGAGTTAATGAAGCTCCCAATTGCATCCTTAACATTCCCAAAATTATACCATGTACCTGATGCGGTGTGGGACTGAAAAAGTCAGGTTGCAATTCACAGGTATCACTACACCATCGCCTGTATGCATCCTGGAAAGAAGATTCCAAGGAATTGAATTCCTCTGATGGTCATTGATGCAACTAAGAAGTGTTTTTAGAAAGAACGAGGCTAGTTGCCTAGCTTCCCAGGGTCGGCTTCACTAGTTATTATAAAAACCATGATGGTGTTCTGTAAATCCAGAAATATTGCATTCTGGGTCTTTTTTTTTTCCAATACAGGGTCTCGCTTATTTCCTAGGCATGGTCCCACTATGATCACGGTCCCATGATCAGCATGCGAGTTTTGACCTGCACTATTTCCAACCTGGGCCTTTTTACCCCTGCTTAGGCAACCTGGTGGTCTGCTCCAGGAAGGTCACCATAGTGATGCTGAACTTAGGGAGGACACCTGATTGGCATAGCACACTACAGCCCAGAACTCCCGGACTCAAGCTATCCCCTTGCCTCAGCCTCCAGAGAAGCTGGGACTACAGGCATGCACTACTGTGCCCGTCCATTCTGAGTGTATTTGTGCCACGGTTATCATGCTTCTGGGAGCTGGCACCAGCTATCAAGAGAGATTAATTTATGAACCAGTGCCCAGTCTATATTTGGCTAGAGAACCAAACTTTTGCAAGATCTTCTGGTTAATTTATAAATCAGTTAGTTATAAATATATTCCTCAGCAGCATGATCCCAGAATTAGAAAAATGAGAGTTGAATGCCCTTGAGTACTTCCAATAAATCTGTTGAAATATATCCACATTTCTCTTCAAACTATTTCTGGGATTGTTCATCAAAATTAGAACACTGTCTCACTTACACCACTTTGGAGACAAGCTGACAATTTGCTACCCTCTCCTTTCTCTTTAGTAGATCCTGTTGAGCCTTCACTCTCCTGAAATGAGAATACAAGCAAGGTTAATACAAATAATTCTATATTCAGGTGTTCCTATTTCTCCAGATGCCCAGTCACTGTAATTTTTATTTCTTCTACAGCCTTTGACTTCATTTTATTACAGAAAAAAAAGGAAAATAGCTAAAAGAACCAAAAAGAGTAAAATTACATTGTATTCATATGACAAAATATTTTACAGCCACCACAATTATTTCAAACAACTTTAATAGCATGCGAGATTCTTATGTCATAATGTTACTGAAAAGCAGTCCTGATCCAGATCCCAAGAGAGGATTCTTGAATCTTACACAAGAAAGAATTCAGAGTGAGTCCATAGAGTAAAATGAAAGCAAGTGTATTAGAGAAGTAAAGAAACAAAAGAATGACTACTCCATAGGCAGAACAGAGGCATGTGCTGCTTGACTAGGAATATTTATTGTTATTTCTTGATTATATGCTAAACAAGGGGTGGATTATTCATTAGTTTTCCAGGAAGAGGGTGGGCAATTCCCAGAACTGAAGGGTCCTCCCCTTTTTAGACCATATAGGTTAACTTCCTGACAACGTTGCCATGGCATTTGTGTAAACTGTCATGGCACTGGTGGGAGTGTCATTTAGCATGCTAATGCATTATAATTAACATATAATAAGCAGTGAGGATGACCAGAGGTCACTGTCATTGCCATCTCAATTTCAATGGGTTTTCACCAGCTTCTTTACTGCATGTTGGTTTTTTGGTTTCTTTTTTGTTTGTTTCCTTACTTTTTGAGACAGTCTCTGGCTCTGTTGCCCAGGCTAGAGTGCAGTGGCACAATGTCAGCTCACTGCATCCTCTGCCTCCTGAGTTCAAGCAATTCTCCTGCCTCAGCCACCTGAGTAGCTGGGACTCCTGGCACACACTACCACACCCAGCTAATTTTTGTGTGTTTAGTAGAGACAGGGCTTCACCGTGTTGGCCATGGTTGGTCTTGAACTCCTGGCCTCAAGTGATCTGCCCACCTCAGTCTCCCAAAGTGCTGGGATTACAGGTGTGACCCATGGTGCCCGGTCAACTGCGTATGGTTTTATGAGCAAGGTCTTATGACCTATATCTTGTGCCAACTTCCTGTCTCATCCTGTGACTTAGAATATCTAACCTACTAGGAATGCAGTCCAGTGGGTCTCAGCCTTATTTTAGCCAGCTCCTAGTGAAGATGAAGTTGCTCTGGTTCAAACACCTCTGACATATTTCCCCCATCCCTTTTATAAGAGAACCCTTAATCTTAAGGGTTGTAGAGGGATGAAGATCTATCCTCTGTAATTTTTCATGCTGAATAGGGGCCAAGATATTTCTGCCTAACTGTTAGGGTCTCTTGTATTCAGGGTAGAAAGGAGCTCAGTAGGAAAGTACCAGTATGGTGAGGGCCATTCATAACTCTGACAAAAGGTGATATCTGGAAAATTAATAAGTATTCAGTTTATGAAGACATTTCAGTAAGCTTATTGTGCATTCCTACACAAAGAGTACAACAGCAAATATGATCCACAACCATAAAGCAAAATAAGTAAAATTGTCCCAAGTAAACTAAATAAGATGGCTTTCCATGAAATGGGCAACTGTTGGAACCAAACTGATATGGGGTTACTAGCTGATTCCAATATGTGTCCAGAACTAGAATATTGAGCTAGGTTTTTGCATTACCTATCCCTCTTGTTTTTTCTGAGCTACAGCCAGAGACCACTGGTTGGTTCACAGGAATAAACATAGTCATTATAAATTGCAGAAAAAAACTCAAAAACAACTGATGAGAGAAAGTAATAGCGTGTGTACCATCAATTTTGAAACATAATCTTTCCTCTCTCCAGTCTCCCATTTTTACTAATGATAAATTATGGTAAGACCAATTTACTTTATTATACTTGACCTGATTATTTGTATAAAGTGCAGCAAGAATAATTAGTTTTCACATAGGTTTTTAAAATTGGCTTTGATGGAACTCTGCTCCATAAGGAACCTCAGATAAGACCTTTTTTAAGGCAAGCTCAACCATGGGTTTGTATACTCAAATACCTATGAGTTGAGCAAATTCCTCTCCTCTTGAGGTCCCAAGGTAGCTTGGGGCTCCTGGGCCTGTCAGAAAGTGACATTCTTTACTTATCACACGTTAGGAACCCTGTACAAGAACTGCGTAGACAAGATATGAGGCCAGTTTTCAAATTTGATTCCTTAAAGGAAAGCACTTTATTTCAGTCAAAGCTTTGGTAAAATAACCAGTTTCTCCAATTATGTCCTCTTGCAAAAGAAAACAGATTCTTACTGCACTTATGCAAATAAGTATATTGCCATAAGTTAAGAATACTCATAAATAGTTTCAAAATTCTGGAGAAATCAGGTAGAGAAAAACAAATATTCTCCCAATTTTTTATAAGAGTATACTTTACTCAACTGTTAAAAGCTGTGAATAGTTTAATAGAAAAGTTTTCTTGGTTCTGAAAAACAAAACAAAGGATCAGCAAGGTCTTACACAAAGTCAAAAAAAGATAACTTCACTCTTCTATTAGCTCATTCCATATGGTTAACTCCTGTTCTGCTTAATATTCAAGAACATTTCAGCTCTCCATGAGTTCTGAAAGTTTTTTACTCAATTTTAATATCAGAAACCTGCATTTAAAAGCACCTATCAAAGTCCTATAACTGATTAAAAACCACCTTTTAAAGAGGATTAAATCAAGACAACAATTGTCTGTGGATGACAAAATGCCTTAGGGCAGCCTCTATTAAAACTCAATCAACTAGGAATTTTGGTTTCTTCTGTGGCATACAACAATTTTTTTTTATTTTATTTTTATTTAGTTATGTATGTATGCATGTGTGTAAGTATGTATTTATTTATTATTGAGATGGAGTCTTGCTCTGTTGCCCAGGCTGGCTGGAGTGTAGTGGGATGATCTCAGCTCAAAGCAACCTCCACCTCAGCCTCCTGAGTAGCTAGGATTACAGGCATGCAGCATCTATGCCCAGCTAATTTTTTTTTGTATTTTTAGTAGAAACAGGGTTTCACCATGTTGGCAAGGCTGGTCTCAAACTCCTGACCTCAAGTTATTCACTCACCTTGACCTCCCAAAGTGCTGTATTAAATGCATGAACCACCATGCCTGGCCACAACAATTTTATGTAACAATTATAATTATTACTGATAATGTACATTACATCATATCAGAATTATAAGTATTTCCTATAATTTTGTAACATGTACCAATAACATATTTATACAAATACAGCCCAAAGAGAGCCAAACACCACTTCATATTTGACAATGCTCCTGTATGATTTTTACACCAAATAAGCCAAATTTCACCTTTACATTAGTGTACTATTAATGTTAAACCCAATTCTTAATAAAACCTTATAGATAAATCTAGCCAATTTTAATCAGTTTGACCATAAGATTCTCATAAACCTTTTATAACCCTTTACAAATTTTGTTAAAGTGCAGATCAGTGCTCTAAGAAAGACTGTTATTATTTTATTTCAACATTTAATTTATGGGAAAACTGAATAATGTCCCTTTAACTTTAGCCAATATGTTCACACAGTACTGCTTTTACAAGATTAATTTTTTACAAACCTTCCACAACTTGCTCAAACCTTTAGTTTTATCTTATCTAACTTAAAACAATCCTTTAACCCTTTAATCTAGGCAACAAAATTTACATTCCCATGACTTCTTATATAATCTTTACCAAAAACACATTTCACTTTTCTTACACACCTTTACTGTAAAACTGTTTCTTCTTACACTTTCACTTTTCTTATACACCTTTACTGTAAAAGTGTTTCTTCAGTAAGTCTCAATTACTGTTATGATTTTATTTCAACATTTAATTTATGGGAAAACTGAATAATATCCCTTTAACTGTAGCCAATATGTTGACACAGAACTGCTTTCACAAGTTTAATTTTTTACAAACTTTCCACAAGTTGCTCAAACCTTTAGTTTTATCTTATCTAACTTAAAACAATCCTTTAACCCTTTAACCTAGGCAAAAAAATTTACATTCCCATGACTTCTTATATAATCTTTACCAAAAACACATTTCACTTTTCTTACACACCTCTACTGTAAAACTGTTTCTTCAGTAAGTCTCAATTACATGTTACAATGTTAACTCTTAGCAACTTTTACTTTTGGTGAAAAACCTAGTTAGTAAGCAATTTCAATTACATTGAACAATTATCAAAAGTCAAAGAAGCAGTTTATGACCTTAAAGCATTTAGTAAACCTAATATCTGACCTGCCTAATTTAGACCAAATGTCTAAATTTTTGAAGATATTTTTATTTTACCAACAATCTTTAGAACTGTCTTTATTTACCAAAGATTACTTAAGTCACATGAACTAAAAGGCATTACAATTTTTATTTTTCTGACAAAATATTTGATTTAAACATTTATTATTTTTAAGCCAATTAATCAAAGCTCTTCCATATCACACACACAACACATAAAAATACACAGACAGAAGATCCAGTACTTGTAAGATTTTTCATTTTCCAGTTTCTTAATTGGATTACTGGCTTCAGGGCAGAGACCTTGGAGGAACAGGGCCAAGAAAGCATGCAGGCTCTACAGCCTAATTAGCAGGCACAGCTGGAAGGCAAAACAGATCCCTTACACTTAAGTGTCTCATTTTTATACCAGATCCTAGATCTCCAAAAGAGAAATGCTATGGAACAAGACATTGCTATGATTTTGCTGTGCATTTTATTGCAAAGCAATCTAAAGCCGATCGCCCATTCTGTGATTAGCCCATCCCCCAACGGGAGTCTTATCTCTCCGTGCAGGTGTGAGGACATCTCCATACCTTCCAGGTGGCCAAGAGCGTGCTTCTCTAATCCAATCATGCAGTCACATATTCCCCCATAACTGCCATTAGATATCCCTCAAAGTATATTTTCTACCTAGTTATTACACACCAAAGCTCTCATAATGTGAAGTAATTTCTGATATTCCCCAACAAGAGTCAAAAATGTCAGATAACACAATGCAAAACAGAACAGAGCCTTAGATTTTGAAAGGAATCTATCCACTTCCAATTCCTGGGGTTTCATGAGAAAAACAGAGGCTTTTCCCAAAATGGGGTCTGTGTTTCCTCCTGTTTTTCCCAAGGAGTCCCAGGCTTGAATATTCACTTTTAATTAAGCCGACTTTTAAGCATAGCACACTTTAAAAAAAAAAAAAAGTCCTTTTAAATCTCTTATTACTTGACTTTAGCCAGGCCAAACAGCCAACATTTCTTTTGAACTTTACCAAACATAACCTCCCATGTAACCTCACAGGTGCTCAGAGAAAAGAAAATTCAAGACGGTTCGTGGAGGGGAGGAGAATTAACAAATTGTAAAGGTCACACAGATATCAAACCAGAAGGGACTCATTCCCTGTGCCAGAAATTGAACCCTGGCCACCATTGTAAAATGGCAATACCTTAGTTGCTGAGCTACAGCACTGGGCAGTTCCCATTACCCTTCCCAGAAGAAGCCTAGAGGCAGCCAATTTCGAGCTTCCAAAGGCTTTTAAGTGCTCAAGATAATTTTTAGGGCTAGCTGATATGAGTCCTCAAATTCCTGTTCCCTGGATGTTAGAGACCAGTTGAAAATTCTACAACGTGGTTATAGGCTCAAGGTCCCAAAGACATAAAACAAGATGAGAGGGAAACTTCATCCAGTTTTTTTTTTTTCCAAGGACCTGCAACGAAGTTTGTAACTGACCAGTTTGCTTTGCTGGCTTAAACAGAGGGCTTATGGGGTCCTAGCCCCACATTCTATCCTAAGGTACCCCTTTTTATGACAGAATGATACAGAAAGACAAATTTATAGCACAAGGTATATCAGATTTGCTACAGCTTAAGACTAGCTTCACAAATCTTTTGTCCCATTAATCAAATCTTCACAGAGCAGGTAAATAGCAACTTTTGCCATTCATTCAGTTTGCACAGAGAGGGGAAAGGGAAGGGAGAAAAGTGTTGCCTGCAGCAGAGTGGGAAAGGTGAGGAGCTCAGGGAGGCCAGAGAAAGACCCACCCATCGCAGTGACACTGTAAAGTTCAGGTGGCCACTTGTCAGTCTCGAAAGATCTTTTCCAGCAGTCCCATCAGCTCTCAAGTTTCCCCTTTTAGGGAGAAAAAAGCTCTTCATGTCCCATGGTCCTGCACATGCCTAATCCTATCACCCATAGAAATCAGCAAAGAGTTCAAGGCAGAATAATCCAAAGAGAATAATGGTTAACATCCCATAGTGCCAAACCTGTTCTTAGCCCAGAGGGACTTTACTGAGAGGGAGCCTCTAACTCCTAAATCTCAGGAAGGATTCTAACCTTTCTAAGTTGGACCTTGAACCCAAGTTTGGTCAAGCATCTTTTCCTTTTATTAAGAGGGGCTTTTAACCCTGCCTGTCTTAGGAGAGACTCTAACTCCTCTGAAGCTGGCCTCTAACCAAATTAGAAATAAGAACATAGTGATTTCATGATTCTTTTTAATCTGGAGGGTGAAAACAGAAGGCCCTTGTGAAATTCTAAATATTCCCATTAAAAGATAGGCTAGAATTTGGCAGCCCATGCCATTTCACTTCTGTTCCCGATTAGCACTCTTTCTTTCACTATCTTTCACTTTCCCTGATCCATTTTCTCATCATCAGTTATTCCCTTTCTGCTCCTTTTTTTCTTTGCCTTTTGCAAATTTAGATTTGGAGGACACATGTTAGTGATTTGAGGTGGTACTTCCACTGGACTAAAGAGGAGCTGGAGTGATGATGTGAGCCTGTCATCCCAGCTACTCAAGAGGCTGAAACAGGAGATCCCTTTAGCACAAGAGTTCAAGGTGACCCTGGGCAAAATAGTGAAACCCTGTCTCCAAAGAAGGAAGGAAGGCAGGAAGGAAAGAAGCAAAGAACAAATGAATGGATGGACAGATGGAAGGAAGGAAGGAAGGAAGGAAAGAAAGAAAGAAAGAAAGAAAGAAAGAAAGAAAGAAAGAAAGAAAGAAAGAAAGAGAGAAAGGAAGGAAGGAAGAAAGGGAGGAAGGAAGGAAAGAAAGGAAAGAAAGAGAGAAAGGAAGGAAGGAAGAAAGGGAGGAAGGAAGGAAAGAAAGGAAAGAAAGAAAGAAAGAAAGAAAGAAAGAAAGAAAGAAAAGAAGGAAGGCAGGAAGAAGAAGAAAGAAGGAAAGAAAGAAAGAAGGAAAGAAAGAAAGAAAAAGAAAGAGAGAAAGAGAAAGAGAGGAAGGAAGGAAGAAAGGAAGGAAGGAAGGAAAGAAAGAAAGAAAAGAAAGAAAGAAAGAGGGAAAGGAAGGAAGGCAGGAAGAACAAGAAGAAGAAAGAAGGAAAGAAAGAAAGAAAGGGAAAGAAAGGAAGGAAGGAAGGCAGGAAGAAGAAGAAGAAAGAAGGAAAGAAAGAAAGAAAAGAAAGAAAGAAAGAAGAAAGAGCGAAAGAAAGAAAGAGAGAGAGAAAGAAAGAGAGAGGGAAGGGGAGGGGAGGGGAAGGGAAGGGACGGGAAGGAGGGACACTCTAATGTGGCAAAAGCTTAGCCTTTAGGCTTCCACACTCCTATTCCATATCATGGCAGACATAACTGAGCAGTCATACCCTTGATTTTCACTTTATTCTGAGGTTGCCTCGCCATTATTCTCAATGCAGTTCTCCAGGACATTCTAGTGAAAGCCTAGTTCATTAATCATTAAATAAATACTCCTTGAGCATCTGTTATTCATCATTTGAAGAGTCTAGGAGACAGACTGACCCCTCAGAGCTATTGTTCCCTCTCCATCTGCCCTCCAAGCTAAGCCCTACAAGGCTTGAGCATTAGGACCAACCCACTTCCCCAGCCCATTTGCCTTCAGGCTTCCAAATGACATCAGCCTAACCTAAAAAGTGCCTCTTACATTCTCCTTCAGCTGAAAATGATTTAACATGAAGAGCTTTGCACACACAAGACTGGAAACACACAGTGGAATTTCTCTTATGTCCTTATTTCTCAGTCTCCACATCTTCCCTGTCACATGACTTCCTTCTTGAGGAAGATTTGAACAAAAGAAGAGACTGAACTGTGCTTGGTCTCTCTAGGTTAACTACTGGCAGATTTCATATTTCTAAATTTATTACATTATTGGGTAACATAAAGCCAATCTCACATTCAATCTTTTCCTCTTTTACCATGGGATATTCAGATAAACTTGAGCTAAAGCAAAGTAAAAATTGCCACCATTTTTCTTTCTACCTGAAATAACCATGAATAAGTTAAGATGAATAAAGCACTTTAAGTGGTTCTTCCATCACAGAATTATGTAGAATTGGGAGCTTTGGGTCCCCTATTGAAATATTCCTATTGCCTCTTCTATTTATTGGTAATCTCAATATGAGATTAAGAGCAAAGCCTGGATTGTGAGTCTATTCAGTCTCTAGACTTTGTTCTTGCTTTGCTAGTTACTCAAATATCTCAACTGCTAGAATGACAAATATGGATGGGAAATAGAGATTTCAGAATTGAAATATAGACAACATTCTAGCCCAACAGGTAACTTTGCACAAGTCCTGGAGTTTCCCTGAGCCCTCATCTTACCAACTGTGAAACACAAACAATAGGAGCTTCCTCTGTACAGTAGGTGCAGTTGCTGAGAGGATTGGCTGCAATCCTCCATGTAAAGCTCTACAAGGCGCAGACAGGAGCTCAATGTATATCAGCTCTCAGTTTTGCTGAGCTTGCTATGCAGTCTTCAGGATGTGAGTAGGGGAAGAGGCATGTTAGAGAGTCTAAGGAACTTGACTTTCTCCCTGGTTACCTATTTGACACTATGGGACATCATATTGACTCACAGAGACAATATGTTTACTAATATCCTAAACAAAGCCATGAATCTCTCTAAGGAAAACAATCTGATTGCAATGTCATCTGGATTAATGGCACAGGTAAATGAGAAGTGATTACTTGCAGCCGGGCATAGTGGCTCACACCTGCAATCCCAGAACTTTGGGAGGCTGAAGTGGGTGGATCACCTGAGGTCAGGAATTCAAGAACAGCATGGCCAACATGGTGAAACCCTACCTCTACTAAAAATACAAAAATTAGCTGGGCTTGGTGGCACACGCCTGTAATCCCAGCTACTAGGGAGGCTGAGGCAGGGGAATTGCTCGAACCTGGGAGGTGGAGGTTGCAGTGAGCCGAGATTGAGCCACTGCACTCCAGCCTGGGTGACAGAGAGGGACTTCCCCCGACCAAAAAAAAAGAAGTGATTTAGTATCTTTGTCAAAAAATTCATTTTAGGACTTTTTTAGAATGTGGTTGACAAGCATTTTCTTTAAATGATCAGCTAGTAAATATTTCAGGCTTTGCAACCAAATGGTTTCTGTGGTAACTATCTAACTGCCATTGTACCACAAAAGTAGGTGATAAGAAAATGCATGCACATGAATTTGTTTCAATAAGTCTTTATTTACAAAAATAGTTTGGGGCTCTATTTGGGGAGGAACACTCAAGAAACAGAAGGAAGTGGGCATTGTGTAAACCCACAGGACACTACAGCTTCTTTCAAGGATTTGTGAAAGATGGTGGCCATACCCTGCTGATGTTGGCAGCTCTTCAACTTGCATCCAGATGAGAAAAATATGTTACAGTTTCCCTTCTCCACCCAAAATTCAATCAGTTTCTCCTCTGCCAGGGCCAGAGTCTCCTACTGTGAAGCTAAGCAAATTATACCCCCTCCTCGAGTTCCCAGCTCTGGGCATCACGCCTGCATTCTTGGGGTCTCTCTCTAAGGCTAGATATTGGGGAAATGATTACTATGACCAATGCAGTAGTTTGTAATTAAATCTTTTGTGTGGAAAAAAAAACCTGAAAACCTAAAGAAACCTCTGTTTTTTCACTTCTTATTGTGGACTGAAGGGTGTAAGGATAGCAAACTAGAAGAGAAGACTGTGGTGTTTTACAATTCCTGCCTCCCTTGCCCCCTCCTTCAGAATAGATTCTCCTGTTCTTTGATACTACTTATCCATAGATCTAATTATCTATAGAATCAATAGAATCCTTCTTTCATGCCATCTCTACCTCCAGGCAATTTTTTGACATCAGCGGGGACTCACTCAATTTTAAAGTGATTGTTAACAATTTGCCTTCAGACTCTCCAATTCAATCCTTCCTCCTTAATCTGCAAGTGAGCCTCCCTAAAGTACAAATCCAATCATGTCATTCTTTGCTCAAGAGCCTTCATTATTTTTGTTGTTCATTCATGGCCTGATGACATCCAAATTCCTTATCCTGATCCTCAAGGCTGTCACCACCCGGTGATACTTAGTGAACATGACATGGAACTCAAGGGGGAAAAATATGAGCAGAGAGCTGTTGATTTGGCAAGAACGAAGGAAGATGTGGTCTTACCAGCACAATTTCAACAGATTTGTTAGGGTAGAACTCACCAGTCTCAGATAGGGATATCTGGAATGGGGCTGAGAGGGGATTAGAGCAAAGCCAGGTATTGAAGGAAGTTATGCCAGTGTAGCAGTGAAAGGAGAGAAGAAAATGGAAAAGTAGGAACAGTAGATGGCAATGTCAAGCAAAGGAATCCTCAAAATTAAGGAAACTGGACCAGATTTTGAGACTGAAGCAAACACTTCAGTGTTTTTCAGAGAGGGATACTCTGAGGCAGTGCTCACGCTATCACAGCCAGTCATTGATAGGGCCAGAATTTAGCTGACGCCTTCAGTCACAGGAAAAGACAGCTGCATGAGAACACAGGCTAGTGGTAATGGAAGGAACAAAGAACCCAGAATTAGGATGAGAGGGGCTTAAAGAGGGAGGCAGTGGCACAGAGGACAAAGTTGTAGAATTTTATACTTTTGCTTAAAGCATGTCTTGTCTGTCTTGGTAAGTAGCTGTTTTCACTCATTGAAAATAATGTAAACAGTCATTTATTTATTTTACTGTGTCCAGGGTAAATATAAGAAGGTGTTCTCTAAAATCATTCTCAGTCTTCAAATAGACTTATAAACCAGCCTGGTAAAACCTAGAAAATAGTTGCCCAACTACATCTGTAGGGCATCTGTGGCCTTCCACCCATAGTGTCTGCTGTCTGTTCTTTTAAGAGACTGATTCTTTGATCCTGCTTGGAGTGATGGGAGGGGTAGACCCTCTTCTGGGAAGCCACAATGCTGTGGTATCCCCTGCTGATAGAGCTCACCCTGTGCCTTTCTTTAAAAAGCTTTCTGAGACAAGGAATATGGGCAAGCATGGAGTCATTGGGAATCATGCATCCAATTGACTCAATTAACTTGATGTACATTGTGACATCGAGTTATCCCTTAAAATGGACCTGAAAATAGCTCTGAAAATTATCCAGAGGTGATGTGACTTGGGAAAAATATAATCACCCTGAACTTGCTTGATCTTGAAAGTGGCATTTTGTTGGCTGGGCTCAATCTCAAGGAAGAGAGGCAGTTATGGCTTGGAGCCAGGCAGTTAGGTTGATGAATGTTCACTGGAAAGGGCTGCCCAGATGCACCCCAGATGGTGGGAAATACCTCATCTATGGGAGGCCATAAAAATCCAGATAAATAAAGGACACTTCTGTCTATGTGGACATTGAATGTTTGGGGAAGAGAAAAGGGGCAAAGAGGAGGGAGAGCTATAGGTCATGAAGTACCTGTTTATTTTACTGAATCATTAATTAGTACTGAAAATCTAAAATTAGTCTTGAAATTGTCTCTGCCAGATGAGGCAGGAAGACATAAAAAACAACATGTTCTCTCTGTGCACTGCCTACATTATATCTTTGATCGAGCTCTCAAGACATCACTCTTCTTAAATTGCTCATCAATAGATTCAGACAATCAAATTTTTTTTTTTATTATACAGACAATCAATTTAAAAGCAGCCTCGTCTGGCTGGGAATGTCAAAGAATGCCTTCTTACTCATTTATTAATAAGAGATGTTTATTTCTACTAACCTGGCTTTTTTGGATAGAGATGTATTAATCATTACACAGTCATTTTGTTATGAGATGGAACTGATTATCTGAAAAATGGACAAAATGATCTTGGTAAAATTCACTTTATCACAATTGTCAATTTCCTCTCTTTGTCTTCAGAGCAAAAATGGTTTTATAAAGTTGGTGGTCTTCAGCTTAAAAAATAAAATATTGCTTAAGAGTCTTACAGAACAATTAGACTTTATTTAATATTTGAATCTACTTTAAACTGGTTTTATTAATTCTACACATATGTGGCACTCTTAGTCACAAGAGATTTTCTCTTCAAATAGTTTGAAATTTTTTTATACCATTCAAGAGGTTGTCTCTTCACTTTATGGATTGTTTACTTCTCTGTGCAGAAGGTTTCCAGCTTAAAGGTATTGCATTTGCCCATTTTTTGCTTTGGTTGCCTATGCTCTTGAGGTCTTACTAAAAAAAATCTTTGTCCAAACCAGTCCTAAAGCATTTTTTCAATATTTTCTTCTAGTAGTTTTATAGTTTCAGATCTTACACTTAACTCTTTAATTCATTTTGATTTGATTTTTGGATATGGTAAGAGAGGGGTCTAGTTTCATTATTCTGCATATAGATGTCTAGTTTTCCCAGTGTCATTTATTGAAGAGAGAATTCTTTCCCCAATGTATGTTCTTGGCGGCTTTGTCAAAAATAAATTTACTGTAAATATGTGTATTTATTTCTGGGTTTTTTATTCTGTTCCATTGGTCTATATGTCTGTTGCTATGCCAGTGCCATGCTGTTTTGGTACTATAGTTTTGTAGTATAATTTGAGTCAGGTAATGTGATGCCTCCAACTTTGTTTTTCTTGATTAGGATCACTTTGACTATTCTGGGTATTTTGTGGTTCCATATAAATTTTAGCATTGTTTTTTCTATTTCTGTGAAGAATGTTATTGGTAATTTGATAGGGTTTGCATGGAATCTGTAGATAGTTTTGGGTAGTATTGACATTTTAACAATATTGATTCTTCCAATCCATGAACATAGGATACCTTTCCATTATTTGAGTCCTCCTTCAATTTTTTTATCAGTGTTTTATATTTTTCATTGTAGAGATCTTTCACTTCTTCAGTTAAGTTTATTTACAGGTATTTTATTTTATTCATAGCTATTATAAATGGGATTGTTTTCTTGGTTTCTTTTTCAGATTTTTCAATGTTGGCATATAAAAATGCTACTAATGTTTGTATGTTGATTATGTATCCTGCAATTTTACTAAATTTATCACTTTGAATAGCTTTTGGTGGAGTCTTAAGTTTTTCTAAATATAAGATTATATATCTGCAAACAGGAATAATTTGACTTCTTTGTTTACAATTTTTATGCCTTATATTTCTCTTGTTTAATTGCTCTGGCTAGAACTTTCAGTACTATGTTGAATAAAAGTGGTGAAAGTGGGCATTCTCTTCTTGTTCCACATCTTAGAGGAAAGGCTTTCATTTTTTTCTTATTTGGTATGATACTAGCTATGAGTTTGTTGTATATGGCCTCTATTATGTTGAAGTAGTTTCCTTCTATACCCAGTTTGTTGAGAGCTTTTATCATGAAGGGATGTTGAATTTTATGGAATGATTTTTCACTGTCTATTGAAATTATCATATGTTTTTTGTCCTTTATTTGGCTGATGTGATGTATCACATTTATTGATTTGCATATGTTAAACCATACTTGTTTATGTTATGTTTATGCATATGTTAAACCATACTATGTTAAACCATTCATCCCTGGGATGAATCCTCTTGATCATGATAAAGTATCTTTTTAATGTGTTGTTGAATTTGGTGTGCTAGTATTTTGTTGAGAATTTTTCCATCTATGTTCATCAGTGATATTGGTCTAGAGTTTTCTTTTTGTGTTGTCTCTTTGTCTTGTTTTGGTATCAGAATTATCCTAGCCTTATAGAATGAATTTGGAAGTATTCCCTCGTGTTTGATTTTTTTGAATAGTTTGGGTAGGATTGGTATTACTTCTTTTTTAAGTGTTTGGTGGAATTTAGCAATGAAGAGAAGCTACTAAACTCCATCCTCTTCTACTAACATAGCAAAGAAAATGCGAGCCATCAGATTCTGGTCTTTCCTTTGATGGGAGACTTTTTATTACTCCTTCTATCTCATTACTTGTTATTGGTCTATTGAGGTTCTCTGTTTCTTCGTGGTTCAACCTTAGTAGGTTGTGTGAGTCTAGAAATTGATCTGTCTCTTCTAGGTTTTCCAATTCATTGGCACATAGTTGCTAATAATAGTCTCTAGTGATCCTTTAAATTTCTGTGATATCATTTATAATACCTCCATTTTCATCTCTGATTTTACTTATTTGTGTCATCTCACTTTTTTCTTAGTCTAGATAAAGTTTTGTAAATTTAGTTTATCTTTTAAAACACAAACTTTTCCTTTTACGTTTTGTACTGTTTTCTTAGTTTCAATTAATTATTTCTCCTCTGATCTTTATGACTTATTTTCTTCTACTAACTTTGGGTTCATTTTACTCTTGCTTAGATTATTGATTCAAAGTCTTTTACTATTTTAATGTAGATATTTATTGATATAAACTTCCCTCTTTGTACTGCTTTTGCTATGTCCTATAGATTTCGTACATTATGTTTCCATTTTCATTTGTTTCAATACATTTTTAAATTTACTTCTTTTGTATTGACTCAATGGTCATTCATGAGCAGATTGTTCAATTTCTGTGTATTTTATAGTTTTCAAAATTTCTTTTATTGATTTCTAGTTTTATTCCTTTGTGGTCAGAAAAGACACCAGATACTATTTCAACATTGTTAAATGTTTTGAGACTCATTTTGTGGCTTAAAATATTGTCTACACTGAAGAATGTTTTACATCCTCTTAAGAAGAATGTGTATTCTGAAGCTGTTGGCTGAAATGTTCCCTAGATATCTATTAGGTCAGTTTGGTCTGTAGTGCAAATTTAGTCTGATTTTTCTTTCTTGATTTGTAGATAATTTCTAGATTGTAGATATTTCTAGATAATCTGTACCATGGTGAAAGTGTGGTGTTGAACTCCCAACTATTACTGCACTGGGGTCTGTCTCTCTATTTAGCTCTAATAATATTTGCTTTAGATATTTGAGTGCTTCAGCACTGGGTGTATATATATTTACAATTGTTATGTCCCCTTGCTGAATTGACCCCTCTATCATTATATAGTGACCTTCTTTGGTTTTTTTTACAGGTTTTGTCTTAAAATCTATTTTATCTGATATAAGTATAGCTACTCCTGCTCTTTTTTGTTTTCCATTTGTATGAACTATCTTTTTCCATCCCTTAATTTTCAGTCTATATGTGTCTTTATAAGCAAAGTGAGTTTCTTATAGAAAGCATATCTCGTAAAACAAGTCAGATCTTGTTTTTACAGTAGGCATAGTGATCATGTCCTCAGATAAAAACAGGCTACTGATTCCCTGTGTACCACGTGCTAACCCTGCTCAAACATCCTTTGCATAGGTATAGCCATCCATTGATCTACTTCTCTGGATGTGGCTCAACTTAGAAAACTTAGGGACCTGTTGAAAGCTCCACTATTATCTTCACTTTTCCACCTTCATGTGCCAAAAATAAACTATTAGAGCACTTATACAAAATGTGATATAGGCATATATAAAATCATTTTCCAAATTTTGAATATAAATTAATTGAGATAAATAGTGATAAACAGAACTGCCAATCAGCAATCAGTGCTAAGTCAGGAGTGTTTAGCCTATGCCCAGAGTCCTAGAAGCTACTAAACCCTATCCTCTTCTACGAACACAGCAAGGAAAATGTAACTTCTTAAAACACAGAATTTATTGTTTCATATCCCAAGGCCTTTCATTCCCAGCCATGGTGCTAAGCTTCTGCAGCAGCCTAGAGACCGATAAAATATTATAGAATATAATTAAAATATGCAGACAATTTTCCCATAGTACACCACATAAAGTACATTTTTTGTTTTAAAAATACATCACCAATACAAAAATGTTAATCACAAATAGTTAGAAAAAGAGAAATATATGATATTGTCCAAGAATCTGTCTTTAATTTGTGAGCCTCTGTTATGACCAGTTAATCGCTGAAACTTTGTTGTTCATAAGAAATTTCTGCACAGAGATATACATCATATACACCCATATCCTAGAGATGATTTGAATATCAAAATAAAAAGTATTCTGGTCTTCTGTAGAGATAGGGCTTTCTGACTCAAAGCCTACATCATTCTTTTCTGAAGATCATATTTTTCATAATTAAGGAGATTTTGAATTTTATGTAATAAAGCATTTCTGCTGGTTGTGATATCAACTCCAAGTAGTATTTGTCTTCAGAGAGTCTAATAATCAGTGACCATAAAAGCATTAAACACCCAACCAAATGAAACGAATGGCACTTAGGAATTTACTTCTCTCTCAATCTCAGTATAGTCACCAGCTAATATCCTTTGTTTTAAACTAAAGCCAAGGGAGGTCTGAATGGGGTCACTAACAAGAGTTAGTTAAAAACAAAACAAAAAACAAAAACAACAACAAAAAACTTTACATGAAACCTAGGCCTGCAACCCCATCTCAAACTTCTCTTGACAAAATCCTATCCGATAACTGTAAATCAGTTGTCTTCCAAAATAACTTTCCCTTTCATCTCCAAGCTCCCTGAAATTGGATTCTACCCCCAGGGATATGGAATATTTATTAGAAGCAGAACTTCTCATATTGTAGTGCCTACAGTTATCTAAAAGGTTTGTTGTAAGTTTTTTACCAACTGAACACTCATGGGGATTTGAAATTTTCCCTTCTGAATACAGAGGGAGGTGGGGGGATATAAAAAATGCCTTTTACTGGAAATAATCTCTTGAAAATTTCCATGATTTCAGGCCTAAGATTATGGAAGTCAGAATCCTACCAGAAGATTAAACAACAGAAATGTGCTTTCTGCCTCAGCTTCCTTTCCTTGTTTGGTATTTTAAGTCTCAATTCTCTAGTATTCCTCTGTATCTTGTAGTAAGTTATAAGGGAAACAGCCAAATTCAGACTTTCTTGTGGTTCCACAGGTTCCGTTCTCTATAGATAATTTTACCAACCACTTCCTATTTGTTAATTATTGGAAAAACAACTTTCTAATAGGGACTTGACCTATTAAACAAGCCAAAAATGTTAACAGTAAGACAGTTGGAAATGCCAAAATCAGGAACTCGATTACCTCACCAACAGGGGACCAGTTTCTGATTCTCTTTTCTGGTTACATGGTAGAGATAAGATGGAAAAACAAAGACACTATAGCAATAACATACAAGGAATTGTCTAGGAATACCTAGCTAGCTAACTGGTCAACCAAATCTTAACTTAGCAGATATGTTAAGCATTCCTATTACAACAAATTTCTATCTGTGTGGCTTTAGCAAGCCTTTTACCTGATATGAATATTTGGCTTTGGACAAATGCATAAATGAAGAAATTAATCCAAAATTTCCAGATATGAAAGAATAGGTTAAATGTGAGTTTTAACTTAATTGGGAAATTACTTTTAAAAGGATCTCTCTGTATTAACAGTCATCCCTCTTCTACCTAAAATAAGATGCTATGAGAAAGCTTGCTAGTCTTCTGAAAGCCCTGACCTGTAACAGCATCTCCGGTTCTTAAGGTCATGCTATGTTAGATAGAAATTAAATATTCAAGGTGAACTGTCCCATTGCCACAACTAGCTACAAAAAATACTTGTGGTTTGCCTGGCCTATTGATTTATGAGTTTACAACTGATAAAGAATGGCTATTAAATTTGAAGATATCTTTTATGCATTTGCCTGATTTTGTGCCAGCCCTAGGTTTATATAAGGAACAACTGCAATTCTGCCAACAATCAGGAGAGTTGAAAATAAATGTTTAGTTGTTGTTCTTCCTACACTGTTTATACATCTGAAATAAATTCCATTATTTCATTCCATAACACCAGGAGAAGATTCTCTTCTTCCATCTGTTTAGAGCATCTTTGATTTCCTTGTTCCTCAGGCTGTAGATCACTGGATTTAACATGGGGATTGTAACTGTGTATAAGACTGATGCCAACTTGTTTTGGCTCAGGGAATCACCAGCATTAGGATACATATAAACAAAGATACCTGAGCCAAAGAAAAGGATCACTGCTGTAAGGTGAGAAGCACAAGTGTTGAAAGATTTGGCTCTGCCTTCAGCTGAGGTGATCTTCAGAATGGTGGCAATGATATAACCATAAGATATCATGATAACTAAGACAGACGTGAGTCCAAAGATCACTGTGAGAACAGAGGTCATGACTTGAAAGAAAAAGGTGTCAGAACAGGATAGAATCAGCAGCTGGGGCAGATCACAGAAGAAATGGTTGATGACATTTGGCCCACAGAAATGGAGCTGAAGCAAGGCACAGAGTTGGATAAATGAGCCTAAGAATCCAGTTATACAAGATCCTGCCACCATCTGCACGCAGAGGGTGGGAAACATGATGGCCCTGTAGAGCAGAGGGTTGCAAATGGCAGCATATCGATCATAAGCCATGGCTGCCAGAAGACAGCACTCAGTTAGACCTAGGCTAGAGAAGAAAAAGTACTGCATACTGCACCCCATAAAGGAGATGAATTTATGCTTCTTGAAGAAGTCTGAGAGCATCTTGGGGGCTATAGTGGAAACATAGCAGATGTCCAGAAACGACAGATTACTAAGGAAAAAGTACATAGGTGTATGCAGATGGGAGTCGTCCTGATAAGGGTGATGAGGTTTATGTTCCAGGACACTGTCAGGAGGTAGATCCCTAGGAATATTGAAAAGAGGAAAATAGGGTTCTTTGGAAATTCAGAGAATCCCAAGAGAATGAACTTTGTAATTCTCGTACTGTTCCTTTCCCCAGTCATTGCACTGGTGATTCTAGTATCTGTAGGAAAAAAGAGTATAAATCTGTATGTCAGTTGTTATCCCAATTTCTATTGAAATAAACTACCTTGTATCCACACTGAACACAGAATCAAGTGAAATATTGATCCAAGTTAAAGGAAATAACCCTGATTAACCTTGGCCCTTAAGAACTACAATGGTTCTGGGCATCAGTTTTTCCACATGTAAAAGAGGATAACTACACTTTTCATTGTTAACCTATCAGGCTTTTATGAGAACAAAAGAAAGTATAAGAACACTTGGAAGAGACTTTTTAAAAGACGCTTCGGAAACTTTAACATATTGCTAATGGAATTACAATCCCTGTGCGTAGTTCAGTGACTAAGAGCATGGACTTACATGTCATACTGCTGTTTTTGGATTGTGGTTCTGCTACCTACAAACTGTGTTAGTATCTTTGTGCTTGTTATTTCATCAATAAAATAGGGATAGTAAACCTGTCTCAGGTTTTAACTGAGGTTATGTATGGTATCTGTCATGCACATAGCAACAATTGTATGAAAGTGGTGTCATTAGGGGATATCTTTCTAGCATAATTTTGAAGCACTCTTTTGGTTTGTGAAAAACTTAAATTTAACTGTTTAATGGGTCATATAGGTAACATTCTCTGACTACAGTGTTATGAAGTTAGAAATCAGTAGCAAATTGATAGAGAAATATAATTGAAAACTAATTACATATTTTGAAACTATTCATGAACATTATTAATATTAAATAATGTTAAATCTAATGAGTAATTATGGAAATGCAAATTAAAACAGTGGATACAATTTCACACTTGCCATTTTGACAAAAATGAAGAAGTGGGGCAATATCAAGTATTGACTAGAACATAAAATAAATGGAATCCTCATCCCCTGTTATTGGGAGTGCAAACTACTATGATTGCTTTGGAAAGCAGTTCAGTAACATTTAATATGGAAGAATATGTAAACACAATATAACCCTCAAATTCCAATACTAAGTGTATTCTCTAGAAAACAAAATCCTCTATAAAACAAAAACTCAAATAATAGATACAAGGGGTAGTAGAGAGTTGAGTCCAAGTGTGGTGCTCTATTTTGAGGCCACTGAAACCCTTTCAAAGGTGGTCTGAAAGATCAAAATTCTGCCTGGGTAAAAAAAATCCATTCAAAGGCAAGATAGACTAGTGCATGTAACTATGTATGCTAAGTTCATTGATACGGTCTTCAATTTTACAACCACCCTTTAGGAAACTACCATCTGAGGAGTTTTGGTATAGTATTAAAGAAGTTTATACATGACTCTCTGAAAAGACTGTTAAAATACTCCTTCTTTTTCCAGTTACATATCTATATGAGGCCAGATTTCCTCATCCACCTCAACCAAAACTGTTTATTTCAACAGATTAAAAGAGAAACGAATATAAGAATCCAGCCACCTTCTATGAAGCAGACATTTATGACATTTTCAAAACTGTAGAACAATGCTACTGTTCACAAGCTATTTTTATTTTAGATAGTTATTGATTTTTATACATTATTTTATTAAAATATTTTATCATATTAACCCTTTTATGCCTGAGGTTGCAATTTTTTGAATTTGAAAAATCAGACCTTTGTGATGACCTTGAGCAGTAGGATATAAATGACTCCCACATGCAGTGTAAACTAGTTCAACCATTGTGGAAGACAGTGTGGTGATTCTTCAAGGATCTAGAACTAGAAATACCATTTGACCCAGCCATCCCATTACTGGGTATATACCCAGAGGATTATAAATCATGCTATTATAAAGACACATGCATACGTATGTTTATTGTGGCACTATTCACTATAGCAAAGACTTGAAACCAACCCAAATGTCCATCACTGATAGACTGGATTAAGAAAATGTGGCACATATACACCATGGAATACTATGCAGCCATAAAAAATGATGAGTTCATGTCCTTTGTAGTGACATGGATGAAGCTAGAAACCATCATTCTGAGCAAACTATCGCAAGGACAGAAAAACAGACACTGCATGTTCTCACTCATAGGTGGGAACTGAATGATGAGAACACTTGGGTGGGGAACATCACACACTGGGGCCTGTCATGGGGTGGGGAGATGGGGGAAGGATAGCATTAGGAGGAATACCTAATGTAAATGACGAGTTAGTGGGTGCAGCAAACCAACATGGCACATGTATACATATGTAACAAACCTGCACGTTGTGCACATGTACCCTAGAACTTAAAATATAGTAATAACAGAAAAATTACTACATTAAAGTAAGCACAGTGAAAAAATAAAAAATAAAAATAAATAAATTAAATAAATAAATAAATGACTCCCACATGCTTAGCGTTCCAATAATGGAACATGAGGCATAATTAATATATGAGTGAAGAAAATAAGCAGAACAGAACTAGTGAGTGATAAGTGGCTTAAATCTATCAACATTGTTTGCATACTAATGGATTTTGAATATCAAAAAGATAAATCAACTATAATTTTTGAGTACATCATCAATAATAATAATATGTAACAGTTATTCAGCACTTACTGTCCTAGACATTCTTCTAATATATTTATTTAATCTTCACAACAACCTCATTTTAATATAAAGCACAGGAAGTCAGGGAACTTTCCCATGATCTCAATATTAATAAGTGATACAGCTAGGAACCCTCTCAGATAGACCGACACCAGGGTCCAGCATTGAACAATTATGCTATACTACCAATTTACATACAGTTTTTATCTCTTTCATCTTTATTTTCCTGGTCACTATTAGCATTGCACCATTTAATTAAATTAATGAATAAGTTGTTAGAGCTTTGAGGATTCATTTTAAATTATAAATAAAATAAAAGTAGGTGGAGTCTAAAGGTCACACTGGCCCAACATAAATTGTAGCTATAGTAAATCGCCCTCTGCATCAACTATTGAAATGATTAATATCCCCTTGGCATGCAAAGATGGCCATAAATGATCATTTTTAATATTTCATAAAGTTATTAAAAGTATATATTTATACAAAAAACACTATCAAGTTGCTTTAGCATAAAATTACATTAACTCCCTTTGGCTACTCTATTTTAGACTCAGCAAAAGTTTTAATTATCTCTGATAAATAAACTTGGGAAATTAACTACGGAAAAGCAGAGTATATTTGGCATCACCATTAATCAACTTGATGATTTGGGGCAAAGTAATTCACCTTTATGTGCCTTCATTTATTCATCTCTATGGGAAGAATCATTACCACTTCATAGGCTTTTGCGAGAACTTAACTATGATATGTAAAGTAACAACTAGGCTGTCAAAAATGGGAGTTGTTATACTAATAATGAATAATAATAACTATATCCTAAAGGTAGTTTGCTAACTAAAACACATTTTTTTAGGGAAAATGGGATTATTTGGTGGTAAAAATATTAGGTTCCATAGTCCAGATGATAAGCTATCAGGAAAACTCCATGCCCCCAATTCCACTTTACTCACTGGCTAGTGTTTGAAACACTGTGAGATTATTTTTTTCAGCTCCAATACCTTGGTTTCTGTTAAAATTAATATTATTCTATGAGAATGGGAAAGAGGGATCATGAGTTTTCCAAAAACAAACAAAAACCGATGTTGAGCCTGGAAGCATGAGGTCTTTGTCAAGTGCATGAGAGAGCAGGGTTACAGGAGAAAGAAGAAAGAAGGAAAGTGTTTCAAGCATGGAAGCCAAGTTACCCCCATTCTGATTTTACCCACCCAAATGTTCATGCAGGTGTTTGGCTCCTGACAGGTGTATCTTGGTGAAATTCTGGGAGGTATTGCTGCCACGCTGCCTTCCAATGGAGTGTGCTGTCATCCCCAGATGAGTGTCATGTTCTTTCAGAAATTAGAGGCCACAAGCATCAAAATATGAGTGTTCAGCTTCCCCTAGGCTCTGTGCCTTTGGCCATGGCTCCTAATGGCCATTGCTGCAAAAAGGTGTTTACAACTAAAGATTCTCTTAAATGTTTCCTTTGGGTGTGGGGAGAGAAGAGGCAATTAACAGAAAGCACCATTAATTATTCTCTAGAATGATGAGAAACTCTAGAGAAAACATAGATAAATATTCCCAGTTGATTCCATTTCTTTACACTACAGTGTGCCCCTCATCACCTAATTGAATCAAGTTCTAATTTTTCTTTTCATACTTTTAGAATCATGATATCTGGGAGGGACTTTCAAGGTAGGGTGACCATTACATATATTACCTAAACTGGACAGCTTTGGGCATGAAAAAGGGAGTTATTAATAATCATGTCAGGACAGCAAGCATAAACAGAGATTGTTTTAGCAGATGACATTGTATGGTCCCCAGCATTTTAAGTCAAAACCTGCTATTTATTGTGTCTTTCATGATTATGTACTCTGGCTCTGAACAGACTTGGTTGGGGCTGAATTTTGACTTTGTTACTTATGAGATATGAGCCCTTGATCGTCTTTCTTAATCTCACTATGCCTCAGTTTCTTAATCAGTAAAAGGGAGGTTATCTTATAGGGTTGTGATGAATTTAAATGAGATACCTGGAAAGTACCTGGAAACACTCAATAAATGTTAGCATTTTGTTTTTGTTAATAATATTATTGTTTTAATTTCTCCATTTTCTGTTCATATTTCTATAAAAAAACTGTGCTCATTTTATAAGTATAGTTTTTTAAATTCAGCTTTTGTTACATGACATTGTATGTTTTTAAAACTTTGTAAAATCTACTTCAAAATTTAATAATTATTTTACTCTTGAACTCTTGTATTTTGTCTTCTTAATAACATTAATGCAACCCAGATGTTCCTGATCTCATTAACCTTAACTGTAATATCATGTCATGCTAGCTTTTTACTTATAACTTTCTTTCTTTTTCTTTTTATTATACTTAAAGTTCTAGGGTATATGTGCACAACATGCAGGTTTGTTACATATGTATACATGTGCCATGTTGGTTTGCTGCTCCCATTAACTCGTCATTTACATTAGGTATTTCTACTAATGCTACCCCTCCCCCATCCCCCCCCCCCCACGACAAGTCCTGGTGTGTGATGTTCCCCATCCTGTGTCCAAGTGTTCTCATTGTTCAATTCCCACCTATGAGTGAGAACATGTGGTGTTTGTCTTTCTCTCCTTGTGATAGTTTGCTCAGAATGATGGTTTCTAGCTTCATCCATGTCACTACAAAGGATATGAACTCATCCTTTTTTATGGCTGCGTAGTATTCCACGGTGTATATGTGCCACATTTTCTTAATCCAGTCTATCAGTGATGGACATTCGAGTTAGTTCCAAATCTTTGCTGTTGTGAATAGTGCTGCACTAAACATACGTGTGCATGTGTCTTTATAGTAGCATGATTTATAATCCTTTGGGTATATACCCAGTAATGGGATGGCTGGGTCAAATGGTATTTCTAGTTCTAGATCCTTGAGGAATCACCACAATATCTTCCACAATGGTTGAACTAGTTTACACTCCCACCAACAGTGTAAAAGTGTTCCTATTTTTCCACATCCTCTCCAGCACCTGTTGTCTCCTGACTTTTTAATGATCGCCATTCTAACTGGTGTGAGATGGTATCTCATTGTGGTTTTCATTTGCATTTCTCTGATGACCAGTGATGATGAGCATTTTTTCATGTGGATGTTGGCTGCATAAATGTCTTCTTTTGAAAAGTGTCTGTTTGTATCCTTTGCCCACTTTTTGGTGGGGTTGTTTGATTTTTTCTTGTATATTTGTTTAAGTTCTTTGTAGATTCTGGATATTAGCCCTTTGTCAGATGGGTAGATTGCAAAACTTTTCTCCCATTCTGTAGGTTGCCTGTTCACTCTGATGGTAGTTTCTTTTGCTGTGCAAAAGCTCTTTAGTTTAATTAGATGCCATTTGTCTATTTTGGCTTTTATTGCCATTGCTTTTGGTGTTGTAGTCATGAAGTCCTTGCCCATGCCTATGTCCTGAATGGTATTGGCTAGGTTTTCTTCTAGGGTTTTTATAGTATTGGGTCTAACATTTAAGTCTTTAATCCATCTTGAATTAATTTTTGTATAAGGTGTAAGGAAGGGATCCAGTTTCAGCTTTCTACATCTGGCTAGCCAGTTTTCCCAGCACCATCTATTAAATAGGGAATCCTTTCCCCATTTCTTGTCTTTGTCAGGTTTGTCAAAGATCAGATGGTTGCAGATGCGTGGTGTTATTTCTGAGGGCTCTGTTCTGTTCCATTTGTCTATCTCTGTTTTGGTACCAGTACCATGCTGTTTTGGTTACTGTAACCTTGTAGTATAGTTTGAAGTCAGGTAGCGTGATGCCTCCAGCTTTGTTCTTTTGGCTTAGGATTGTCTTGGCAATGTGGGCTCTTTTTTGGTTCTATATGAACTTTCAAATAGATTTTTCCAATTCTGTAAAGAAAGTCATTGGTACCTTGATGGGAATGATATTGAATCTATAAATTACCTTGGACAGTATGGCCATTTTCATAATATTGATTCTTCCTATCCATGAGCATGGAATGTTCTTCCATTTGTTTGTAGCCTCTTTTATTTTGTTGAGCAGTAGTTTGTAGTTCTCCTTGAAGAGGTCCTTCACATCCCTTGTAAGTCGGATTCCTAGGTATTTTATTCTCTTTGAAGCAATTGTGAATGGGAGTTCACTCACAATTTGGCTCTCTGTTTGTCTGTTATTGGTGTATAAGAATGCTTGTGATTTTTGCACATTGATTTTGTATCCTGAGACTTTCCTGAAGTTGCTTATAAGCCTTAGGAGGTTTGGGCTGAGACGATAGGGTTTTCTAAATATACAATCATGTCATCTACAAACAGGGACAATTTGACTTCCTCTTTTCCTAATTGAATGCCCTATATTTCTTTCTCTTGCATGATTGCCCTGCTAGAACTTCCAACACTACGTTGAATAGGAGTGGTGAGAGAGGGCATCCCTGTCTTGTGCCAGTTTTCAAAGGGAATGTTTCCAGGTTTTGCCCATTCAGTATGATGCTGGCTGTGGGTTTGTCATAAATAGCACTTATTGTTTTGAGATATGTCCCATCAATACCTAGTTTATTGAGAGTTTTTAGCATGAAGTCCTGTTAAATTTTGTTGAAGGCCTTTTCTGCATCTATTGAGATAATCGTGGTTTTTGTCTTTGGTTCTGTTTATGTGATGGATTACATTTATTGATTTACGTATGTTGAACCAGCCTTGCATCCCAGGGATGAAGCCCACTTGATCATGGTGGATAAGCTTTTTGATGTGCTGCTGGATTTGGTTTGCCAGTATTTTATTGAGGATTTTTGCATTGATGTTCATCAGGGATATTGGTCTAAAATTCTCTTTTATTGTTGTGTCTCTGCCAGTCTTTGGGATCAGGATGATGCTGGCCTTACAAAATGAGTTAGGGAAGATTCCCTCTTTTTCTATTGATTAGAATAGTTTCAGAAAGAATGGTACCAGCTCCTCTTTGTACGTCTGGTAGAATTTGGCTGTGAATCTGTCTGGTCCTGGACTTTTTTTGGTTGGAAGGCTATTAATTATTGCCTCAATTTCAGAGCCTGTTACTGGTCTATTCAGCGATTCAATTTCTTCCTGGTTTTGTCTTGGGAAGGTGTTTGTGTCCAGGAATTTATCCATTTCTTCTAGATTTGTTTATTTGTGTAGAGATGTTGATAGTATTCTCTGATAGTAGCTTTTATTTCCGTGGGATGGGTGGTGACATCCCTTTTATCATTTTTTTATTGTATCTATTTGATTCTTCTCTCTATTCTTCTTTATTGGTCTTGCTAGCAGTCTGTTAATTTTGTTGATCTTTTAAAAAAACCAGCTCTTGGGTTCATTGATTTTTTGAAGGGTTTTTTTGTGTCTCTGTCTCCTTCAGTTCTGCTCTGATCTTAGTTATTTCTTGCCTTCTGCTAGCTTTTGAATTTGTTTGCTCTTGCTTCTCTAGTTCTTTTAATCGTGATGTTAGGGTGTCAATTTTAGATCTTTCCTGCTTTTTCTTGTGGGCATTTAGTGCTATAAATTTCCCTCTACACACTGCTTTAAATGTGTCCCAGAGATTCTGGTATGTTGTGTATTTGTTCCATTTGTTTCAAAGAACATCTTTATTTCTGCCTTCATTTTGTTATTTACCCAGTAGTCATTCAGGAGCACGTTGTTCAGTTTCCATGTAGTTGAGCGGTTTTGAGTGAGTTTCTTAATCCTGAGTTCTAATTTGATCGCAGTGTGGTCTGAGAGACAGTTTGTTGTGATTTCTGTTCTTTTACATTTGCTGAGGAGTGCTTTACTTCCAACTATTTGGTCAATTTTGGAATAAGTGCAGTGTGGCAGTGAGAAGAATGTATATTTTGTTGGTTTGGGGTGGAGACTTCTGTAGATGTCTATTAGGTCTTCTTGGTGCAGAGCTGAGTTCAATTCCTGTATATCCTTTTTAACCTTCTGTCTTGTTGATCTAACATTGACAGTGGGGTGTTAAAGTCTCCCATTATTAGTGTGTGGGAGTCTAAGTCTCTTTTTAGGTCTCTAAGGACTTGCTTTATGAATCTGGGTGCTCCTGTATTGGGTGCATATATATTTAGGATAGTTAGCTCTTCTTGTTAAATTGAACCCTTTACCATTATGTAATGGCCTTCTTTGTCTCTTTTGATCTTTGTTGGTTTAAAGTAGGTTTTATCAGAGACTAGATTGCTACCCCTGCTTTTATTTTATTTTTTGCTTTTCATTTGCTTGGTAGATCTTCCTCCTTCCCTTTGTTTTGAGCCTATATGTGTCTCTGCATGTGAGATGGGTCTCCTGAATACAGCACACTGATGGGTCTTGGCTCTTTTCCAATTTGCCAGTCTGTGTCTTTTAACTGGGGCATTTACCCCATTTACATTCAAGGTTAATATTGTTATGTGTGAATTTGATCCTGTCATTATAATGTTAGCTGATTATTTTGCCCTTTAGTTGATGCAGTTTCTTCCTAGCATTGATGGTCTTTACAATTTGGCATGTTTTTGCAGTGGCTGGTACCGGTTTTTCCTTCCCATGTTTAGTGCTTCTTTCAGGAGCTCTTTTAAGGCAGGTCTGGTGGTGATGAAATCTCTCAGCATTTGCTTGTCTGTAAAGGATTTTATTTCTCCTTCACTTATGAAGCTTAGTTTGGCTGGATATGAAATTCTGGGTTGAAAATTCTTTCCTTTAAGAATGTTGAATATTGGCCCCCACTCTCTTCTGGCTTGTAGAGTTTCTGCCAAGAGATCCGCTGTTAGTCTGATGGGCTTCCCTTTGTGGGTAACCCAACCTTTCTCTCTGGCTGCCCTTAGCATTTTTCCCTTCATTTCAGCCTTGGTGAATCTGACCATTATATGTCTTTGGGTTGCTCTTCTCGAGGAGTATCTTTGTGGTGTTCTCTGTATTTCCTGCATTTGAATGTTGCCCTGCCTTGCTAGGTTGGGGAAGTTCCCCTGGATAATATCCTGAAGAGTGTTTTCCAGCTTGGTTCCATTCTCCCTGTCACTCTCAGATACACCAATCAAACACAGATTTGGTCTTTTCACATAGTCCCATATTTCTTGGAGGCTTTGTTCATTTCTTTTTACTCTTTTTTCTCTAAACTTCTCTTCTTGCTTCATTTCATTCATTTGATCTTCGATCACTGATACCCTTCTTCCACTTGATGGAATAGGCTACTGAAGTTTGTGCATTTTTCACGTAGTCCTCATGCCATGGTTTTTAGCTCCATCAAGCCATTTAAGGTCTTCTCTATACTGTTTATTATAGTTATCCATTTGTCTAATCTTTTTTCAAGGTTTTTAGCTTCCTTGCGATGGGTTCGAACATCCTTGTTTAGCTCAGAGAAGTTCGTTATTACTGACTTTCTGAAGCCTACTTCTATCAACTCATCAAAGTCATTCTCTGTCCTGCTTTGTTCCATTGCTGGTGAGGAGCTGCAATCCTTTGAAGGAGAAGGGGCACTCTGGTTTTACAATTTTCAGCTTTTCTGCTCTAGTTTCTCCCCATCTTTGTAGTTTTATCTACCTATGGTCTCTGAAGTTGGTGACCTACAGATGGGATTTTGGTGTGGATGTCCTTTCTGTTGATGTTGATGTTATTCCTTTCTGTTTGTTAGTTTTTCTTCTAACAATCAGGTCCCTCAGCCTGTTGGAGGTGCTCAGTCTGTGGGAGTTTGCTGGAGGTCCATTCCAGACCCTGTTTTCCTGGGTATTACCAGCAGAGGCTGCAGAACAGCAAATATTGCTGCCTGATCTTTCCTCTGGAAGCTTCGTCTCAGAAGGGCACCCGTCTGTATGAGGTGTTAATCGGCTCCTAATGGGAGGTGTCTCCAAGTTAGGCTACATGGGATTCAGGACCCACTTGAGGAGGTTTTCTGTCCGTTCTCAGAGCTCAAACACCATGCTGGGAGAACCACTGTTCTCTTCAGAGCTGTCAGACAGGGACGTTTAAGTCTGTAGAACTTTATGCTGCCTTTTGTTCAGCTATGCCCTGCCCCCAGAGGTGGAGTCTACAGAGGCAGGTGGGCTTCGTTGAGCTGCAGTGGGCCCCACCCAGTTCAAGCTTCCTGACTGCTTTGTTTACCTACTCAAGGCTCAGCCATGGTGGACACCCCTCCCCCAGCCTGGCTTGCCACCTTGCATTTCGACCTCCATGGGTGTGGGACCCATTGAGCCAGGCACAGGATATAATCTCCTGGTGTGCCATTTGCTAAGACCATTGGAAAAGTGCAGTGTTTATGTGGCAGTGGCCCAATTTTCCTGGTACAGTCTGTCACAGCTCCCCTTGGCTAGGAAAGGGAAATCTCCTGACCCTTTGCACTTCCCGGATGAGGTGATGCCCCACCCTTCTTCAGCTCACCCTCCATGGGCTGCATCCACTTTCCAACCAGTCCCAATGAGATGAACCAGGTATCTCAGTTGGAAATGCAGAAATCACCCATCTTCTGCATTGATCACACTGGGAGCTACACACCGGAGCTCTTCCTATTCGGCCATCTTGGAAGGAAACCCTAACTTTTAAACATTAAGAAATAACAGGTTATACTTGGATTTTATTTAAATTTTTTAACTTTATTTTCAAAAATAATCAAATACAGAAAACAGCATTAAAACATTCAGCTTAATGAGTTATGATGAAAATATGCTTCACATCTAACAGTAGCCACTATTCTGATCTTGTGATAATTGTTTCCTTACTTTTCCTTATAGCTTTATCACTCAAATGTACATACCTAAATGTCAAGTTGCTAAGACTAGTTTTGGCTTTTTAAAATGTGTCAGTTCTCTCTCTCTCTCTCTACCTCCCTCCCTCCCTGTCTCTCTCTCAAATCTATTTGTTTTTCCTTTGGAGCTTCACACAATCTGAATTTTGCTGATTCTCTCCCTGTAGTAGTTTAATCAGATTTTCTGTCCTCCATATTTCCTATAAATTGGCAGTTGGAGTTCCCTTTTTTTGTTTTTTGTTTTTTGAGACAGGGTCTCGTTCTGTCACCCAGACTGCAGTGCCGTGGTGCTATCACAGTTCACTGCAGCCTCAACTTGTCAGGCTCAAGTGATCCTCCCACCTCAGCCTCCCAAGTAGCTGGGACCACAGATGCATGCCACCACGCCTGGCTAATTTTTGTATTTTTAGTAGATATGGGGTTTCATCATGCTGCCCAGGCTGGAGTTTGAGAACTCCTGGGCTCAAGCAATCCTGCCTTGGCCTCCTGAAGTGCTGGAATTACAGGTGGGAGCCACCATGCCTGACCTGGATATACTTAATATGATTCACTTTTGATATTTTTAGCAAGACTGTCTCATAGGTGATATTGCATACTTGTTTTTAATATCCAAATTTAGAAGATGCATGCCTCCACCTGTGTCAGTTTACAAGCCTGGCGCTTTGCTTGGATCCCCTCTCCGAGAGCCTATGGGAAGCCATGAGAAATGATCACAAGTCCTGTAGATTCATAGGTGCCTGTTAAATGTCATTCAGTGGATTTTTAAAAGCCTTTCTCTGCTTCTGTTTTCCTCACCAGTAAGTACATTTCATAGGGGTTTATTCTGATTATTTAAATATATCTTCTGGTTTTAAATTTGTGCATCTTTCATGTGAGGGATGACTTTTGTCTCTCTCTCTCTCTCTCTCTTTTTTTGTGTGTGTGTGAGATGGAGTCTCACTCTGTCACCCAGGCTGGAGTGCAGTGATGTGATCTCAGCTCACTCCAACCTCTGCCTCCTGGGTCCAAGCGATTCTCCTACCTCAGCCTCCCGAGTAGCTGGGACTACAGGTGCATGCCACCACACCTGGCTAAGTATTTTTTTTAGTAGAGATGGGGTTTCGCCATGTTAGCCAGGATGGTCTCTATCTCCTGACCTTGTGATCTACCCACCTCAGCCCCTTAAAGACTTTTCTCTCTTTCATTACCCTAGCATTGTTCATTGCTATGCAATGAGAAGGTTTTGATTAGAGAATGTGTGCTTACCTGTTCAAATATTTCAGAACAATTAAGAGAAAAAGAAAAAAAGTAGGTGGGTGTTTTTTCTTCTAGATTAGAGATACAGTTAATATTTTGTGTGGAATGAGGAGCAATCCTGAGGCAAGATATTGTCAGGCAGCATCTGAATGAAGAGTTAGAAGGTTCAAAGATTGGGTGCCACATCAATAGCTGGGGCTACAACAAAAATTTTCAGACATAGGTGAGGCTCAGATGATCTGACAAGGTGGGTAATAACTATCTGCCCTTTGTACAATTCAGACCCATTTACAGCTTCCCATTGTATCAGACTCCAATGCTACAGTATGGAGCTTCCATTTTTGCAAAAACTAGATGTCCTCACTTGTTCCCCAAAAGATGAGGTACAATGAATTGGCTAGTTAAGCAGGTTATCATCCTTGCTATAGCAGGTGATTCTGAGGTCAGAACTGATTAATCTTAACTTTCTCCACCACTGATTCCAGATTTCCCTCATTCTTAGCCATTGCTCAACCTGGTCTAGATTGTCTAGATTGTCATCTAGATTGTCTAGAGGGTTAATCCAGACCCCACACCCCTGAAGAATCTGATCCCTTAGTTGCCTTGCTCTTAATAGTTACTGGTTGCTACAATTTCTAATTAAATATTTGCCCCAAGCACCGAAATGTCCCAGGATATTCCAGTTAATCCTCTGGGCTCCAGACATGTTCCAGTCCCTGTTGCATAAAAGCAACCCCAACTTCTCAAGTCAATTATACCCACCATACAGGAAGTCCTTTATTTGCCTGCTAGTCTGTTAGCATCAGGTGGAAGTCTCAGTTTCATGTTTACTGGAATCCTACTGTGTTGCCTGGAAGATGTTTTTGCCCCTGAAATCTAGAACCTCTAACTTAATGGAATCTAAATATGTGGGGAAAGAAAGCACAAGCCATAGAAGTGGGTCACTGAGAATGACAGTCAAGGAGTAAAAATAGCTGCATATATTCTAGTTATTGCGGGAACAGCATCATATATTAACTGATTAGTGCACATACAGCTTCCTGGAGAATACTGTCTTAACCACAAATGTATGTTTTCTCTAGCTGACACCTTAATTGGGCTGTCAAGCCAGATACTTCTGGATAATAATATACAATATAAGATCAGTGGATCACATGGCTACATTGGCACACCAACACATCTGTAAATAAGTCCTGAATTATTTCTATACCTTTCAGTTGGTCATAGGTAATTGGCCTAGATGAGGCCATAGGTAGAATTGAAGGAGGTGACATCAGAGCTTGGGCCACTTATTCCTGTAATGTACATATGCCTTCTGGACTTGCTTGGGTCAAAGCCTAAATGTGAGCCCAATTCCAAGTTCCATTCCACTACCAGCTTTATTCTACAGAAGATAACCATCCCCAAGCTTCTCAAAGATGCGTAAGTACCCCACACCCATGCATTATTTAGTACCTTACAGAAAAAAGTATCCTCTGAAAACATAGTGAGGTGGTAGGTTCTCAGCCGTTACCTGGTAAATTCATGCTGTCTTTGCTACTACTTTGGGCCTTGTGACCTATTTCTCAACACTATCCTATGAAACTTCTGGCATTTCTACCTCATGCATGTAAGCCATCAGATTGTCCAAATTCATGAAGCCATTTCTATTTTTTTCATTTTTTTTCCCAACTTTTAGTTTAGATTCAGGAGTACACGTGCAGGTTTGTTGCCTGGGTATATTGCATGATGCTCAGGTTTGGGGTATGGATCCCATCACCAAGGCAGTGAGCACAGAACCCAATAGGTAGGTTTTTAACCCTTGTCCCTCCTCTCCCTTCCCAGTGCCTATTGTTGCCATATTTATGTCCATGAGTACCCAATGATTAGCTCCCACTTATAAGTGAAAACATGTAGTATCTAATTTTCTATTTCTGCATTAATTCACTCAGGATAATGGCCTCCAGGTCTATCCATATGGCTGCAAATGGCATTCATTTTTATGGCTGCATAGTATTCAGTGGTAGATGTATACCACATTTTCTTGATCCAGTCTACCATTGATTGATCACTAGGTTGATTTCATGGCGCCCTTTCTAATAGACTATTAGCATCACTTTCAGGTGTATTTGTCAAAATATTGAATCCTGTCCATAAATTTTCCACTGATATTATATTCCATGTACCTTGGTCCAGCATCTTCAAGATTTACTTTCTTGTGATCACATATTTTCCATGTACTCCAAAACGTTTTGTATGTAATTTATTTCCTCTTAGAGTTGGACTATTTATCCATTTGGGTGGTGATGAAAACTGACTATGGTTATTAACCTATAAGTAATGAGAGAGGGCACAGCATATCTCAACATCAACAAGTGCCATTTTACAAGGCAGCTGCCTTAGATTGAAGTTATTGCTTGGAAAGCTGGCAAGGGATGGCAACTCTTTTCCTTCAAAAAGAAAAGGCCAGCTTCTGCTAGAGGGTTCAGCAAAATCCGGGGAATCAGGACTGTTAGGCTGATATCCACGATTTTCCCCAAACTGTTTTAAAGTACCAGTCTTTTCTGAAAGTACCCTGATGTTGATATAGAAGACTTAAGGCTGTTCTTTCAGTCTTCTTTGAAGCTCTGCTAGTCTCAAAAAGTAGACTATGTTTTTATTAATAACAGAGTTTATGCTACAGTTATAGGAAATAATAGTTTTTATAGAAGCTTCCAGAGAGGTCCTCTGGCTTTCACAGCATAGCTTGTGTATTTGTTCATTCTCACACTGCTAATAAGGACATACCTGAGACTGGGTAATTTATAAATAAAATAGGTTTAATTGACTCACAGTTCAGCATGGCTGGGGAAGCCTCAAGAAGCTTACAGTCATGGCAGAAGGGGAAGCAAACACATCCTTCTTCACATGGTGGATGCAAGGAGAAGAATGAGAGCTGAGCAAAGGGGGAAGCCCCTTATAAGACCATCAGATCTCATGAGAACTTACTAACCATCATGAGAATAGCATGGGAAAACCACCCCCATGATTCAACTACCTCCCACCACATCCCTCCCATGACACATGGAGATTATATCAAGATGAGATTTGGATGGGGACACAGCCAAACCATATCAGCTTGTGTTGGTAAATTGCCTGCTCTGAGTTTATTATTTTCTTTTTATGAATGTTTCCATTGTCATTGATAAAAGTCAGTTCATTCAACAAATCTTCATAATTACCATTGCCTCCACACCACTTCAAACCACAACCATTGCATATTCAAATGCCTCATGTTTCACTCAAACCTGATCTCTATTAGCTACATGAATTTTATGCCACTGCAAGCCAGGAGTTATCACCACCCTGCTTACAGTACCACTGATCTTAGAATGCTTTAATCTGGATTTCCTAGAACACGAAAGCTGAGACAAAGTTTTATGAACCACTACTTTTTAGGGAATGAGACAGGAAAAGGAAGGAAACCAATACAAAAGTGCATAATCAAGTTGCTTATTGCAATATACAACTAATTGGTTGACCTCAGAGGACTCCTGTCAAAAAAAGCTGCATAAAGCATGTTTCTGAACAATGTGCCCTGGAAAAGTAAGGTAGAAGACTTTATCCTTCAGTTTCTTCTCTTATTGCTCAAAGATTTGCCTCATTGTTAATTTATTCATATTTCCATGTTAAATATGCATGGGTATCAATTGATTGGCGGTGGTTATCTTGGAATTAACAGAGAAGTCTCTAGGAAGGAGTAGTGACAGGTGAAGTTAAAAGAGTATAAAGTAGCTTATAAAATGTGCACAATAGACCAAGCAAGGTGGCTCATGCCTGTAATCCCAACACTTTGGGAGGCCAAGGTGGGCAGATCACGAGGTCAGGAGATTGAGACCATCCTGGCTAACCCGGTGAAACCCCATCTCTACTAAAAATACAAAAAAATAGCCGGGTGTGGTGGCACACACCTGTAGTCCCAGCTATTTGGGAGGCTGAGGCAGGAGAATCACTTGAACCTGGGAGGCAGAGGTTGCAGTGAGCTGAGATCGTGCCATTGCACTCCAGCCTGGGTGACAAGAGAGTGAGACTCCATCTCAAAAAAAAAAAAGTGTGCAATATCTAAATGTCTGCTAGCCATAGTTCTTTTAAAATTTAAATTTTAAGTTGTAATTGACAGATAATAATTGTATATATTTTTCAATACAAGTATACATTGTGTATTAAGCAAATCTGGCTAATTAATATATCCATCATCTAACATACTTATCATTTATTTGTGCTAAGAACATTTAAATCCACTGTTTTAGCAGTTTTGAAATACGCAACACATTAGTATTAACTACAGTCACCTTACTGTGCAATAGATCACCAGAATTATTTCTCTTCTCTAACTGAAACTTTGTGTCCTTTGGCCAACAGTACCCCTTTCCCTGCCCACCACCTCCCCAGCCTCTGGAAAGCATCATTTTACTCTCTACTTCTATGAATCTGACTTTCTTAGATTCCACATGTAAGTGAGATCATGCTAGATCCATCTTTCAGCGTCTGGCTTATTTCACTTAGCAAAATGCTCCCCAGATTCATCCATGTTGTCACAAGTCAGAGAATGTTATTCTTTTTAAAGGCTGAATGGTATTGCATTCTGTATACCCACATTTTAAAATCCACTTAGGTTGCTTCCATATCTTGAACATTGTGTATAATGCTGCAATGAACATGGGAGTGCAGACAGCTCTTCAACTCACTGATTTTAATTTCTTTGGATATATGCCCACAAGTGGGATTTCTTGATCATATGGTAATTCTATTTTTAGTTTTCTGAGGAACCTCTGTACAGTTTTCCATAATGGCTGTGCTCATTTACATCCCTACCAACAATGTACAAGGGTTCCCTTTTCTCCACATCCTTGCCAGTACTTGTTATCTCTTATATTAGTAAATAGCCACTCTAACAGGTGTAGGGTGATATCTCTTTGTGGTTTTAATTTGCATTTCCCTGATAATCTGTGATGTTGAGGATTTTTTCATATATCTGTTGGCCATTTGAATGCCTCCTCTTGAGAAATGTCTATTACGGTCCTTGCCCATTTCTAAGTTGGGTTATTTGTTTTCTAGTAGTTGAGTTGTTTGAGTTCCTTATGTATTTTGGATATAAGCCCTTTATCTGATGTCTGATTTGCAAATATTTTTCCCAGTCTGTGGGTTGTGTCTTCACTCCGTTTTTCTTTTCTCTACAGAAGCTTTTTAGTTTGATATAATCCCATTAGCCTATTTTTGCTTTTGTTGCCTGTGCCTTTGAGGCAAGAAATCATTGCCCAGACTAATGTAATGTAGCTTTTCTCCTATGTTTTCTTTTAGTAGTCTTACAGTTTCAGATCTCACATTTAAATCTTTATTCTGTTTTGAAATGATTCTTGTACAAGGAGTGAGAAAAGGATCCAATTTCCCTATTCTGCATGTGTATAGCCAGTTTTCCAACATCGTCTATTGAAGAGACTGTCCTTTTCCCGCTGTACATACTTGACAACCTTGTCAAAAATCAAGGTTTTTATGGGTTTATTTCTGGGCTCTCTATTCTATTCCATTGGTTGATGTGTCTGTTTCCATGCTGGTATCATGCTGTTTTGATACTACAACTTTGTAGTCTATTTTGAAATCAGGTAGTATGATGCCTACAGCTTTTTGTTGTTGTTGTTGTTGTTGTTCAAGAATGCTTTGGCTATTTTAGGATTTTTTTTCTATTTCTGGGAAGAATTACATTAAATTTTGATAGGGGTTATGCTGAATTTGTAGGTTACTTTGGGAGGTATGGACATTTTCACAATATTGATTCCTTCATTCCATGAACACAGGATATATTTCCACTTATTTGTGTTATCTTCAATTTCTTTTATCAGCATTTTATAGTTTTCAGTACACTGATATTTTATCTCCTTGGTTAAATTTACTCCTAAGTATTTTTTTAAGTTTTTGATGCTATTGTAAATGAGATTGTTTTCTTAATTTCTTTTTTGTTGTTTATTTTTATCTTATTTTATTTTATTTGAGATGGAGTCTTGCTCTGTTGCCCAGGCTGGAGTGCAATGGCATGATCTCAGCTCACTGCAACATCCACCTCCCAGTTTCAGGCGATTCTCCTGCCTCAGCCTCCAGAATAGCTGGGATTACAGATGTGCACCACTATGCCTGGCTAATTTTTGTATTTTCAGTAGAGACGGGGTTTCACCATGTTGGCCAGGCTGGTCTCAAACTCCTGACCTCAGGCAATTGTTTGTTCAGATTGCTTGATCTGTAACAAACAATCCGAAAAAGTATTTTGCAGCTAGTCATATAAATACGTGGGCATTCATTGATTAGGCTTTCATTGGTTTAAGGTAAAAGAAATAGTTAGAACTCAGAATCCATAATGTTTAGTTTATCATGAGCTTATAGTGTCAGACCATATTAACTCCAATTGTGTATGCTTTAACACAGGCTTGGTTCTGCTATAGCAGCAAACAACCAAAAATCTCAGTAGCTCAGGACAACAAAGGAAAGGTTTACTTCTTACTCACACTACATTCCATCAAGGTTTGGTTAATTTTATCTCATCTTCACACCATGACTGATAAAGCAACCACCATCTGCAACACTGCCAGTCCCCGGGGCAAAAAAAAAAAATAGAGGTTCTATATACTAACTTGTTGTTAGTATATAGAAATGCCACTGATTTTTATATGTTAATTTTATAATCTGCAACTTCACTGAATTTATTTACCAGTTCCACCAGTTTGAAGTACAGTATTTAGAGCTTTCTATTGATGAGATTATGTCATTGGCAAACGAAAAAAAAATAGCTTTTTCTTTTGGGATGCCTTTTATTTCCTTTTTCTGCCTAATTTTTCTGGCAAAAACTTCCAGTCTATTTTCAATTAAAGTGGTGAGATTGAGCATCCTTGTCTTGTTCCTGAGCTTAGAGAAAAAGCCTCCAACTGTTCACTATTGGGTATTATATTAGCTGTGGGTAGACACAGCTCTAATGGCTTTGGGGAACATAGATCAAATCTAGATATGAAAAATGTATGCCCTCAAATTTATGGGTAAATACTTCCCCATAATTTTTTGCACTTAAAGTTATTCAGTAATATTTTTAGAAAACTTACTGAAAGAACATACTCAAATAAGATCCAGAAAAAAATTGAATAATATCAGTAAAATCTGTAGTTGTGTTTTCAGGTAAGACTAGTTTAAAGTCTCTTCCTACATTCCAGGTAAATGATAAACTTATTGGAAAAGTCTCACCTTTGAGTTGTTAAGAATCCATTTATCTTATACTCCTTGACATATTCAAGCTTAGGATAATTGATGACCTCATGAAATTCCATTTGTCTTTCTCCAACTACTAAAAAGATATTATAAGAGGTATTTTGCAGCTAGTCATATAAATATGTGGGCACTCATTGATTAGGCTTTCATTGGTATAAGGTAAAAGGAATAGTTAGAACTCAGAATCCATAATGTTTAGCTTATCATGAGCTTACAGTGTCAGACCATATTAACTCAAATTGTGTATGCTTTAACACAGGCTTAGTTCTGCTATAGCAGCAAACAACCAAAAATCTCAGTAGCTCAAAACAAAAAGGAAAGGTTTACTTCTTACTCACACTACATTCCACCAAGGTTTAGTAAATTTTCTCTCACCTTCACACCATGACTGATAGGGCAACCACCATCTGCAACACTGCCAGTCCCCATGGCAAAAAAATAAAACACATAGACCAAAGGATGAACTATTTCTTAAGGCTTCTGTCTAGAAGTCTACATAACTATTGTTCCTATTTCATTGGCCTAAAAAAGCCTCATGATCAAAAGTAACTTTGATCATTTTCAAAGTATAACCCTATACCACAAAAAAAAAGGAAAGAAAATTGAGGGATAGTAGTACAGTCTACTGCCATCTGTCCTTCTAACAACATAATATTTGATTTCTTCCTGATCCCCCATGTAGAACCTACTTATGTCCTTTACAAAAGAGGCAATCCAAACTCCCCTCAAATACTGCTTCATGCTCAGCATTCAGAATCTTTGAGGGACTTCTAGAAGTCTCATAAAAATGCCTGTATGGTTCTTCTTGGTTTGGAGGCCTGTGGACTAAAAGACAAGTTATGTTTCTTCCACACACCCAAAATTCAGCAGTGAAACATGAGTAGGATAATGGCAATAAATGCTCCTCTTTAGAAAGTTAAGAATCAAAGACATATGACACTCGATGGTCTAAAGCAATCCCAAAATCCTACCAGGCAGATTTTATGAGGAACCCTACATTGGAGGTGTGGATTATTCCATGATTAGGCACTGTTTTCATTTTCCCCAATCTGTTCTTTTCCATGACATGTAGTTGTTTCCTCTGTCAAGTTCTTACTTGGGCATTTATCCTCTTTGGCTACATTTAAAGAGGAACCTGAAGAATGTCTCCTCCTTGGAAGCCTGGTTAGCTGCCTCACTCTGCTTCTTGGCCATTGAAGACTGATGGCCCAAGGATTCTTTTAAGTCCCAAATAGTGAAATTTTTATTAGTCCAGATTAATAGCTCTTTTCTTATCTACTTATTCAAGTCAACTACATAAATCAATAGCCAGCCACATTCATAATTTTTTCCAGATCTATCTCTCTTTCTCTCTGTGTGTCTCTCTCCCTCTCTACCTCTACCTCTATGCCTATCTCTGTCTCCATCATCATCTCTATCTCTATCTATAGCTCTCTATCTTCTTTTAATTTCAAATACCCCAAGGCTATCAGCCTTCTCTGGGATAGTCACTCTACTTAAACTTACTTTCTGTAAGCCATTTTGTCAAACTTAAAATATTTATTTCTTTACATCATCTTCAACCATTTAGAGCTTTTAGCAGAGTACTCAGATGACCATAATCTTGCTTTGCTCCTTGCAACAAGTCTGAGTTTTATTGGTCTTTTTTACTGCGACTGGGTGGAAATGAAAATCAGTTTTCTCTTCTAACTCTAAAAGTCCCCAAATTTCTCAGCTCCTTCTATATTTTCTTTCATTCTTGTTTACAAAATGACCAGTTGTTTTGCGTGCTTTTATAGAACTTTGTTATATGCATCTAAGAACCACTTAATGCTACAAGCATTCTGTTTTCTTACATAATCTCCCTTCCAAGTTATCACAGGTAACAGTTGTACCAAACGTTTTATTGTACCAAACATGAATTGCTATGTTTCCAGTTGGCAATAACAGATTCTTTGACACCTACTGCTTGCCCCCAAAGAAACTTACGAATGTTAACACTCTTTTTTACAATAGCACACTACTACCTATACAAATTTCCTTAACAGTTGTAATAGAGTACGCTGTAGTAGAAAACAATTCAAAATAGATTTATTTCTTGCTAACACTACGTGTCCATGCTGGGTTCTCTGGGAGAGCTTCTCCTGCATCATCATCATGTTCCTTATGAGTCAGTTATGAATGGGAGCATTGGGAAAGGAGAAGGTATAAAACACATACATATAAAGCCTCTGCCTGGAAGAGAGATGTGTCACATATTCTTACATTTCTTTTTCCAGAGCAAGTCACATGGACTTCAAAGGTAGGAAGAACTACAGTACAATCTCAGGGAGTGGAAGGGAAACAGATTTTGATGCAGAGCTACATAGCCTATTCCAGGTTTCATAAGTCTTATTTCCATTTTTCATTCACTATTCTCTATGTGTTATGTCCACAGCTCCAAAAGGCACCCTATAGTCAATAAGGCCAGGAGAATATTCTCTTCGTCCATCTCTTTAGGGCATCTTTGATTTACTTGTCACTCAGGCTGTAGATCAATGGATTCAACCTGGGGATCACCACAGTGTATACAATAGAATCCACCTTGTTTCTACTCAGAGAAGCATCAGAGTGAGAGCACATATAGACAAAGATTCTTGAGCAATAGAAGAGAGTCACTGCTATCAGGGAGAACCACCAGTGTTGAAGACCTTAGACCTGCCTTCAACTGAGATGATCTTCAGAATGGTAGCAATGACATAGCCATAAAATATCATGATAACTAAGACAGATGTGAGTCCAAATACCACTGTAAGCATGGATGTCATGACTTGACAGAAAAAGGTGTCATAGCAAGATAGGATCAAGAGTTGGGGCAGGTCACAGAAGAAATGGTTGCTATTTGGCCCACAGAAATGGAGCTGAAGCAAAGCACATAGTTGGATAAATGAGCCAAAGATAATAGTTATACAGGTTCCAACCATTATGTGCACACAGAGGTTGGGGACATGGATGGCCATGTAGAGCAGAGGGTCACAAATGGCAGCATATCAATTATAAGCCATAGCTTCCAGAAGACAGCACTCAGTCAGACCCAGGCTAGAGAAGAAGTATTACATGGTGCATCCCATAAAAGAGATGAATGTTGGCAATGATATAACCATAAGTTATCATGATAACCAAGATAGAGGTGAGTATAAAGGTTACTGTGAGCATAGTGGTCATGACTTGAGAAAAAAAAAACAGTATGAGAACAGGATAGAATCAGCAGTTGGGGCAGGTCACAAAAGAAATGGCTGCTATTTGACTCACAGAAATGGAGCAGAAGCAAGGCACAGAGTTGGATAAATGAGACAAAGTATCCAGTTGTACAAGATCCTGCCACCATTGGCATACAGAGAGCAGGTGACATGATGGCTGTGTAGAGCAGAGGATCACAAATGGCAGCATATTAATCATAAGCCATGGCTGTAAGAAGACAGCACTCAGTCACATTCAGGCTAGAGAAGTACTGCATGGTGCACCCCATAAAGGAAATGAATTTATGCTTCTTGAAAAAGTCTGAGGGCATCTTGGGGGCTATAGTGGAAACACAGCAGATGTCCAGAAAAGACGGATTACTAAGGAAAAAGTACACAGGTGCATGTAGATGGGAGTCCGTCCTGATAAGGGCGATGAGACTCACGTTTCAGGACATGGTCAGGAGGTATATCCCTAGGAATACTGAAAAGAGAAAAATAGTGGTCTTTGAATATTCAGAGAATCCCAAGAGAATGAACTTTGTAATTGTCATGCTACTCCTTTCCACAGTCATTGCACTGGTGATTCTGGAATCTGTATAAATCTCTAAGTCAGTTGTCACCCCAATTTCCATTGAAATAAACCACCATGTATCCACACTGAACACAGAACCAAGTGAAATATTGATCCAAGTTAGGGGCAATAGCCCTGATTAATGCTCCCCACCAACACACATTAACAAGTCAGTCAACCTAAAAGTCTCAGCCCAGTGAAAGTAACTTGAAGAATGAAGGGAAATACAACATGTTTTTGGACAGGCCAAACGGAGACACTAACAAAAGGCATTCTTGAAGAAGTTTGTACTTTGGGCAAAAGGCAAGTGATTTTAAATGGAAGCTTGTGAGATGTAGTAAGAGTGAAAAGCATAGGAAGTAGAAATATATAATAAAGTTTAAAAATACATATTTTATAAAACTGGTAATAAGATTTTATGTGGTGAGAAAATTATATGAAATTAAAATACAAATAAAAATCATACACAAATTCAGGGGTAATTAGAATTAAATATTTCAAAAGTCCTTGAGTCACACAGGAAAATGATAAAAGTATTGATTAAAAAGTTAAAATTTGATAAGATGTACACATAACTAAGTTTCTGGGGAAATCACTAAAGGAATAGAAATAGAATGTGCAAATTCAACAAGTAGAGGAGAAAATGTAAAAAGATTTTTAATCTATCCAAAAAGACCAAGAAATAATGAAAATAAAAACAAAATAAATCTTTATAAAATTCATCAAAAATAACAAAAGAAAAATAAGGGAACAACTAAAACAAATGGCAAATGAAGAAAATACACCTAAAAATTATTGTCTAATAGCTGATGAAAACAAGGTTTCTACATATTGCCATGAAATCAAAACAGTTAATTTTTTAAAACCTATAATGCAAAAGTTAAAACAGTGATATGAAAGCTTAAGACAGAAATGAAAAGATAACAGAAGAGGATGAAAAATGTATTGGCATAGCTCAGCTATGAAGGAGAAAAAATTACACCACAGAAATGCAAAAATGAAATTTGTGTGGGAGTAGCAATGAGGACAAAAATAAGCTGCTAAAAACAGCAAATGATGTAGAAAATAGGCTGCAAGAAAAGTGAGAAAAATGAAATTTGGAAAAAAGAAAGAGCTTTTAAAAATAGAGGGAAAGAGGAGGAGGAGCTTTAAGATGGCTGACTAGAGGCATCTGTTACTCTCCTCCACCACAAAGAAGAACCAAAATAGCAAGTAGATAATCACACTTCAAGAAGATTGTCTAAGAAAGAACACTGGAATTCTACAGAGAAGTAACAGGAAACACCTAAGGCAAGGAAGGAGAGGGAAGCAAGGCAGTCTGCTCAGCTGGGATCAGCTGGGAGCCTGCAGAGGCTCCCCAATGAGAGCAAAGCATAAGTGAGAGAACCCCAGTGATCCACATTTCCACCAAGAACTCCTGCAATCTTAACCACAGGAAAACCATCAATCTATGTGGGTCCTAGACTAATCTAGAGAGCTTCCTGAAGACCATATGATGACATTGCTCCAGAGAGGGAGCTCACACTGGATCCCACATACTCCCTGAGTCCTAAGCAGCTACAGCACAGTGCCACCTTAAAAGCCCAGCCCCTAACAGATTGCATCCTGCCCTGGGCACAACAGCCCATGCATCTCCACATCCCTGGAACCCCATGGACATACTCCACCCCCAGCCACTGCCTCTGCTAGCTGCTGCCACCAGGTCAAAGTGTGAGCCATTGGTAGCAACCTTGATGCCCCCAGCAGTGGGGCCACTGATATGGTTTAACTCTGTGTCCGTACCCAAATCTCAACTTGAATTGTAATCCCCATGTGTCAGAGGAGGGACCTGGTGGGAGATGACTGGGTCATGGGGGTAGATTTTTCCTTTGCTATTCTCCTGATAGAAAGTAAGTTCTCACGAGAGTTGACGGTTTTAAGGTGTGTCACCTCCCATGGCTTGCTCTCTCTCCTGCCACCATGTCAGATGTGCCTTACTTCTCCTTCTGCCATGACTGTAAGTCCCTTGAGGCCTCCCCAGCCATGCTTCCTATACAGCCTGTGGAACTGTGAGCCAATTAAACCTCCTTTCTTTCTAAATTACCCAGTCTCCAGTATTTCTTTATAGCAGTGTGAGAACGGACTAATATACAAGGTGACCAATTGTTGACAACTGATTCTAAAATGTACATGGAAAGTCACTTTATTTCAAGTGTTGATTCTGAGAATATTCCCCAATAAATCTCCTGCAGGCAAATTTTGGCCTCACAGCTTGTTTTCTGGAATTCCAACATAGTACAGCGACTTTGCAAAACAGGAAAGCTGAAAATTCACACAACGTGGTTATTCATTATGACTCAGTAGTTCTACTTCTCCAGAACAACATTATATTAGTCTCAAATACCCATCAATGTGGAATGGATATGTAAATTTTGGTCTATACACCGAAATGCTATATAAAAATGAAACAAATTATGATTGCACGATTACATGGAAGAAAGTTGTAACTATAACAGTAAGTAAGAGAAGCAAAACACAAAAGGATATTTAAATAGGATTGCAAAAATTTTAAACTTAGGAAGAAGCAAAACTAAACTACTTTGGTTAGTGATACATACATACATACATACACAGCAAAATTATAAAGTAAAGCAATAAATGGTTACATGGGATGTGGAAAGAGGTTTTTGTGATTCAGAAAGACACAGAGGGCCTCTGGGATGATGGTGTGCTGTATTTCCTGATGTTAGTTATAGTTACACTAGTGTTTTTCTATGCCATTATAGCGCACATTTATACTTTATGTATTTTGTACATGTGTAAAAATTTTACAATAAAAAGCAAAAACAAGAAAAATTTAAAAAATAAATGATTTAAGTAAGATAATTTCCTCATTGCATAAAGGCCAGTTTTGAAACAAAAAAATTCCAACAGAATAAAGGAAAATAACTCAACTCATTCCAAAAGGGAACCATATTCATTCCTGTAAATTTCTGTGAACCCTTCCAATAGTTCAAATACTCTAGAGCAGAGGAGATGAGTTTTTGCAAGAATCAACAGACTCCATCAGGACCTACAAAGCTTTGTTTAGGTTGAACCATTCCAATCTAAACAAATGGAAAGAACAATGTTGGATTTTCTTATTGCTGGAAAATACTATCACCTTCCTGGTATTAATGGGAATTTTCAGATGTTGTTTTGTTCATCTTCCTGCCTTTGAAAAGACTTAAATTAACATCATCCAAGATTTTTCTGGAAACATATACATATTAGACATTTTGGGGGTCCAATAATATGTGAGGTTTTGGCTTTCTAAAGTTAAAAAATAATGTAAGAGGTCAAAAGGGGTACGCAGGCCCAATATCAATTATTGGCAAGTCACCTCCTATATCAACAATTACAATATTTATTAATTGCCAGAGCCTATGAAAATAGCAACAAGCCATTATCAATATATCAAATGCTAATAGAAATATGTAAATTTATTCTAAAGTACACTATACAGAGACATTAAACCATTAAATTCCTTTGCTTTCTATGAGAATAACAGCACTTTACTGTGGTTTCTGTATGTCAGACTAAATATTTTATTGTCTTTGATGAATTAAAATGGAGAAATTTATTATTAAGAGGAAAGTTAAATTTCAATATTTGTTTATGGTATGATTTTAGCTAGATTACTTAATTCCTCTGAGCTTTATTTTAATCTTATATAAAATGATAATAATGCCTACCTCACAGGGTCATTTAAAGCTCTTAGTTAAGACAGGAAATAGTAGCTAATACAAGAGCAGGCTCTTGATTAATAGTTGTTACAGTAAGAGTTTATTATTTTACTAGTATTGTTAATAATAATTATTATTACTTAAATGGTGCTTTGAGGGTAAATCTTTCAAGGCTGGGGTTAATAATAGCAAAAAGGGGAATCATTTGGCAATGTGGAATTTGGAACCATGGTCCTACATGGTGTGGTCTCAGGAAATCTCTACTCTCCATTACCACTCCACATCCTGGGTAATGCTTATCATTCCACACAAGAGGTTTCACTTCTAGCTAAGAGACCTTGGTGTCTGTTAAAACATAAGTAACTACTTTGGAGAAGTGAAGGTAGTATGACAAAACAACAAATAGTAGGTATTGGAAAAGGGAAGATAGATAATAAGAGGGAGGAGCAAACATCGTTACTTTAAGCCCACCCGTGGGTTAGGAGAGCAAGACAGAAGAGGAAAGAGAAAAGCAAAGAACAGTATGGAGCAAGTGTTGATGGTGAATTGGAGACACTGAAGACAAACTGTTCTTGGATGCCTCTGCCAACATTACTTACAAAGATATCCTTCACATTTCTGTGCCTAAGTGGAACCTGGGAGTACGGCTAACACCGCTGGTTTGTCTTGGTGCTATACCTCAGCCTTGCCCTTGGTCCTCAGAATAGCATAGAGTTATTTTCCAGGAGACATCCCTTCCACTAGAGATTCTCTTAAATGTTTCCTTAGGGAAACAAAAAACAAAAGAAGAAGCAATTATCAGAAGACAGAATTTTCCATTAATTATTCTCAGGAGAGTTGGATAAGGAAAATGAGTGGGAAATGTTCTCAGCTGGTCCCATCCGACCGTCTTTTATGGGCCCTTCGTGAACCAATTAAGAGTTCTGGGCCAGGCGCAGTGGCTCACGCCTGTAATCCCAGCACTTTGGGAGGACGAGGCGGGCAGATCACAAGGTCAGCAGATCAAGACCATCCTGGATAACAGGGTGAAACCCTATCTCTACTAAAAATATAAAAAAATTAGCTAGATGTGGTGGCACACCCCTGTAGTCCCAGCTACTCGGCAGGCTGAGGCAGGAGAATCACTTGAACCCAAGAAGTGGAGGTTGCAGTGAGCCAAGATCACACCACTGCACTCCAGCCTGGGCAACAGAGTGAGACTCCATCTCAAAAAAATAATAATAATAAAAGAGTTGTGAAGCATATTGAGTAGATACATAGTAATGAAATTGCAAGATCAAATGGTAGATCTACTTTTAGTTCTTTAAGGAATCTCCACACTGTATTTTGTAGTGGTTGTACTAGTTTACATTCCCACCAACAGTGTAAAAGTGTTCCCTTTTCACTACATTTGTGCCAACAACTATTTTTTTATTATGGCTATTCTTGCAGGTGCAAGGTGGTATTGCATTGTGGTTTTGATTTGCATTTCCCTAATAATTAGTGATGTTGAGCATTTTTTCATATGCTTGTTGGCTGCTTGTATATCTTCTTTTGAGAATTGTCTATTCATGTCCTTAGCCCACTTTTTTATGAGATTGTTTGTTTTTTTCTTGCTGATTTGTTTGAGTTCTTTATGTATTCTGGATATTAGTCCTATGTCAGATGTATAGATTGTGAAGATTTTCTCTCATTCTGTGGGTTGTCTGTTTACTCTGTTGATGTATTCCTTTTGCTGTGCAGAGGCTTTTTTGTTTAATTAAGTCCCATCTATTTATTTTTGGGTTTTTTGCATTTGCTTTTGAGTTCTTGGACATGAAGTCTTTGCCTCAGCCAACGTCTAGAAGGGTTTTTCCAATGTTATCTTCTAGAATTTTTATGGTTTCAGGTCTTAGATCTAAGTCTTTAATCCATCTTGTGTTGATTTTTGTGTAAGATGAGATATGAGGATACACTTTTATTCTTCTACATCTGTCTTGCCAGCTATCCCAGCACCATTTGTTGAATAGGGTGTCCTTTTGTCACTTTGTGGTTTTGTTTGCTTTGTCAAAGATTAGTTGGCTGTTAGTATTTGGGTTTATTTCTGGATTCTCTATTCTGTTCCATTGGTCTATGTGCCTATTTTTGTACCAGTACCATGCTGTTTTGGTGACTATGGCCTTATACTATAGTTTGAAGTGGGTAATGCGATGCCTCCAGATTTTTTCTATGTGCTTAGTCTTGCTTTGGCCATGCAGGCTCTTTTTTGATTCCTTATGAATTTTAGGATTGTTTTTTCTAGTTCTGTGAAGACTGATGGTGGTATTTTGATTGGAATTGCATTGAGTTTGTAGATTGCTTTTGGCCATATGGTCATTTTTACAATATTGAATCTACCCATCCATGAGTATGGGATGTGTTTCCATTTGTTTGGGTTGCCTATGATTTCTTCTAGCAATGCTTTGTACTTTTCCTTATAAAGGTCTTTCACCTCCTTCGTTAGGTATATTCCTAAGTTTTTTTGTTTGTTTGTTTTTGCAGCTATTGTAAAAGTGATTGAGTTCTTGATCTGATTCTCAGCTTGGCCACTGTTGGTGTATGGTAGAGTTTCTGATTTGTGTACATTAATTTTGTATCCTGAAACTTTGCTGAATTCATTTACCAGTTCTAGGATCTTTTTGGATGAAGCTTTAGGGTTTTCTAGGTATACAATTATATCATCAGCAAACAGTGACAGTTTGACTTCCTCTTTACTGATTTGGATGCCCTTTATTTCTTTCTCTTGTCTGATTGCTCTGGCTAGGACTTCCAGTACTATGTTAAATAGAAGTAGTAAGAGTGGGTGTCCTTGTCTTGTTACATTTCTCAGGGGGAATGCTTTCAACTTTTTCCTGTTCAGTGTAATGTTGGCTGTGGGTTTGCAACAGATGGCTTTTATTACCTTAAGGTATGTCCCTTCTATGCCAATTTTGCGAGGATTTTAATCATAAAGGGATGCTGGATTTTGTCAAATGCGTTTTCTGCATTTATTTAGATGATCATGTGATTTTTGTCTTTAATAATGTTTATGTGGTGTATCATGTTTAATGACTTGTATATGTTAAACCATCCCTGAATCCCTGGTATGAAACCCACTGGTCATGGTGAATTATCTTTTCTATATGCTACTGAATTTGGTTAGCTAGTATTTCATAGGGGATTTTTGCATCTATGTTGTATTACTTCATTCTCATGCTGCTGTGAAGAAATACTCAAAATTTTTATTTTGAATTTATAAAGGAAAGGAGTTTAATTGACTCACAGTCCTGGATGGCTGGGGAAGCCTCAGGAAACTTGCAATCGTGGCAGAAGGGGAAGCAAACATGTCCTCCTTCAAATGGTGGCAGAAGAGAAAAGCGCCAAGCAAAGTGATAAAAGCCCCGTCTAAAAACATCAGATCTTATGAGAACTCACTATCACGAAAAGAGCATGAGGGTAACCATCCCCATGATTCAATTACCTCCCACTAGGTCCCTCCCATGACACGTGGGGATTACAGGAACTACAATTCAACATGAGATTTGGGTGGGGACACAGCAAAACCATATCATATGTACATCAAGGATATTTGTCTGTAGTTTTGTTTTTTATTATGTCTTTTTCTGGTTTTGATATTAGGGTGATACTGGCTTTAAAGAATAATTTAGGGAGAATACCCTTTCTCTATCTTGTGGAATAGTGTCAATAGGATTGGTACCAATTTTTCTTTGACTATCTGATAGAATTCAGCTGTGAATCCATGTGGTCCTGGACTTTTTTGTTGACATTTTTTTTATTACCATTACAACCTCACTGCTTGTTAGTGGTCTGTTCAGAGTTTCTATTTATTTCTGGTTTAACCTAGGAGGGTTGTATATTTTCAGGAATTTATCCATCTCCTCTAGGTTTTCTAGTTTATGTGCATAAGGTTGTTAATAGTAGCCTTGAATGGTCTTTTGTATTTCTGTGATATCAGTTGTAATACCTCCCATTTCATTTCTAATTGAGCTTATTTGGATATTCTCTTTTTTTCTTGGTTAATCTCACCAATTGGTCTATCAATTTTATTTATCTTTTCAAAGAACCAGCATTTCATTTCATTTATCTTTTGTATTTTTTTGTTTGTTTCTATTTCATTTAGTTCTGCTCTGATCTTTGTTATTTCTTTTTTTTCTGCTGGGTTTGGGTTTGCTTTGTTCTTATTTCTTTAGTTCCTTGAGTTGTGACCTTATGTTGTCTATTTGTGCTCTTTTGGACTTCTTGATGTAGGCATTTAGTGCTATCAATTTTCCTTTTAGCACTGCTTTTGCTGTATCCTGGAGGTTTTGATTTGGTGTGTCAGTATTATCATTCAGTTCAAATAATTTTTTAATTTCCATCTTGATTTCATTGTTGATCAATGATTATTCAGAAGTAGGTTATTTAATTTATATGTATTTGCATGCTTTTGAGGGTTCCTTTTGGAGCTGATTTCCAATTTTATTCCACTGTGGTGTGAAAAAGTACTTGATATAATTTCTGTTTTCTTAAGTTTATTGAGACTTGTTTTGTGGCCTATTATGTAATCCATCTTGGAGGATGTATTCTGTGGTTGTTGGGTAAAATGTTCTGTAAATATCTGTTAAGTTCATTTGTTCTTTACATAGTTTAAGTTCATTGTTTCTTTGTTGACTTTCTGTCTTGATGACCTGTCTAGTGTTGTCAGTGAAGTACTAAATTTCCCTACTGTTATTGTGTTGCTGTCTATCTCATTTATTGGGTCTAGTAGTAATTGTTTTATAAATTTGGGAGCACAAGTTTTAGGTGCATATATATATTTGGAATTGTGATTTATTCCTGTTGGATTAGTCCTTTTATCATTATATAATGTCCCTCTTTGTCTTTTCTAACTGTTGTTGCTTTAAGGTTTGTTTTGCCTGATATAAAAATAGCAACTCCTGCTCACTATTCCTGTCCATTTGCATGGAATATCTTTTTCCACCATTTTCCCTTAAGATTATGTGAGTTCTTATGTGTTAGGTAGGTCTCCTGAAGACCTCAGAAACTTGGTTGGTGAATTCTTATCCATTCTGTATCTTTCAAGTGGGGCATTTAGGCCATTTACATACAATGTTACCATTGAGATGTAAGGTATTATTCCATTTATCATGCTATTTGTTGCGTGAATACCTTTCTTTTTTCATTGTGTGATTGTTACGTAGGTCCTGTTAGATTTATGCTTTAAGGGGGTTCTATTTTGGTGTATTTCTTTTTTGTAATCCTTATTTATTTTTATTTTTTTCAATTATACTTTAAGTTCTAGTGTACATGTGCACAACCTGCAGGTTTGTTACGTATGTATACCTGTGCCATGTTGGTTGCTGCACCTATTAATTCATCATTCATGTTAGGTATATCTCCTAATGCTATCCCACCGTACCTCAGGACAGGCCCCAGTGTGTGATGTTCCCCACCCTGTGTCCAAGTGTTCTCATTGTTCAATTCCCACCTATGAGGGAGAACATGTGGTGTGTTTGGTTTTTTGTCCTTGTGATAAATTGCTCAGAATGATGGTTTCCAGCTTCATCCTTGTCCCTACAAAGGACATGAACTAATCATTTTTTATGGCTGCATAGTATTCCATGGTATATATGTGCCACATTTTCTTAATCCAGTCTATCATTGATGGACATTTGGGTTAGTTCCAAGTCTTTGCTATTGTGAATAGTGCCACAATAAAAATACGTGTGCATGTGTCTTTATAGCAGCATGATTTACAATCCTTTGGGTATATACCCAGTAATGGGATGGCTGGGTCAAATGGTATTTCCAGTTCTAGATCCTTGAGGAATTGCCACACTGACTTCCACAATGGTTGAACTAGTTTATAGTCCCACCAACAGTGTAAAAGCATTCCTGTTTCTCCACATCCTCTCCAGCACCCGTTGTCTCCTGACTTTTTAATGATCACCATTCTAATAGGTGTGAGATGGTATCTCATGGTGATTTTGATTTGCACTTCTCTGATGGCCAGTGATGATGAGCATTTTTTCATGTGTCTATTGGCTGCATAAATGTTTTCTTTTGAGAAGTGTCTGTTCACATCCTTCACCCACTTTTTGATGGGGTTGTTTGATTTTTTCTTGTAAATTTGTTTAAGTTCTTTGTAGACTGTGGATATTAGCCCTTTGTCAGATGGGTAGATTGTAAAACTTTTCTCCCATTCTGTAGGTTGCCTGTTCACTCTGATGGTAGTTTCTTTTGCTGTGCAAAAGCTCTTTAGTTTAATTAGATCCCATTCCTCAATTTTGGCTTCTGTTGTCATTGTTTTCGGTGTTTTAGTCATGAAGTCCTTGCCCATGCCTATGTCCTGAATGGTATTGCCTAGGTTTTCTTCTAGGGTTTTTATGGTTTTAGGTCTAACATTTTTTTTATTTTATTATTATTATACTTTAAGTTTTAGGGTACATGTGCACAAAGTGCAGGTTTGTTACATATGTATACATGGGCCATGTTGGCGTACTTCACCCATTAACTCATCATTTAGCATTAGGTATATCTCCTAATGCTATCCCTCCCCTCTCCCCCAACCCCACAACAGTCCCCGGAGTGTGATGTTCCCCTTCCTGTGTCCATGTGTTCTCATTGTTCAATTCCCACTTATGAGTGAGAATATGCGGTGTTTGGTTTTTTGTTCTTGCGATAGTTTACTGAGAATGATGATTTCCAATTTCATCCATGTCCCTACAAAGGACATGAATTCATCCTTTTTTATGGCTGCATAGTATTCCATGGTGTATATGTGCCACATTTGCTTAATCCAGTCTATCATTGTTGGACATTTGGGTTGGTTCCAAGTCTTTGCTATTGTGAATAGTGCCACAATAAACATACATGTGCATGTGTCTTTATAGCAGCATGATTTATAATCCTTTGGGTATATACCCAGTAATGGGATGGCTGGGTCAAATGGTATTTCTAGTTCTAGATCCCTGAGGAATCGCCACACTGACTTCCACAATGGTTGAACTAGTTTACAGTCCCACCAACAGTGTAAAAGTGTTCCTATTTCTCCACATCCTCTCTAGCACCTGTTGTTTCCTGACTTTTTAATGATTGCCATTCTAACTGGTGTGAGATGATATCTCATTGTGGTTTTGATTTGCATTTCTCTGATGGCCAGTGATGATGAGCATTTTTTCATGTGTTTTTTGGCTGTATAAATGTCTTCTATTGAGAAGTGTCTGTTCACGTCCTTCGCCCACTTTTTGATGGGGTTGTTTGTTTTTTTCTTGTAAATTTGAGTTCACTGTAGATTCTGAATATTAGCCCTTTGTCACATGAGTAGGTTGTGAAAATTTTCTCGCATTTTGTAGGTTGCCTGTTCACTCTGATGGTAGTTTCTTTTGCTGTGCAGAAGCTCTTCAGTTTAATTAGATCCCATTTGTCAATTTTGGGTTTTGTTGCCATTGCTTTTGGTGTTTTAGACATGAAGTCCTTGCCCATGCCTATGTCCTGAATGGTATTGCCTAGGTTTTCTTCTAGGGTTTTTATGGTTTTAGGTCTAAGGTTTAAGTCTTTAATCCATCTTGAATTGATTTTTGTATAAGGTGTAAGGAAGGGATCCAGTTTCAGCTTTCTATATATGGCTAGCCAGTTTTCCCAGCACCATTTATTAAATAGGGAATCCCTTCCCCATTGCTTGCTTTTGTCAGCTTTGTCAAATATCAGATAGTTGTAGATATGTGGCATTATTTCTGAGGGCTCTGTTCTGTTCCATTGGTCTATATCTCTGTTTTGGTACCAGTACCATGTTGTTTTTGTTACTGTAGCCTTGTAGTATACTTTGAAGTCAGGTAGCGTGATTCCTCTGGCTTTGTTCTTTTGGCTTAGAATTGACTCAGAGATGCAGGCTCTTTTTTGGTTCCATATGAACTTTAAAGTAGTTTTTTCCAATTCTGTGAAAAAAGTCATTGGTAGCTTGATGGGGATGGCATTGAATCTATTAATTACCTTGGACAGTATGGCCATTTTAACGATATTGATTCTTCCAACCAATGAGCATGGAATGTTCTTCCATTTGTTTGTGTCCTCTTTTATTTTGTTGAGCAGTAGTTTGCAGTTCTCCTTGAAGAGGTCCTTCATGTCCCTTGTAAGTTGGATTCCTAGGTATTTTATTCTCTTTGAAGCAATTGTGAATGGGAGTTCACTCACACTTTGGCTCTCTGTTTGTCTGTTATTGGTGTATAAGAATGCTTGTGATTTTTGTACATTGATTTTGTATTCTGAGACTTTGCTGAAGTTGCTTATCAGCTAAAGGAGATTTTGGGCTGAGATGATGAGGTTTTCTAGATATACAATCATGTCATCTGCAAACAGGGACAATTTGACTTCCTCTTTTCCTAATTGAATGCCCTTTATTTCCTTCTCCTGCCTAACTGCCCTGGCCAGAACTTCCAACACTATGTTGAATAGGAGTGGTGAGAGAGGGCATCCCTGTCTTGTGCTAGTTTTCAAAAGGAATGCTTCCAGTTTTTGTTCATTCAGTATGATATTGACTGTGGGTTTGTCATAGATAGCTCTTATTATTTTGAGATACATCCCATCAGTACCTAATTTATTGAGAGTTTTTGGCATGAAACGTTGTTGAATTTTGTCAAAGGCCTTTTCTGCATCTATTGAGATAATCAGGTGGTTTTTGTCTTTGGTTCTGTTTATATGCTGGATTATGTTTATTGAATTTCATATGTTGAACCAGCCTTGCATCCCAGGGATGAAGCCCACTTGATCATGGTGGATAAGCTTTTTGATGTGCTGCTGGATTCAGTTTGCCAGTATTTTATTGAGGATTTTGCATCAATGTTCATCAAGGATATTGGTCTAAAATTCTCTTTTTTTGATGTGTCTCTGCCAGGTTTGGTATCAGGATGATGTTGGCCTCATAAAATGAGTTAGGGAGGATTCCCTCTTTTTCAATTGATTGGAATAGTTTCAGAAGGAATGGTACCAGCTCCTCCTTGTACCTCTGGTAGAATTTGGCTGTGAATCCATCTGGTCCTCGACTTTTATTGGTTGATAAGCTATTAATTATTGCCTCAATTTCAGAGCCTGTTATTGGTCTATTCAGAAATTCAACTTCTTCCTGGTTTAGTCTTGGGAGGGCGTATGTGTCCTGTAATGTATACATTTCTTCTAGATTTTCTAGTTTATTTGCATAGAGGTGTTTATAGTATTCTCTGATGGTAGTTTGTATTTCTGTGGGATCAGTGGTGATATCCCCTTTGTAATTTTTTATTGTGTCTATTTGATTCTTCGCTCTTTTCTTCTTTATTACTCTTGCTAGCAGTCTATCAATTTTCTTGATCTTTTCAAAAAACCAGCTCCTGGATTCATTGATTTTTTTGAAGGGTTTTTTGTGTCTTTATTTCCTTCAGTTCTACTCTGATCTTAGTTATTTCTAGCCTTCTGCTAGCTTTTGAATATGTTTGCTCTTGCTTCTCTAGTTCCTTTAATTGTGATGTTAGGGTGTCAATTTTAGATCTTTCCTGCTTTCTCTTGTGGGCATTTAGTGCTATAAATTTCCCTCTACACACGCTTTAAATGTGTCACAGAGATTCTGGTATGTGGTGTCTTTGTTCTCGTTGGTTTCAAAGAACATCTATTTCTGCCTTCATTTTGTTATGTACCCAGTAGTCATTCAGGAGCAGGTTGTTCAGTTTCCACGTAGTTGAGCAGTTTTGAGTGAGTTTCTTAATCCTGAGTTCTAGTTTGATTTCATTGTGGTCTGAGAGACAGTTTGTTATAATTTCTGTTCTTTTACATTTGCTGAGGAGAGCTTTACTTCCAACCATGTGGTCAGTTTTGGAATAGGTGTGGTGTGGTGCTGAAAAGAATGTATATTCTGTTGATTTGTGGTGGAGAGTTCTGTAGATGTCTATTAGGTCTGCTTGGTGCAGAGCTGAGTTCAATTCCAGGGTATCCTTGTTAACTTCCTGTCTCATTGATCTGTCTAATGTTGACAGTGGGGTGCTAAAGTCTCCCATTATTATTGTGTGGGAGTCTAAGTCTCTTTGTAGGTCTCTAATGACTTGCTTTATGAATCTGGGTGCTCCTGTATTGGGTGCATATATATTTAGGATAGTTAGCTCTTCTTGTTGAACTGATCCCTTTACCGTTATGTAATGGCCTTCTTTGTCTCTTTTGATCTTTGTTGGTTTAAAGTCTGTTTTATCTGAGACTAGGATTGCAACTCCTGCCTTTTTTTGTTTTCCATTTGCTTGGTGGATCTTCTTCCATCCCTTTATTTTGAGCCTATGTGTGTCTCTGCATGTGAGATGGGTTTCCTGAATACAGCAAACTGATGGGTCTTGACTCTTTATCCAATTTGCCAGTCTGTGTCTTTTAATTGGGGCATTTAGCCCATTTACATTTAAAGTTAATATTGTTATGTGTGAATTTGATCCTGTCATTATGATGTTAGCTGGTTATTTTTCTCATTTGTTGATGCAGTTTCTTCCTAGCCTTGAATGGTCTTTACAATTTGGCATGTTTTTGCAGTGGCTGGTACCGGTTGCTCCTTTCCATGTTTAGTGCTTCCTTCAGGAGCTCTTGTAGGGCAGGCCTGGTGGTGACAAAATCCCTCAGCAGTTCCTTGTCTATAAAGTATTCTATTTCTCCTTCACTTATGAAGCTTAGTTTGGCTGCATATGAAATTCTGGGTTGAAAATTCTTTTCTTTAAAAATGTTATATATTGGCCCCTACTCTCTTCTGGCTTGTAGAGTTTCTGCCAAGAGATCAGCTGAGTCTGATGGGCTTCCCTTTGTGGGTAACCCGACCTTTCTCTCTGGCTACCCTTAAAATTTTTTCCTTCATTTCAACTTTGGTAATCTGACAATTATGTGTCTTGGAGTTGCTATTCTCGAGGAGTATCTTTGTGACATTCTCTGTATTTCCTGAATTTGAATGTTGGCCTGCCTTGCTAGATTGGGGAATTTCTCCTGGATAATATCTTGCAGAGTGTTTTCCAACTTGGTTCCATTCTCCCTGTCACTTTCAGGTACACCAAACAGATGTAGATTTGGTCTTTTCACATAGTCCCATATTTCTTGGAGGCTTTGTTCTTTTTATTTTTTTTTTCTCTAAACTTCTCTTCTCACTTCATTTCATTCATATCATCTTCCATCACTGATGCCCTTTCTTCCAGTTGATCGCATCGGCTACTGAGGCTTGTGCATTCATCATGTAGTTCTCGTGCTGTGGTTTTCAGCTCCATCAGGTCCTTTAAGGACTTCTCTGCCTCGGTTATTCTAGTTAGCCATTCGTCTAATTTTTTTTCAAGGTTTTTAACTTCTTTGCCATTGGTTTGAACTTCCTCCTTTAGCTTGGAGTAGTTTGATCTTCTGAAGCCTTCTTCTCTCAACTCGTCAAAGTCATTCTCCATCCAGTTTTGTTCTGTTGCTGGTGAGGAGCTGCATTCCTTTGGAGGAGGAGAGGTGCTCGGATTTTTAGAGTTTCCAGTTTTTCTGCTCTGTTTTTTCCCCATCTTTGTGGTTTTATCTACCTTTGATCTTTGATGATGGTGACGTGCAGGTGGGTTTCTGGTGTGGATGTCCTTTCTGTTTGTTAGTTTTCCTTCTAAGAGTCAGGACCCTCAGCTGCAGGTCTGTTGGATTTTGCTGGAGGTCCACTCCAGACCCTGTTTGCCTGGGTATCAGCAGCAGTGGCTGCAGAACAGCAGATATTGGTGAACCGCAAATGCTGCTGCCTGATTTTTCCTCTGAAAGTTTTGTCTCAGAGGAGTACCCGGCTGTGTGAGGTGGCAGTATGCCCCTACTGGTGGGTGCCTCCCAGTTAGGCTACTCGAGGGTCAGGGACCCACTTGAGGAGGCAGTCTGCCTGTTCTCAGATCTCAAGCTGCATGCTGGGAGAATAACTACTCTCTTCAAAGCTGTCAGAGAGGTACATTTAAGTCTGCAGAGGTTACTGCTGTCTTTTTGTTTGTACGTGCCCTGCCCCCAGAGGTGGAGCCTACAGAGGCAGGCAGGCCTCCTTGAACTGTGGTGGGCTCCACCCATTTTGAGCTTCCTAGCCACTTTGTTTACCTAATCAAACAACTAACTCGGCAATGGCGGGTGCCCCTCCCCCAGCCTCACTGCTGCCTTGCAGTTTGATCTCAGACTGCTGTGCTAGCAACAAGTGAGGCTCCATGGACCTTCCGAGCCAGGTGCAGGATTTAATCTCCTGGTGTGCCGTTTGTGAAGCCCTTTGGAAGAGTGCAGTATTAGGGTGGGAGTGACCTGATTTTCCAGGTGCCATCTGTCAGCCATTTCTTTGACTAGGAAAGGGAATTCCCTGACCTCTTGGGCTTCCCAGGTGAGGCAATGCCTCGCCCTCCTTGGGCTCATGCATGGTGTCCTGCACCCACTGTCCTGCACCCACTGTCTGGCACTCCCCAGTGAGATGAACCCAGTACCTCAGTTGGAAATGCAGAAATCACCCATCTTCTGAGTCGCTCACGCTGGGAGCTGTAGACTGGAGCTGTTCCTATTTGGCCATCTTGGCTCCACCCTCTGTTTTCTCTATTCTTGTCTGACTGTCTTATTTCAGAAAGCCAGTCTTCAAGCTCTGAGATTCTTCTTCTGCTTTGCCTATTCTGCTATTAATATTTGTGATTGCATTATGAAATTATTGTAATGTGTTCTTAGCTCTATCATGTCAATTATATGCTTTTCTATACTGGCTAGTTTGTCTGTTAGCTCTTGCATCATTTTATTGTGATTCTTATCTTCCTTGGTTTGGGATTCAACATACCCCTGCATCTCAATGACCTTTGTTCCTATCCATACTTTTAATTCTAGTTCACTCATTTCAGCTATCTCAACCCTGTTCATAACCCTTGCTGGAGAGGTGGTGTAGTCATTTGGAGAAGAGAAGGCACTCTGACTTTTTGATTGTCAGAGGTCTTCTGCTGGTCCTTTCTCATCTTTGTGGGCTGATGTTCCTTCAATCTTTGATGTTGCTGACTTTTCAATTGATTTTTTATCCTATTTGGTGACCTTGAGGTTTTCATGGAAGTATAAGGTGAAGTCAACCAACTGGCTTCATTTTTGGAAGATTTTAGGGAGCCAACACTCGGCTACCAATTCCTGGACTGCATAATCTAACTCTGGGGCACTTGTATTGGGCCCTGACTTTGTTCTCTGGCTTCTTGAAGTTAAGAATCCCCTATGCTGAGGGGACAGAGGTGCTTCCAGACTGTTGGTCACTACACTCTGATGGGTGGTGTCAGCCAAAGCACTTCATAGTGCATTGGCAGTGGGATCTGTCCTCATTCTCACATGTGAGCAGCAAGAGCAGCAACACTACAATGGGGTACACACTCATTGGCTGTGGCAGGGTACTAGCAGGTGCCAGGTTACTTGTCTCCATATGGGTGTTACTCACAGTGGCAGAGGCAGAATGGCTCTGGGGGCATTGGGGCACCTGATGGTGACTGTGCACATGGTCATGCTGCTGGTGGTGTTAGAACAGGGACAAGTCATTGGTGGGCACAGGTCTGTGTATTTTCACTGAGTGCTGCAGGCAGCAGTGGTCACTCTGGACAATGGAGTGTCCACTGTCCTCTGTGCCTACTTTCACTCTCATGGAAGTCTTGGTGCAAGGGTAGGGTCCTGGTGGGGCAGGGATGTCTGGCTCTATGTCTCCCAAGGCTCCTACTGCAATGGTGGTCAGGTAGGGGAAAAGGGGAGGTGTGCACTCCCACCACAATAGTGGCAGGGCAAAGTGCACACACATAGGTGTGCTGGTGAGGCAAGGAAGGCAAAACCCACTAGGCACACCTGCACTGAAAAAGCGATGTTGGGGGTTGCTATGAACACAGGGGAAGCTGCAGTTTGGGGAGGGAGTAGGCAGGCTGATGTATGGCAGTAGGGGCTGTCTCTCTTGAGTTCTCTGCTGGTTGAGCATGATCTGCCAGCACAGAAGCTGTAATGTGAACCCCTAGGGCACCCAAGGCTTTCCTGAAAGCCAGCCTGGAGTTCTGCAAGAGGCCAGCAAACCAAGGTGCTCAGGTCAAACCAGACCCATCTGATAGGCACAACCACACTGCAGAGTTCAGGTCCAACAGTTCCACTAGGGCTAAATTCTCTTATGGAAGCAAGCCCAGCCAAGGGAGATGAGCTTCTCTCACCCTGCTCCACTACAGATGCTTCCACATTATATCCTCTGGGTTCTGCTTCAGCTGGAATCCTGCCCCTATCGCTTCTCTAAACATCTCTCACAGCCAACTCAAGCATCTGTAGTGGTCAAGGGGTCTCCTCCTTTTGGGATTCCCAAGGCCCATGGTGTGAGTGGGTTGCTCCTGGCCACTTCAACTCACCCATTCCCCTTGGATCACTGGGAGCCAGAAACAAGTCCTGGTGCATGGTAACCAGGTGCAGTGTTCCCAGCTTCCTCCCCCTTCAAGTCACCTTCTGTGTCTTCCCTCTGTCCACTCTCAGTGCCTTCCCTCTGTAGATCTGTTAGGAGTATGCCAGTCATCTTGGTCTCTCAGTGACAGCTGTTCCACCTGACTGTGTCTAGTTGGCCTTCTTGTGCTCTCTGCAGTTTGCTAGTATTTCATTGAAGATTTTTGTATCAAAATTCTAGTTGCATCAGAGGTATTTGGCCAAAGTTTTCCTTTCATGTAGTGTCTTTGTCTGACTTATGTACCAAGGTAATGCTGACCTCATAAAGTGTGTTTGAAAGTATTTTCTCTGTCTTTCTTTTTTAGATGAGTTTGAGAAGTATTGGTAATAATTCTTCTCTGAATGTTTGGTAGAATTCAGCTATGAAACCATCTAGACCCAGGCTTTTCTTTGTTGGAAGGTTTTTAATTACTACTTCAGTTTATTTGTCGTTGGTCTGTTTAGGCTTTCTATTTCTTCCTGGTTCCATCTTGGTAGGTTATACTTTTCCAGGATTTTATCCACTTCCTCTAGTGTTATCCAACTTGTTGGCACATAATTGTTCATAATTGTTCCTTTTATTTCTGAGGTGTCTGATGTAATGTCTCCATTTTCATTTATGATTTTATTTATTTGAGTTTTCTCTTTTTTCTGTTACTCTAGTTAAGGGTTTGTCAATTTTGTTTATTTCAAAGAAGCAACCTTTGTTTTATCAATTTTTTCCTATGGTGTTTCTGTTTTTTATTTATTTAATTTATTTCTGTTCTAATATTTATTATATCCTTTCTTCTGCTGAGCTTGAGTTTAGTTTGTTTTCTTATCTAGTTCCTTGAAGCATAATATTAGGTTATGTATTTGGGATCTTTTTTAATGTAGTCATTTATTGCTATAAACATCTCTCTTAGAAATGTTTCTGCTGTATCCCACAGGTTTTGTCATGTTGTACTTCCATTGTTTTTTGTCTCAAAATATTTAAATTCTCTTTTGATTTCTTCTGTGAGCTATTAGTTGTTCAGGATCATGTTGCTTAATTTTCACGTATTTCTGAATTTTCCAAAATTCCTCCTGTTAATGATTTCTAGTTTCATACTGTTGTGGTCAGAAACAATACTAAATATAATTTCAATATTCTTGAAGTTGTCAAGACTTGTCTCATGGCCTAACATTTGGTCTATCCTGAAGAATGTTTCATGTGCACTAGAGAATGTTTATTATGCTGCTGTTGAATGGAAAGTTTTGTATATATCTGTTAGGCCCATTTGGTCTGAAGCAAAATTCAAGTCCAATATTTCCTTGTTTATTTTTTCTCTGGTTGACCTATCCATTATTGAAAGTGGAGTATTGGAGTTCCCTACTATTCTTGCATTGCTATCCATTTCTTTCTTTATGTCCATTAATATTTGCTCTATATATGTAGGTACTCCAATCTTGGGTTCATATATATTTACAATTGTTATGTTTCCTTGATGAATTGATTGCTTTATTACTAAATAATGACCTTCTTTGTCTCTCGTGAAAATTTTTGATTTGAAGTCTATTTTACATTATGTAAGTATAGCCACTTCTGTTCTCTTTAGGTTACTATTTGCATAAAATATCTTTTTTCATTCTTTCATTTTCTGCCTGTGTGTCTGTAAGCTAAAATGGCAAGCTTTGAACACTTATGTTATTAAATAAGACTTCTGTGACTTTTTCTCTTCTCTTTACGGGCCTTCCATAATCAAAAAAAAAGTTTACTTAATGATATTCCATAAGTCCTGTAGGCTGTCTTCCCTCTTTTTTTTTTCTTTTTGCTTTTTTCCCCCATGATTGGATTATTTCAAATGACCTGTGTTCAACTTCACATATTCTTTTTTGCTTGGTCAAGTATGCTGTTGAAGACTTCAATTGTATTTTTAATTGCATTCATTCAGTTTTTTAGCCCCAAGATTTGTGTGTGTTTTTTTCTTAATGGTATCTATCTCTTTGTTGAACTTCTCATTTAGATGATAAATTGTGCTCCTGATTTTATTGAATTATATATCTATATTGTCCTGTACCTTGCTAACTTTCCTTAAGATCTCTATTTTAAATTTATTTTCAGCCAATTCGTAAGTTTTTATTTCTCTGGAGTCAGTTACCAAAACTTTACCATGTTACTTTGGTGGTGTTATGTTTCCTTGCCTTTTCATGTTTCCTGTGTCCCTGCATTGATGTCTGAGCATCTGGTAGAGCAGTCACTTATTCCAAATTTATAGTTTATGTAGAGTTTCACCTGAAGATGGGTCCTAGGGTGTCAGTTGGGAGGGTGTGTTGGCTCTGGTGCTGGATGAGCCCAGTAGTGTAGTCTGTGTGAAGCTTCTTTAGCTATGGTTAACATCAGTAATGACTACAGGTACCTCAGTGGCCTAGGATGCAGGTATTTTGGGCAATGGTTTTGGCACTGAAGATTATTAGAGTTTTAGTGGCAAAGGTGTTAAGAGTCGTCCTGTTCTTATTTTCCCCATAGTGAAGAACCTTAGCTGAGAGAATCACTCATGGTATTGAGTCTGACATGGATCACAAGCAGACTCACTGAAACTGTGTAACAGTATTTCCAATGGCTGTGGACCTGGGATTCTGTGCTCAGTGTCTTGCTGAACTACTGTGGCACCTGTAATGTGGGCTCAGGTTCCCTCTCTGGAACATAGGTAAACACAGCTCTCCAACAAATCTAGGGGCTGTGACTCTGAGGCATTGCCCAATAGCCTAGTCCCAAAAAGCAGGGATGTAGCTGTGACTCTGATCCTGGGAATCAGGCTACAGCACTGACACAGCTCTAAGGAAGAAGGGGTGTTCCAGAGGCTCAAGCCATGGCTAGCAGGGCACAACAGTCAGTCCCCACACTAATGGGGCACAGTATCAACTTGGGCACCAGGGGAGTGGGTATCTTGTAGTGATGACTCTGGAAGTAGGAAAAGGCAGTAGCCTAGGCTCCATAAGCCTCGGTGCAGCAGCAGCAAGAACTCAGGAATGATGGGGTAGAGCTGTGATTTATTCTCTGGGGCTTGAGGAGCAGGGCAACAATGGTCCTACTCCCTAGGGAGGCAGGGAGCCTCAGCATGTCAGATTCTGGAAGGGAATCAGATTCAGGGAGGTGGGGATCTGTGGCTGTTTGACCCAGACAGCAGGAGTCACAGCTCAGCCAAGGCTCTGTTTCCCTGGAGACCGGGACACCACATCAGTTCAGGTGCCTGGGAGGTGGCTGCTTCACTGGGCCCTAGGCCTGGGGCCCCACAGGGCTGGGTGTGTGACTAATCCACAGGGCCAGGATTGCTGGTCCCCAAAGGACAGGATTCTGTCTTGACTCAGGCAGGGTGGCTCTGCTATACTGGACTCTGGGTCGCCAAGAGACAGGCACCACGTGAGCTTAGTTACTCGGGTACAGTTGCTCTGCTATAGGGGCAGAAGGTCAGATTCCTGAAGGAGCAGAAGCCACTAGGCAGAGGTGCAGGCCTGTGACTGCTCCACTGGGCCTGAACTTCTGGTTCCTGGCAGGCAACATGCCACATCAGCTTGGGCACCTGGGGCATGTGGCTTCTCTGCTGGGCACAGGCTTTGAGTAGCCAAGGGATGAAATGTAGCAGCAAATGGGATAGGGGAGATTGTCAGGTTGTTCCCAGACAGTATGAAGCTGCATCAGCTTGTTCCTAGGGCATAGGAAGATTAAGCAGCTTGTTCTTAGGTGACAGGTAGCTGCAGCAGCTCAGCTGGTAAAAGGTGCACTGCCGTGTGTGTGCACTGCCGTGTGTGAGCAATAATGGCAGAACCTGAGGGATGAAGGGGTGCAGTGGCTATGGGCCCTTGGAACAATAGCTCCAGTTTCAGGATTGCACAGTAGCAGTTTGGACCGCAGAGAGTGCATATGAGATGGGCTCCACCTCTGGAGTCGTACAGCCTTTGGAACTCCAGGCAGCCTAAGCTGGGCACAGGGCCTATGAGGACTGCAGGACTCATAAGTAGTGAAAACTGTAGGTGTCCATGACAGTGATGGGGGCTGCTGTGGCCTTCTGCTTACCTTTTCCTCACTGGGAGAAACCCACTCCTGGTTCCGAGCTGATCCCCACTGGAGGGAATGGGTGGCAGAAGCAAGGTGGTTTCTTCCTGCTCTAGGTGGCCATCCTGAGTTACTGTGCACTGCAAAATTTCCACCACTCCCTTGCTGTACTCCCGCATTCTCCTTTAGTCAGTCTGGTCAAATTGTGGCTGCTTGTTGTTTTGGTACTTTTTTATGGGGGTGATGAACAGTAGCCACCTGTAATTGACCATCTTGCTAACATTACTCTGAATCTGTTCATTTATTTTATTTTTAATTGTTAAGCATTTATTTATATTCCAATACAAATAAAATAACACAATGTATAAAATAAAATATTTACATCCAAGCAAAGACAGGAAGAGAGTAAGTGAATGAAAGAGAGAAATAGAGAAGAGGAGAAGAGGGCATGAAAGGGGAGTGAAGAAGAGAGGAGAGGAGAGGGGAGGGGAGGGGACCAAGGTGCAGGAGGGCAATATTTGTTTGGGTTTATTCCCAAATAACCCAGTTCCTTCCACCTTACCCTTTGAGTCCACAGAAGGAGGTAAATTTTTTTTTAAAAAAAGTAGGGGAGAAAAAAATGGTAGGTGGAAAGGGCCACTTTTAAGGTGAAGAGTTGGGGAGATTTCTAGAGGTGCAAGGAAGTCAAAGCCAGCAATTTCTTGGCAAAGGTACACCTGGAGCATGCTTCATGGTAGCCTCCCAGAGACTGCGCAAAACCTCAGAAATGATGGCTATCATGGTATGTGTAGCGAGGATGGACCCAAGTACCTGAGGCCTGAGCCTCCCAGGGATTCCAGGGCCTTAAGTTTGACCAGGGAGCAGCAGAAGCACCAGATCTAGGGGTATCATGGAGGCTCGGAGACTGACCGAGATAACTTTTTTAAATGTGTAAGAGATATTTCTCTAGTCTAGAGTTTATGTACTAAATTTCATTGATATTACATTAGCATTTATACAACATTTTACAACACTTCATGTAGTTGCATCACATAGATTTGATTTTTCCTATACCCACATGAGATTGGCAGGTGAGAAATTATCCCGATTGCAGATGGAATATTTAGGTATACTGAGGCCTGTCATCCTCTTCTCATTGTAGGTAACAATATATCTCAAACCTCACAAAGTGTGAGTTATGGAATATAATAGTTCTTATTGGTCCAAAATAATCCCACTATTGGTTAGCCACTGTGCCTAAACTCCATACTTTTGGTGTTATTCTTAAAAATAACAGCAAATCTTAAGAAGCTATTTATTTTAAGATTCCACATATAAGTGAAATCTATAGTTAATACTATTGTACTTAGGGTTTTTGCTAAATGAGACTTTAGCTGCCCTTGCCACACACACACACACAAACTGGGTAACTATGTGCAATGATGGATATGTTAATTTGCTTCACTATAGTAACCACTTTACTGTCGATATGTATGTTATAACATCATGTTGTACACTTTGATTATATACAATAAAATTTATTTTTTTAAAAAAGCTATTCAGTTTAAGGGATTGTATTCTTATAGTCCTTATGGGAGGAAAACATATCAGTACTCATTCATTAACAAGAGTTAGATCATTAACTTATTGCCACCACCCATCCATTTCTTCCTTTAAGTAAGATTTGCTGAGGTAGATCAAACTGAGAATGGGACCTTGTCCAAAACATTTCTATATCCCTTGCAACTGCAAAGATAAATGAGCTTCCTCTCCCCACCCCCAAATAAACCCAAAATGTTTGTAGAAATGACCATAAGTAGATATTTTTAATGAAGAATTTTAACAAAGGATAGAAATACAGCATAATATGTTGGAAAGATCTCCAAATCAAAACATGTAAGTTATATCTACTATTAAACAGAAAGCATGATTTATACTACATACTCTGATAAGTGCTTTATAGTCTTTATCCAATTTAATTCTCAATGAAAACCTACCCTGTGAAGTAGCTATTACTGTTAGCCCCATTTTACAGGTGAAAACACTGAGGCTTAGAGAGGTTAATTTGCTCAAGGTCACACAAGTAGCAAGTGGCCAGCCAAAATTCAACCCAAATTGTATGATATCAATACCCACAGTCATAACCATGAGAAGCCATGGCTTTGTTATGAATTAATCTTATTGTATTCCTTAGTGCCTCAATTTCCTCACTTATGCATGGGAAATAATGCCATGTCTGCCTTGCAGGACTGCTGTGATAATTGACTCAAGTCAGGTATTTGAGGAAATATGTATGTAATTGCCTAGAATGAAAGTGTTTTGTAAGCAGAGAAGCATGCACATATCAAATTTATTGCTATCAAGCTATATTACTGGCTAGGGCGTCATCTTGGGCAAACTCTTCAGCACTCTGGTCTCAGATTTTTCACCCAGAAATTGAGAGTTTTGGACTAGATGGTCCCTATCTTCTTTCCAACTCCAATGACTTCAAGTTTTGTAAAAAGTTGCAATCCTGACATCATGATAAGACGATAGGGAAATAGGGAATTGACCCACATAGCAAAGTGGGGCGTGAGATCAGCAGGGACAAAAACTCCATGACAACCATGGCACCAGAGAGCAAGTACCTGGCATGCTTTCTCTCTCTAATTGGCTTTTCTCCTTTCATCTCTGCTCTCAGAGACACATTTAAAATGATCCCCACTTGAGGCCATCTCTCTTGCTGTGAGTGGACAGCCAATTTTGTGGTCAAACATGCCCATCTTGGAGTGTGATACGCCCACCTGAAAAATTCCATTGGAAAAGAAATAAGCAATTTCAACCTTTGGCAAGAACCCTGTCTTCTTGGAGGACCTGGGTAAAGGTCACAGGACAAGACTTAGAACAGTGGATTCTGTACCGTCTCAATATCCATGTAATTCTTCCAGTAAGGATACACATGGAACAGAGTTTATGGTCCTCAGTCTCTCTCATTCTTCAACTCTTCCCACTTCCTCACTTCCACATTCTGTACCTAAAGCTCTTCGTTGGATTCTCTTACTCCTTACTCAACCTTCTGTAAAAAGAAAAACCTCAAACATAAAATTTCAGGTATTATTCTGGAGTGAGGGATGGGTATTGAATTCTTAAGGATGTGACCTTGAACACTGCTATCTTCTTCTTTTTCACCTGTAAAATGGGGATGTTGGGATAAACTACAGTCAAATATATGTTGTCTATAAAGCCTGAAAAATGCATCAAAAATAGTAATTTACTGAGTTTCAGAGGAATTTCCTCAGATCAAAACCTGCTTGGGTATGTTTCCCAGTTTTCTCCACCCCAAGGACCCTTTTAATTTAATTTTTGCTCTTCAGGATTCTGTTTTCAAAATGCTAATAATTAACTTGATTCTGTTTAAATACATAGCTTTGATTTATGATCTCTGAATAGCAAGAGACACACTGAGTCTTAATGATATGACGGAGTACTCCTATATAAGGCTGTTAGAACTTCTGAAATACTTCAAATTGCTCTCTGTTGTAATTTTTGGAGACCCTGGGATCTGAAGACACTGTCCTGGGCAACACAGATATCAGAGATACCCACTCCAAGCACAAGAAGTGTTGCTTTAAATATTCTTTGTAATCTTCTTGTACATATATTGTTCTTTATTGAGCAACGTTTCTGGGTTTACCTGATTTTGTACCCTGCACAACTTTGCAAACTGACCATGTCCTTATTAGATTAGCACTGGATAGGATTTTGATCACCTATATTCATCTAGTAAAATCTTTAACCTATCTTTACATCAATTATCTTTTCCTATGCGAATTGTCTCAGGAGATGGTGAACATATGCAAGGAATTAATCAAAGAGAGTGAATGTATCCAGAGTTTTTTCTCTTTTTCTCTAGCTTATCAAATGTCAACAAGGTAAGTTTTCAGGATAAATTTTATCATGAATAAGAAAAGCAATCCACAACTCCTTGTTCTTTACTGGAAATGGTAGATTACATAGAGTACATTTAATTATGTCTGCCTGTGTCACCAGAATGTAATAAAAAAGTAAAGAGTTTCAGTGCAACCAATTGATCAACAATTTGACTTATTGTCACTGAATTGACCAGTTATATTCATGTTTGGGGGATGTTATCTGTGAGAGCTTATATTTTAAAAATATTTCCATTAAATCTAACTCACCTTGGATAACATATCTGAGATATTGTATTAGAGGGTTTTTTTATTTTTGAATCTTTTTTTCATTTTTATTTTTATTTTAAGTTCTGGGGTACTTGTGCATGATGTTCAGGTTTGCTACATAGGTAAATGTGTTTCATGGTGGTTTTCTGCGCCTATCAACCCATCACCTAAGTATTAAGCCCAGCATGCATTAGCTATTTTTCCTAATGCTCTCCCTCCCCTCACTCCACCCCCTGACAGGCCCCAGTGTGTGTTACTCCTCTCACTGTATCCATGTGTCCTCATAGTTCAGCTCCCACTTGTAAGTGAGAAGATATAGTGTTTGGTTTTCTGTTCCTGCACTAATTTGCTGAGGATAATGACTCTGCATTCGTTTGCTGAGGATGATGGCTTCCAGCTCCATCCATGTCCCTGCAAAGGACATGATCTCATTCCTTTTTATGGCTATTCTAAGAGTAAACAGAAAGATTTCCAAGTTAACAAAACCATAATGGAAATAAAAATAAGATTTTCTTAGTTTGACATCCAAGCCTGAGTGAAAGAACCATTTATTAATGTGTTAGACACAAACTTGTTGAGTTCTGCAAATATTAGTATATACAATGCTTAGCATTAAGTAACCAAACGTCTCTACTTATAGGTGTGCTCTGTATAGTCAGCTTTCTCAGCTTGAGGGTACTTGGTGGTACTGGAACAAAAAGCAGCATCAGGAGTTGACAATTCAGCTGTGTGGGAGATAACACAATACTACAAGATAGAAAGAAGTACAATCATTTGTCAACAATATCTTTAGTCTGGTTTAGAAATCATAAATAATTTTATTAAGAGGTCCTTGATACTTCAGTACTAGTTCTTCCTTTATTCCCCTTTAAGAGAGAAGTGATGATGGGAATGATCATTGCTAACATTTTTTGAGGCCTTAGTGTTTTTGTTTTTTGTTTTGAGGAGTCTCGCTCTGTTGCCCAGGCTGGAGTGCAGTGGCACAATCTCGGTTCACTGCAACCTCTGCTTCCCAGGTTCAAGCAATTCCCCTTCTCAGCCTCCCAAGTAGGTGGGACTACAGGCGTGCGCCACAAAGCCTGGCTAATTTTTGTATTTTTCAAAGAGGAGGAGCTTTACCATGTTAGCCAGACTGGTCTCAAACTCCTGACCTCAGGCAATCCACCTGCCTCGGCCTCCCATAGTGCTGGGATTATAGGTCTGAGCCACCGCGTCTGGCTGAGGCCTTATTGTTTTAAGCCCTTTATGTCATTTCCATCCTTGCAACAACGCTTTGAGGTTTAATGATTATCAGCTTCACATATAGATGAAGCAACTGAGGTAAAGAGAAGTTAATCATGTGCTAAACATCGCACAGCCTGCAAGTAAGATTCAGGAAAGTCTACTCTCTCACATTCTATCTCTTTCTCCCCCTTTTTCTCTGTCCTCTCTCTCTCTTCCTTCTTCTCCCCCTTTCTCCACCCTATTAATGATTTTTACATTTAATAATATTTTTATCATAAATGCAGAAGCTGTAGGAAAACAAGAGAATACAGATAAGTATAAAGAAGAAAATCAAAATGATACCATCCATTAATTTTAATGTTTGACATTATAAATGGTTTGTAAGGAGTGTGTGTGTGTTTGTGTGTGTGTGTGTGTGTGTGTGTGACAGAGAGAGAGAAGAGAGCGGGGGATTGGAGAGAGAGCTCATGCATGCAAAAGAGTTTATAAAAAGCACATAATTTTTCTCCAGAAAAGTAGAATTACCTTGTGCACTCATCAGTGGTCATATGAGTGCCCATTCCTTACTGATTTATGCAATATCTTATATATTAAGGTAATAATTATATTGTCTTTTTCTGTCTTATCACTATTTTCCCCCATTCATCAACTGTCTTTCAAATATGCTTTATGTAAGAGTTTTTCTGCCGTAACCAAGTTTTAAATTGCTTTGCCATATTTTTTCTCTTATAATTTCTGTTTTAGTGTTATTTTTCAGGAATATCACTTCCATCCCAAGATTATATAAATACACATCTATTTATTCCTCAAATACTCTTTTACCCATAGTGAGGCAGGTCTCACAGACCATTTATAGAAGAGTTTGTTCTTTCACTGTCAACCAAAAATACTTTTTCATATATAAAATTCTTACCAACACACATTTATTTATGAAATTTTTATTTGTTCTTTTGGCATGTCTATTATTATAAGAATAATGAATTATCAATGTTCAAAATACTTTTTAATATCTGAAAGTTAAAATCCTTTCTAATTATTCATCTTTTTCAAAATTGTCTTGGCTATTATCTATCATTGGTTTGCTCTTTGATCTCAAGAAAGGACAGTCTGAGTATGGAGCAGAGTGAATGTACACTATCTATGCATACCTTTGGTTGCTGCAATTACTTTTACACCAACCTAATACTATAAGTCTGTTGGTAAGCTCTGACTTGCTGATTGAATCTACCAAAAAATAAAAAGATATACCTCTGTATTATTAGAGAATTGAAATATTTACTTTGACCTTTTTCCTAGTTCAAGATCCATCATAATTTGATGCTGGTTTTCCACTGACCTAGTGTACCCAAAGTCAAGCAAACTGAAGAAAAAATGGCTTATATCATTATGGCTCTAGGTGGCTTGACTGGCATGGACACTAGGTCTCAATCTACACCTGCCTGGAGGCAATGAGGCCTGGCTGTCTATAGGGCTGATGTTGTCTCATGAATTTCCTCAAATTAACCCATGAAAATATTACTTTTCACATTCCTACCCACAGGTATACCTGTCACTCATGATTATCTGTAAGCAGTCCATGATAACAATAGCCATTCTCTGTTGAACAATTGCTGTATACGTAAATGTGTGCTAAGTTTTTGCATGAATTTTCACTTACAGCCTTCCCAGTAACCTGGGAAGTTAGAAGCTTTTATTGTCCTTACATTATTAGTAGTAAATTAAGCTTAATGTTTTTATGTCACTGGTACAAGTTAATAGAAGAAGAAGGTATTGGAAATAAACTCCAAAGTCTGAACCCTTAGCCACATTACTATGCTGTTTCCCAGATACTCTAAAATTGAGACAATAGTTGGGGCCAAGAGTGAGCTGCACTAGCCTCCTTCTGGAATGCTTTGTATTAAGGCTTCCCTGAGAAAACTTATTCCAAAACTTTATTGGACACCCACGCTCTGTCTGCCTCAAAATATTATCAGAATTTATGATATTATTGTTAAGGCCAGTTTGGATATGTTATATTAAATACATTTTTATTAAAATAGGAGAAGTTATTATAAACAGGGAAAGCAATTTTTCTAAAGGGTAAAATAAAAAGTATTTTAAATCTACTTAGATAACAATCCAGGGCAGGACTGTTGTCCATCAAATATATTTTGGAAGGATGCCATTTAAACTTTCATAATTTTTGTTGTTGTTGTTGAAACAGAGTCTCACTCTGTTGCCTAGGCTGGAGAGCAGCAGCATGATCTCACCTCACTGCAACCTCTGCCTCCTGGGTTCAAGTGATTCTCCTGCCTCAGCCTCAGGAGTAACTGGGATTACAGGTCTGTGCAACCACGCCCAGCTAATTTTTGTATTTTTAGTAGAGATGGGGTTTTGCCATTTTGGCCAGGCTGGTCTCAAACTCCTGATCTCAGGTGATCCACCCACCTCAGCCTCCCCAGGTGCTAGGATTACAGGCATGAGCCACTACGCCCAGCCTAAGCTTTCATAATTTTAAAGCAACAGTTATATAATGAATCACCAGAGGTCTTTTTGAAGAAAAACTATTATCTTAATTAGTGATCTTTACCTTATACGTAATACTCTCAGCATTTCTATAGCATATTTTTTAAAAATTACCAGTCAACTTTTAAAATATATTTTTAATTCTCATGATACTCCATGAATTAATCAAGAACCTGAAGCATTGTGCAGGTACATGCTGACAATTCAAGAAAGGCTGGGGTCTTTCCATCAGAAGAGTGAAACATTTGTCCATTTCCAGTGCTTGTTGGAAGAAAAGATGTACACATATGAAGACGGTAATGTTATCACTTCAACTGAGTTAGCAATCCATTCTCTTGTCTCCTTTCTGATATTAGGAGCACTGAGCCAATGACTGGGGGAGGAAATATTACAGAAATCACCTATTTCATCCTGCTGGGATTCTCAGATTTTCCCAGGATCATAAAAGTGCTCTTCACTATATTCCTGGTGATCTACATTACATCTCTGGCCTGGAACCTCTCCCTCATTGTTTTAATAAGGATGGATTCCCACCTCCATACACCCATGTATTTCTTCCTCAGTAACCTGTCCTTCATAGATGTCTGCTATATCAGCTCCACAGTCCCCAAGATGCTCTCCAACCTCTTACAGGAACAGCAAACTATCACTTTTGTTGGTTGTATTATTCAGTACTTTATCTTTTCAACGATGGGACTGAGTGAGTCTTGTCTCATGACAGCCATGGCTTATGATCGTTATGCTGCCATTTGTAACCCCCTGCTCTATTCATCCATCATGTCACCCACCCTCTGTGTTTGGATGGTACTGGGAGCCTACATGACTGGCCTCACTGCTTCTTTATTCCAAATTGGTGCTTTGCTTCAACTCCACTTCTGTGGGTCTAATGTCATCAGACATTTCTTCTGTGACATGCCCCAACTGTTAATCTTGTCCTGTACTGACACTTTCTTTGTACAGGTCATGACTGCTATATTAACCATGTTCTTTGGGATAGCAAGTGCCCTAGTTATCATGATATCCTATGGCTATATTGGCATCTCCATCATGAAGATCACTTCAGCTAAAGGCAGGTCCAAGGCATTCAACACCTGTGCTTCTCATCTAACAGCTGTTTCCCTCTTCTATACATCAGGAATCTTTGTCTATTTGAGTTCCAGCTCTGGAGGTTCTTCAAGCTTTGACAGATTTGCATCTGTTTTCTACACTGTGGTCATTCCCATGTTAAATCCCTTGATTTACAGTTTGAGGAACAAAGAAATTAAAGATGCCTTAAAGAGGTTGCAAAAGAGAAAGTGCTGCTGAGTTTACAGATTCTGAGATTTCTGCCAGATATGGCCCATCAGAATCTCCCTAACCCACAAAATATGATAATGAATGGACTATAACAAAATTCATGCTGCCTACTGCCTTTGGACAAAGAAGGCTTGATTTGATGCACAAAATATGCCAATATGGACCAACAGATGACTCAATGCCACAGACATCAGGATCTTTAGGTCCTGGAGGTTCATTATTTTTATCCTACATCAGGATAAATAATGTGGCCTCATCATTTATGAATTTGTCCAAAATTATTTGTGAAACAACAAGATTTAGAAATCTTTTGTTTCCTGTGGCTTCTCAGATCAAAGATGGCTCAATGTTAGGACTTTGCCACTACAGAAATGAGGCCTGGCACAGACCCCCAGGAGTTCAGAAACATCATCTCCCATATATGCTGATACAGCATAATAAAGACATGGTGGTAACCATTGTTTATTCTGTGTTTCTGGATGGGAAAGAATAAACAGACAGAGGGGTTCTGCCATTGGAAAGGGAAAAAAAAGCAATATATTGGCCTGGTTGTGTCTTTAAGAAAGAGCAACATGAGATAGCTGCAGTTTGCCTAAGACCTCTCTCAGCTAATCATCTAATACATTTTTGGCAATTTCCTTGCCTACACCAGCTGTAGCATAAGAAAGAAGGAGGTGATTTTAATCATGAAGTGGGATAGAAACAAGGATATGGTTCCTGCAATCATATTTACTTATGAGTCTGATGATTTGATTTCTTGTATCTAGAGTCTAGTGGGAAATTATAATGGAGATGATATTCAAAGTTCACAGCCAATAGCAACATCTGATACTGTGGGACTCAAACTTTCTTTTTCTCCCCCATTAAATTTAGAAAATTTACTCTTGTTTGACTGGGTAACTATTGAATCCAGGAGAGGATGAAAGAAACATGGGTCAAATATATTTCAGTCAAGCTCAACCTAGACAAGCTAACCTGCAGTCATGTTCAGAGAAGTCATGCATTTAAGCCTACTCTACATCAGCCAGTCCCAGCTGATCTCCAGATGATCTGAGGATATGTGAGTGATAATAAATGAATGTTGCAGTCAGCACTGGATTTTGCAGTTTGTTATACAGCAGTAGTTAACCAATATACTTCATAATTTAAAATTAAAAATTTTCTCCTTGTCCAAACTGCCTGGCGTAAAATTCAGGCTCTGCCACCCCCAAGGTGTGTGATGCTGGGCAAGCCACACAATCTTTTGTGCCTCAGTTTTCTCATTTGTAAAATTGAGATATTATATATCTATTTTGGAGTTGTTTAGGATTATTGAGCTGATACTTATTCAAAACTCAGAATAGGGACCCCAGCATATAATAAACGCTATACGTGAATCATGTATTATTATTTATTAAGTGCTTTCTATGTTCAAAGAATTTAAATGGTTTCAGTTGAGCTAAGTTTTACTGTTATACCAACTTCACAGATGAATAAACTTAGGCCAGAGAAATTCAGAAACACAGCTAGTAAGTGAAGGGGTGGGAATCCAAACTAACATTGCAGATATCAAAGCCTCCTCCCTTCTTCAATACCCCTTAATGTATAAGGTGCCAAATTGCTTATTAATATACAAGGTACATATGAATAAAATAAAGCAATATTTATGAGATGTAGCCAAAGCTAAAATCAGAAGTAACAATCTTTTGAAAAGAAATACAATAAAGTAACAAAGCTGTGAATCAGAAAAAAATTGAAAAAAGAATGCCAATTCAAACCTTAAGAAAACTAGAGGAGAAGTGGAGGAGTGGGCAAGATGGCTGACCAGAAGCAGCTAGTGTGTGTGGCTGTCATGGAAAGGAACAGAAGGGGTGAGCATTAGGTCTTTGCAACCCTCAAGTCAGGAGATCTCCTTGTGAACCCACTCCACCAGGGCTTTCAGTCTTCAGTCTAATACACAGAGCTATGTGGAGTCTTGGCAGAGCAGCCACTCAGGCCAGCATGGAGTCCTCGAAGGCTTAGATACTTGGGTTTTCTGGTAAAAGTAGCTGCAGCCCCAGCAAAGTTGGAGGTTAGACTCCTGTATATAACCCTAGGAAAGAGGCTGAATCCAGGGGTGTTAACAGCAACAACCCACAGGCCCCACTTCCATGCCACCTCACAAGATAAGATCCACTGGCTTGGAATTCCAGACAGCTACCAGTAGTGGCATTGTACCTCCCTAAGAAGGAGCTCAAAGGGAAGAGCTGGGCTGTCATCTTTGCTGTTCAGATGCCTTAGCTGTTCCGGCCTTTGGGCTTTGAAGAATCTGAGCTGACCCAGGGTGGAAGAGAACCCCCAGCCTAGCACAACACAGCTGCTCTACCCAAACATAGCCAGACTATGCTTTAGGTGGGTGTCCAATCCCATTCCTCTTCACTGGGCAGGACCTCCCAACTGGGGCCTGCAGCCACCCCCACCAAGCTCTCCAGGTGACAAAGATTTGAATTATCCCTGAGATGGCACTCACAGAGGGAGAAGTGGGTTACCATCTTTGCTGTTTTAATGACTTAGCAACTCCAGCCTTTGGGCTTTGAAGTATCTGAGACGACTGAGGACTGAAGTAGACCCCCAACACAGCACAGCTGTTCTACCAAAACGTGGCCAGACTGCTTTTTCAAGTGGTTCCTAATCCTGTTCCTCCTCACTGGGTGGAACCTCTCAACTAGGCTCTCCAGCCACTTCCTACAGCTGCTTTGGGCCACCAAAACTGCATACCTCCCTGGGACAAAGCTCTCAGAGGAAGGGACAAGCCACTGTCTTTGCTGTTTCACAGCCTTCACTGGTGACACCTCCAGGTTCTGGGAAATCTGAGGTGACCAGGTACTGGAGCAGCCCCCAAGCATAAAACAGCAGCCCTATGGAAAAGTGGCCAGAGTGTTTCGTGGGTTTCCATTCCCATATCTTCTCACCAGGAAGATCTTCAGGCCTGGGCTTCCAGCCACCACCAGCCAGAACTATCAAGCCAGTATCAAATCACCAACTCCCTAGACAGAGCTTCCGAGGTCAACAGAAAGTTTCTATGCCACTGCCTCTGCAGTGGAACTGCCCTTGACACGCTCCAACTAATGAATGAGCAAAGACACTAAGTGCTTTATCCACACCTCTAATAATCTGTAGTCAACCCAAGGAGAAGAGGCTGGTCTGTCTCCCACGGGTCCCACACACCCCCCACCACTCATCACCAGACAAAGAACCCCTGGCTTGGGCCCACAACACATACCCTCTATCTTGGGCTGGCTGCACTGAGCGATTGCTGACCTGCATCTCTCTGGGGTGGAGCCCCCAGGAGTCAAACAAATGACCCTTAGCCACAACCATTACGAAGATCTCTTCCACTGCTGTCTCTAAGCTGGGGAAGGAACGTAAACACAAAGATCTCCCCAGAGCTGCAGCAGGCAGCCCAGGAGTGCTGAATCAGGAACTACAGGCAGCACTCAGGGGGAGAGGAAACCACACGTTCTGAGCACTGAGAGGGAACACAGCTGCAAATGTGAGGAAACATAGGGGAGCCACACAACAGAACAAGAGTCTTCCAGCTGTCCTGTAAGCCTAGGTATCACCTACTGAATCACACCTCAAAACTTCAACACCAAAAATATCTCACTAATATATCCCCCTCTGAAACAAGAGATAAGAAGTGAGCATCAAACACAGACCCTACACAAAGCCTTGGCCCAGTGAAAACATCCAGAAAATAAGTTGATTGACTATACTCAAACTACTCTGCAGTTAAAGAAACACCCACATGCAGAGATGAGAAAAAAAAAACAATGTAAGAACTCTGGTAACTCAAATGGCCAAAATATCATATGTCCTCCAAATGATCACACCAGTTCTCCAGCAAAGGTCCTTAACCAGGCCAAACTGGCTAGAATGACAGAAATAGAATTCAGAATATGGATAGAAAAAAAAAGATCATGGAAATTCAGGAGGATGGCAAAATCCAATCCAAGAAAAATAAGAATCACAATAAAGTGACACAGAAGCTGAAAGAAAAATAGCCAGTATAAAAAAGCACTTAGTGGGTCTGACAGAGCTGAATAGCGCAATACAAGAATTCCACAATGCAATCAAAAGTATTAAGAGCAGAATAAACCAAGCTGAGGAAACAATCTCAGAACTTGATGCTGGTTCTCTGAAATAAGACAGTCAGACACAAATAAAGAAAAAAAAAGAAATAAACAAAGCCTCCAAGAAGTATGGGTTATGTAAACAGGCCAAATCTACAAGTAATTGACATCACTGAAAGGGAGGGGAAGGAAGAAAACAACTTGGAAAATATATTTCAGAATATTGTCCATGAAAATATCCCCAACCTTGCTAGAGAGGACAACAGTCAAATTCAGTAAATACAGAGAAGTCCTTCAAGATTCTACACAAGAAGATAATCACCAAGACACATAATCATTATGTTTTCCAAGGTCAAAATAAAAGAATGTTAAAGGCAGCTATAAGGAAAGGGTGAGTCATCTACAAAGGGATCCCCGTCAGGCTAACAGCAGACCTCTCCACTGGTACCCTACAAGCCAGAAGAGTTTGGGGTTTTGTCTTCCACATCCTTAAAGAAAATAGTCTTCAACCAAGAATTTCATATCTAGCCAAACTAAGCTCCTAAGTGAAGGAATAATACAATCCTTCTCAGATAAGCAAATGTTGAGGGACTTCATTACCACCAGACCTGCCTTACAAGAGATCTTGAAAGGAGCAGTAAATATAGAAAGGAAAAACTGCTACCAGCTAATACAAAAACACAGTTAAACACAGAAACCAATGTCACTATGAAGCAACCACACAAACAAGTAAACATAATAACCAGCTGACAGCACAATGACAGAATCAAATGCACACATATCAGTATTAACCTTGAATGTAAATGGGCTAAATGCCCCACTAAAAAGGCACAGAGTGGCAAGCAGGATAAAAAAGGAAGACCCAATGGTATGCTGTCTTCAAGAGACCCGTCTCACATGTAAGACACACACAGGCTCAAAATAAAGGGAAGGAGAAACTTCCATGGCTGATTTGTTACTGTTGCTGCCAAATGTCACAGACTGAAAGAATCAAAATTGTAAAAATTTCTATTCTAACCAATTAATGTATGAATTATGTGAAATACCAATCAAAATCACAACATGCTTGTGGAAACTAAAAGTTGATTATGAAATTAATACAGAAAAGAGCAAAGTATATCCAAGATATTCTTGCCCTTACAAATATCAATGTATTCAGAAGCTATATAAGTGACATAAGCAAGATGGGGAGTCAGGGATCTCAGCCCTCATCACCCACAGAAAACAACTGGACAGCTATCTGTGCATGAAAATTGCTATAGGAAGGCTCTGCAGTCCAGTTAAGGAGCTGCAGCAACACAGTGAAGACAAGTGAATGAACGTGTTAGTCAGAGTTCTCCAGAGAGACAAAACCAATAGGATACATCAGAGGAGTTCCTGAACTCCTTAAAATTGTTGGAAAAATATTCTGTATATATACATCTTTTTTGATCAAAGCTTTACATCATTTGGATTCACAAGAAGGACCATGAGATAACCTCTGTGATAGCTCTAGGCTGTTATCTTGTAGGCTTTTTCTTTTCACATGTCCATGTGTTATCTACACACAATTGGGTTCTTTTGCTTTAATATTTGTGTGTATGTGGAGTATTCCTTTTTCTTTTAAACAAAGGTAAGACTAGACTTTCTCTGAATATGCTATTTGGCAACTTGGTTTTTTTTTTTCCACTAAAGATAGCCTTCCAGGTCAGCACATAAAGATAAACATTTTTAATGTTTGCATAGTGTCCCTGCTTAATATTACATAGAGTAGCTGGGTCATAATTATTTAATCAGTACTCAAAAACATAGTATGAGTGCAAAAATGTTCACTGATTTGGAGAGAAAGATTGTGTTATGGCAAGTTAGAAGAAACAGAATATGTGAAGGTGAGGAATTCAGAGGAACCTCTATAGGTCACCACCTTAGGGAAAAAAAAAGACAAAATAAGGATTGGAAAACTGCAGAATGTTTAAATTTGTTACCACCAAAGCTGAAAGCACAATTTGTGCAGAAGGAGTTACGGTACAGCTAAGGCTAACCTGCATCTATGCTCCAGCTTCCAGGACTCCTCCCTATGCCAGAGACATTATAATAACAGAGAAAACAACAACAACAACAACTTACAAATAAAGGATGTAAAATGAATTATAATACAAGGCAAGGCCACATGTAGTCTAGCTAAGCCCATCTTGAGGGAAGGTCCAGGGACAAATTTGGAAAAAATTATAGGATAGGCAACAGATAAAGGTATGAAGTCATAAAGGAAAGAATTTGAGCAACATATTAAAGAGTAATACTGGTAACTGCCCTGGGTGTGCTTGCCTACCAGACACCCAATCTTGCAAGACTGACATTAAAAGTCTTGCCTCCACTGTTCTTTTTGTCTACAACTCCATTCTTTGAGTTTGGATGGGTGAATGTGTTTCTTGCAATCGCTTTCTAAAGAAGGCATAAATGAATATTACTGCCATTCTCCAGCCTCTGTCCCTATGATCTACCTCTGGCCTACATGCCTTGTTCTGGCCAAACAGAAAAGATGATTGAACTCCAGGGAATAAAAAAGCATGGTGGACTTCTGTTCCAAGATGGCTGAACAGGAACAGCTCTGGTCTACAGCTCCCAGCATGATCGACACACAAGATGGGTAATTTCTGCATTTCCAACTGAGGTACCTGGTTCATCTCATTGGGAACGGTTAGGCAGTGGGTGCAGCCCATGGAGGGCTAGCCAACGCAGGGTAGGGCATCGCCTCACCTAAGAAGTGCAAGGGGTTAGGGGATTTCCCTTTCCTAGCCAAGGGAAGCCATGACAGACTGTACCTGGAAAAAAGGGGACACTCCCTGCTAAACACTGTGCTTTTTCAATGGTCTTAGCAAATGGCACATCAGGAGATTATATCCTGCACATGGCTTAGTGGGTCTATGCCCAAGGAGCCTTGCTCATTGCTAGTGCAGCAGTCTGAGATTGACCTGCAAGGCAGCAGCCTGGCAGGGGGAGGGGTGTCCACAATTGCTGAGGCTTGAGTACGTAAACAAAGCAGCTGGGGAAGCTCAAACTGGGTGGAGCCCACCACAGCTCACCAAGGCCAGATGCCTCAGTTGACTCCACCACTGGGGGCAGGACATAGCTGAACAAAAGGCAGCAGAAACTTCTGCAGACTTAAACGTCCCTATCTGACAGCTCTGAAGAGAGCAATGGTTCTTCAAGCATGGCGCTTGAGCTCTAAGAACAGACAGACTGCCTCCCCAAGTGGGTCCCTGACCCCAGTGTAGCCTAACTTGGAAACACCTCCCAGTAGGAGCTGACTGACATCTCAAACAGGCGGATGCCATTCTGGGACAAAGCTTCCAGAGGACAGATGAGGCAGCAATATTTGCTGTTCTGCAATATTTGCTGTTCTGCAGCTTCCACCATTGATACCCAGGCAAACAGGGTCTGGAGTAGGCCTCTAGCAAACCCCAGCAGACCTGCAACTGAGGGACCTGACTGTTAGAAGGAAAATTAACAAACAGAAAGGAATAGCATCAACATCAACAAAAAGGACATCCACAACAAAATCCCATCTGTAGGTCACCAACATCAAAGATCAAAGGTAGGCAAAACCACAAAGATGGGAAGAAAGAAAAGGAGAGATGGGAAGAGCAGAAAAGCTGAAAATTATAAAAACCAAAGTGCCTCTTCTCCTCCAAAGAATCGCAGCTCCTCGACAGCAATGGAACAAAACTGAACAAAGAATGACTTTGACAAATTAACAGAAGTAGGCTTCAGAAGGTCAGTAATAACAAACTTCTCGGAGCTAAAGGAGGATGTTCAAACCCATCACAAGGAAGCTAAAAACTTTGAAAAATAATTAGACGAATGGCTAACTAGAATAAACAGTGTCAAGAAGACCTTAAATAACCTGATGGAGCTGAAAACCATGGCACGAGAACTATGTGATGAATGCACAAGCTTCAGTAGCCAACTCGATCAAGTGGAAGAAAGTGATTGAAGGTTAAATTAATGAAATAAAGTGAGAAGAGAAGTTTAGAGAAAAAGGAGTAAAAAGAAACAAATAAAGACTCCAAGAAATATGGGACTATGTGAAAAGACCAAAGCTA